>NC_000001.11:60765956-61068986 GCF_000001405.40 Homo sapiens
AGCCCTGCTAAAAAGAAATAATCTGACCTTAGTGTTAACATATCACCATGAAGCAAAATCATTCATTGAATATTAACAATAACTCAGTTTTTCTGTGGAATAGTTGTAGAGGCTTTCTGAGTTTTAAGCCTTTTTAATCATTGTATACAATTTCAAGAGGATTTTACTTTTTTCTTGTAGAAAAAAAGACCACAAAAATGAGAAAAATAGAGGCTATTTATTCAAGGCTTACTATAGCAAAGGAATCAGCCATCGTCACTTCCATTTGGCAGAGACTCAAAGTCAGGCAGAAGAAGCAAGGAAAGCTTTATAGTTAAAAAAAAAAAAGAGAGAGAGAGAGAGAAAAGGGGGAGTGTTCAGGTATGCTCTAATTAGAAGTTGTTGGCATGGGGAAGCTGGAGACAGGCTATAAAAATGGGATATATTATGTGATTTTTTTTTTTAGGGAGTGATATGGTTTGGCTGTGTCCCCACCCAAATCTCATCTTGAATTGTAGCTCTCATAATTCTCATGTGTTGTGGGAGGGACCCAGTGGGAGGTAACTGAATCATGGGGGCAGGTCTTTTCTGTGCTGTTCTCATGATAGTGAATAAGTCTCACGAGATCTGATGGTTTTATAAAGAGGAGTTCCCCTACAGAAGTTCTTTCTTGCCTGCTGCCATGTAAGATGTGCCTTTCACCTTTCTCCTTCCACCATGATTGTGAGGCCTCCCCAGCCACGTGGAACTGTGAGTCCATTAAACCTCTTTTTTTTTAATATAAATTACCCAGTCTTAGGTATGTCTTTATCAGCAGCATGAAAACAGACTAATACAGGGAGCATATTTGGTTTTCTCTGGTTGGTCCGGAATTAGAAGTGAAAGCCACAAATAGGAAAGCTGGCAGTCATTGACGAAGTTCTGACTGTTTGGGGTCAATTGATGTGAAGGTCATGATTTGCTTTCCAGGATCAATAGCCAGAAAGGTTGTTGGTCAATGTTCTACTGCCATATATGATCTGGTCACTGTCTAGACAACGTCCCTCAGTCCCCCCTTTCAGTCATTCTCTCACTTGCAACAGGTTGGTCAATTCAAGGAAGACCAGAAATGCAGATCTTCACTGATGGAAGGTTGTCTGCTTGTCTCCATAGTCAACCGTATCACAAGATCTTCTTGATCTTTTTACTGCTGTATCATCATGACAATCATTTGATGAGAGAGCTGCTACACAAAAGCATTTAAGACTCTGGATAGAATATAATGAACAAGCTTACAACAACTTTGACCAAAACAAAGACAAGTAATAGTCCCACTAAGACAGCTAGACCCAGGAACCCCAATTGCCTAACTCAGGTAAACAGAATGAATCCCAGAGCCCAAGAGGATGAATCTTAGAACATCAAGTCACTTTTTCTTTAAGGTGAAGTGTAGCCTACTTGACTATGCCTGCTTCACAGATCTAAGTAAATAAGAATTATTAACAATGATACAAACACCACATTGACTAGCCAACAAGAAATTTAGAGTAATGACATTGTCCATCATTACTCCTGCCAACAAGTTGACATTGATCTGTACTCTATCTAAGGCAGAAGGAGTACATTAATTAATAACTTCTGCTGAGTTAATTCTAAGTTTCTTTCAATATTTTCTACTTGTTTGAGTCTCACCACTGGGATCATTCCTTTCATTGTTCCCATAAACAATGAGTAAGTAATTCCCCCAAATGGAGGACTTACGATGGAGCTATCAACTAAGTTAGAATTTCCAGCCTTGGTGATCTATAGAATTAGAATCTCTGTATACTGACAGGTCTTAGAATATTATTTCTAAAGTGCAGAAGAAAAGATGACCGGGAAGTCCTAGAAGTATATGATAGTGGCACATGGACACTTAGGAAAAAATTTAGTTGTTTATGGCATGAGGTCAGAATCAATGCTTTATTTTAGCTGTGTCACACATTTTTATCTTTACTAGTCTCTTCCAAGTGGCAAGAATTTGGCCAATTACCTTAAGAAAGTTGCTGAATTCAAATTTATATTACCTAAGTTCCAATCAATAGATTGTAACAATGTACTCCTTTTCTGGGGGAAAGAAGGACACTGGCAAAGTTATAGGTTGGTTCATTTTAGTACATTTGTCCTTGTAGGTGCAAATGGAAATGCAATCAGTAGTTCCTCATGGCTTCATTTGGTGAGACTGAAATTGCCCTAAGATATCATGGGGGTCCATTGATTAATGGCATATCCAAAAGTTGGTAAAGTTGAAGGCAGGGCTATGGTTTGGAATAATCAAAGAATGAGTTTGAATGAGAATGTTCCAACCTAATAGTTATCATAAAGATGAATGAAAATAAAAAAGAAGCCATTATGGGTGGACAACAATCAGGGATCTATAGAACATGAGAAGAAAAGTGTTTATAAGCAAGCAGATGAAAAACAAAACAGGAATTATACAGGGGTCTTGGTCTGGAGGGGAAGCTGTCCATTATCTGAGGTCATAAGATTGTTCTCATGGTCTCAGGTCAGAAGACTACTTCCAAAGATCACCTGCTTCTAGAGAATCTCTGAAAATCTTGTTTGAGGGTCCATATTAACATATAATGGCCTTCCAATTGTATGGAATTCTGTATTGTTTTTTTTCATTGTAAAACAGAAATCCAAGGATTAATTTCCAGGAGTTCCACTCCTGCATTTGTTGTTAAAGTACCTTCCAATGAGGTTTGAGTGCAGTTTTTCTATTATGTCTCTTCCGGCAGATGAAATCTCCTCATTGCAAGTCATGAAAACTTTGCTTAGTTAGATGTGTGAGAGAATGGCCTTAAAATATTGGTGGTAGAAATGGACACAGTACTTGAGTCCCTTGCAGTATTTTGCCATGTCTTCATGTGACAGGGCAGAATCTAGTATTAAAGATGAAATCTATTAATTCATGATGCTTCTAGTTACCAGTTAATAAGGGAATAACTGATTGTTTGCAAGGGAGTGGATCATACGGCCATAATGGCTAGTAGAAATACCTTTGGTCAAGAAAGAAAAAGGATTATTAAAAGGTTTTATAAGTATGCTACTTTTAATTTAAGGGTGCCATTGGTTCTTTCTACCTTTCCAAAAGATTTGGATGGAAAAAAGCAGTGTAGTTTTCAGCTTTGATAATGCCTTACAGTGTTCTTTTATAATGGTTCTTGTAAAGTGTGCGTCTCAGTTACTTAATATATAAAAATTGGAATACCCCAGATTGGAAACAAAAAATCAAGCAGCTTTGTAGTAACTATAAGTTCTGTAGCTTTTTGGCAAGGAAATACTTCAACATCAACACATACTGAAAATAGACATATAATAACTAAAACATAAACTCCATGGAGAGAGGAAGCTGGATGAAATCCAGCTCTTTTTCTATGGGCCTCAATCTATATAATAGCTACCTCACTAGGAAGTAGAAGTAGTATCTAAAAGTTCCTTAACTTGTCTATTTTTAATGAGGATGTCAGAGAAGATGAGAAACCTTTTGCTTCCAAAGCATCTTAAAAGTCAAGTATTACTCCAAAAGCATACATGTTATTGTACATATATTTACATTCTGGTCTTTGGCCAGTTTACATGCTCTAGTAAATACAATAAGTTCTGCCATCCAGGTTTATTTTACCTGAAGTAGAGAACTATATTCTAAAGAAGAGCTTAAATTAGTGATAGGATATCCTGTTTGATAACTACTACCTTCTGATTTAAGTATGGTCCATCAACAAATAATATTTAGACCAAGTTCTTGATGGGAGTCTCTTCTACACATCAGTAAAATAAAGAGAGCTCCCTAATTGAGGTTAGAGAATGATAAGTTTTCCCTTGCTTCCTTTAGGGGCAGGAGAATGGCAGGACTGAGAGTGTTTTAGTGGTAAATAGTAATAGGAAAGGAAGAAAGTGACAGAATCTCTTAAGTAGTTAATCAGATGGCTGGGAAACATAATGTGTGCTCAATCAGTAGTAATTCTGTGCTGGGTGAGAAACTGTGGGGTCAAGCAAGGAGCTAAAAACTAGTTCCTCAGAGGCATGAATGAGTTTGGTTGCAGCAGCTATTGTCCTAAGATATACAAGGGCTTAAGCTCTTGTAATAGGACCAAGTGTGAGGCTATAGTAACTGGTGAGTTTGTGATGACTCCTTTAAAGTTGAGTTAAAATCTCAGTGCTCGTCCAGATTGTTCATGCACAAGTAGACCAAAGGGATTTTTGTAGTTAGGGATGCCTAAGAAAGGAGGCTGCTGAAGAACCATCTTCGAATTTTAGAAGGCCTTTTCATATTTGCATTCCCAGAGGAGCTCTATAGAACGTGAGAAGGTAAGTGTTTATAAGCTCTATAGAACATGAGCTGGATCACACATTTTTATCTTTATTAGTCTGTTTCAAGTGGCAAGAATTTGGCCAATCACCTTAAGAAGGTTGCTGAATTCAAATTTATATTACCTATTTCCTACCTGTTACTGAGGACTTAGTTCATAATTAAGTGTGAAAATCTAAGAAAAAATTTGGCACTCTTCTGCAATATCAAGTTTAACTTAGAAATTCTCTCAAATGTCATTCAGCAAGGGGTCTAGAATAAGTTTGATGGTCTTTAGTCTATCAGGAGATTGCATTTTTCCCTCCATAGATGGGTCTGGTCCTAAATAATGGACGATGTTTTGGCAAAAATTGTAATTTATCTTCTAGGACTTTATGTCCTTTTCCATTTAAAATATGAGGAAGTAGGGGGCAGGTTCCAAGATGGCCGAATAGGAACAGCTCCAGTCTACATCTCCCAACATGAGCAACACAAAAGACGGGTGATTTCTGCATTTCCAACTGAGGTACTGGGTTCATCTCACTGGGGCTTGTCAGACAGTGGGTACAGGACAGTGGATGCAGCCCACCGAGTGTGAGCTCAAGTGGGGCAAGGCATCACCTCACCTGGGAAGCACAAGAGGTCAGGGAATTCCTTTTCCTAGCCAAGGGAAGCTGTGACTGATGGCACCTGGAAAATCGGGTCACTCCTACCGTAATACTGCACGTTTCCAATGGTCTTAGCAAACAACACACCAGGAGATTACATCCCATGCCTGGCTCTGAGAGTCCCACGCCCACGGAGCCTCACTCATTGCTAGCACAGCAGTCTGAGATCAAACTGCAAGGTGGCAGTGAGGCTGGGGGAGGGGCGCCCACCATTGCTGAGGCTTGAGTAGGTAAGCAAAGCAGCCAGAAAGCTCAAACTGGGTGGAGCCCACCGCAGCTCAAGGAGGCCTGCCTGCCTGCCTCTGTAGACTCCACCTCTGGGGGGCAGGGCATAGCTGAACAAAAGGCAGCAGAAAACTCTGCAGACTTAAATGTCCCTGTCTGACAGCTTTGAAGAGAGTAGTGGTTCTCCCAGCACGGAGTTTGAGATCTGAGAACAGTCAGACTGCCTCCTCAAGTGGGTCCTTGACCCCTGAGTAGCCTAACTGGGAGGCACCCCCAAGTAGGGGCACACTGACACCCCACACGGCTGGGTACCCCTCTGAGACGAAGCTTCCAGAGGAACGATCAGGCAGCAACATTTGCTGTTCAGCAATATTTGCTGTTCTGCAGCCTCCGCTGCTGATACCCAGGCAAACAGGGTCCGGAGTGGACCTCCAGCAAACTCCAACAGACCCATAGCTTAGGATCCTGACTGCTAGAAGGAAAACTAACAAAGAGAAAGGACATCCACACCAAAACCTCACCTGTAAATCACCATCATCAAAGACCAAAGGTAGACGAAACCACAAAGATGGGGAAAAAAACAGCAGAAAAGCTGAAAATTCTGAAAATCAGAGCACCTCTCCCCCAACAAAGGAACGCAGCTCCTCGCCAGCAATGGAACAAAGCTGGATGGAGAATGACTTTGACGAGTTGAGAGAAGAAGGCTTCAGACGATCAAACTTCTCCGAGCTGAAGGAGCAAGTTCGAACTCATCACAAAGAAGCTAAAACCTTGAAAAAAGATGAGACGAATGGCTAACTAGAATAACCAGTGTAGAGAAGTCCTTAAATGACCTGATGGAGCTGAAAACCATGGCACGAGAACTACGTGACAAATGCACAAGCTTCAGTAGCCAATTCGATCAACTGGAAGAAAGGGTATCAGTGATTGAAGATCAAATGAATGAAATGAAGCAAGAAGAGAAGTTTAGAGAAAAAAGAGTAAAAAGAAATGAACAAAGCCTCCAAGAAATGTGGGACTCTGTGAAAAGACGAAATCTACGTCTGATTGGTGTACCTGAAAGTGACGGGGAGAATGGAACCAAGTTGGAAAACACTCTGCAGGATACTATCCGGAGAAATTCCCCAACCTATCAAGGCAGGCCAACATTCAACTTCAGGAAATACAGAGAACACCACAAAGATACTCCTCGAGAAGAGCAACTCCAAGACACGTAATTGTCAGATTCACCAAAGTTGAAATGAAGGAAAAAATATTAACGGCAGCCAGAGAGAAAGGTCAGGTTACCCACAAAGGGAAGCCCATTAGACTAACAGCGGATCTCTCAGCAGAAACTGTACAAGCCAGAAGACAGTGGGGGCCAATATTCAACATTCTTAAAGAAAAGAATTTTCTTTTCCTTTTTTTTTTTATTCTACTTCAAGTTTTAGGGTATATGTGCACAATGTGCAGGTTTGTTACATATGTATACATGTGCCATGTTGGTGTGCTGCACCCATTAACTCTTCATTTAACATTAGGTGTATCTCCCAATGCTATGCTGCCCCCATACCCCCACCCCACAACAGGCCCCAGTGTGTAATGTTCCCCTTCCTGTGTCCATTTGTTCTCATTGTTCAATTCCCACCTATGAGTGAGAACACGCAGTGTTTGGTTTTTTGTCCTTACAATAGTTTGCTGAGAATGATGGTTTCCAGCTTCATTCATGTCCCTACAAAGGACATGAACTCATCCTTTCTTATGGCTGCATAGTATTCCATGGTGTATATGTGCCACATTTTCTTAATCCAGTCTATCACTGATGGACATTTGGGTTGGTTCCAAGTCTTTGCTATTGTGAATAGTGCTGCAATGAACATCCATATGCATGTGTCTTTATAGCAGCATGATTTATAATCCTTTAGGTATATACCCAGTAAAGGGATGGCTAGGTCAAATGGTATTTCTAGTTCTAGATCCTTGAGGAATCGCCACACTGTCTTCCACAATGGTTGAACTAGTTTACAGTCCCACCAACAGTGCAAAAGTGTTCCTATTTCTCAACATCCTCTCCAGCACCTGTTGTTTCCTGACTTTTTAATGATCGCCATTCTAACTGGTGTGAGATGGTATCTCAGTGTGGTTTTGATTTGCATTTCTCTGATGGCCAGTGATGATGAGCATCTTTTCATGTGTCTCTTGGCTGCATAAATGTCTTCTTTTGAGAAGCATATGTTCATATCCTTCACCCACTTGTTGATAGGGTTGTTTTTGTCTTGTAAATTTGTTTGAGTTCTTTGTAGATTCTGGATATTAGCCCTTTGTCAGAAGAGTAGATTGCAAAAATTATCTCCCATTCTGTAGGTTGCCTTTCACTCTGATGGTAGTTTCTTTTGCTGTGCAGAAGCTCTTTAATGAGATCCCATTTGTCAATTTTGGCTTTTGTTGCCATTGCTTTTGGTGTTTTAGACATGAAGTCCTTGCCCATGCCTATGTCCTGAATGGTACTGCCTAGGTTTTCTTCTAGGGTTTTTATGGTTTTAGGTCTAACATGTAAGTCTTTAATCCATCTTGAATTAGTTTTTGTATAAGGTGTAAGGAAGGGATCCAGTTTCAGCATTCTACATATGGCTATCCAGTTTTCCAGCACCATTTATTAAATAGGGAATCCTTTCCCCATTTCTTGCTTTTGTCAGGTTTGTCAAAGATCAGATAGTGGTAGATATGTGCCATTATTTCTGATGGCTCTGTTCTATTCCATTGGTCTATATCTCTGTTTTGGTACCAGTACCATGCTATTTTGATTATTGTAGCCTTGCATTATAGTTTGAAGTCATGTAGCGTGATGCCTCCAGCTTTGTTCTTTTGGCTTAGGATTGTTGTAGCAATGCAGGCTCTTCTTTGGTTCCATATGAACTTTAAAGTAGTTTTTTCCAATTCTCTGAAGAAAATCATTGGTAGCTTGATGGGGATGGTATTGAATGTATAAATTACCTTGGGCAGTATGGCCATTGTCACGATATTGATTCTTCCTATCCATGAACATGGAATGTTCTTCCATTTGTTTGTGTCCTCTTTTATTTCATTGAGCAGTGGCTTGTAATTCTCCTTGAAGAGGTCCTTCACATCCCTTGTAAGTTGGATTCCTAGGTATTTTATTCTCTTTGAAGCAATTGTGAATGGTAGTTCACTCATGATTTGGCTCTCTGTTTGTCTGTTGTTGGTGTATAAGAATGCTTGTGATTTTTGCACATTGATTTTGTATCCGGAGACTTTGCTGAAGTTGCCTATCAGCTTAAGGAGATTTTGGGCTGAAATGATGGGGTTTTGTAGATATACAATCATGTCATCTGCAAACAGGGACAGTTTGACTTCCTCTTTTCCTAACTGAATACCCTTTATTTCCTTCTCCTGCCTGATTGCCCTGGCCAGAACTTCCAACACTATGTTGAATAGGAGTGGTGAGAGACGGCATCCCTGTCTTGTGCCAGTTTTCAAAGGCAATGCTTCCAGTGTTTGCCCATTCAGTATGATATTGACTGTGGGTTTGTCATAGATAGCTCTTATTATTTTGAGATATGTCCCATCAATACCTAATTTATTGAGAGTTTTTAGCATGAAGGGCTGTTGAATTTTGTCAAAGGCCTTTTCTGCATCTATTGAGATAATCAAGTGGTTTTTGTCATTGGTTCTGTTTATATGCTGGACTACGTTTATTGATTTGGGTATGTTGAACTAGCCTTGCATCTCAGGGATGAAGCCCACTGGATCATGGTGGATAAGCTTTTTGATGTGCTGCTGGATTCGGTTTGCCAGTATTTTATTGAGGATTTTTGCATCGATGTTCATCAGGGATATTGGTCTATAATTCTCTTTTTTTGTTGTGTCTCTGCCACGCTTTGTTATCAGGATGATGCTGGCCTCATAAAATGAGTTAGGGAGGATTCCCTCTTTTTCTATTGATTGGTATAGTTTCAGAAGGAATGGTACCAGCTCCTCCTTGTACCTCTGGTAGAATTTGGCTGTGAATCCATCTGGACCTGGAATTTTTTTTGATTGGTAGGCTATTAATTATTGCCTCAAGTTCAGAACCTGTTATTGGTCTATTCAGGGATTCAATTTCTTCCTGGTTTAGTCTTGGGAGGGTGTATGTGTCCAGGAATTTAACCATTTCTTCTAGATTTTCTAGTTTATTTGCATTGAGGTGTTTATAGTATTCTCTGATGGTAGTTTGTATTTCTGTGGAATTGGTGGTGATATCCCCTTTATCAATTTTTATTGCATCTATTTGATTCTTCTCTCATTTCTTCTTTATTAATCTTGCTAGTGGTCTATCAATCTTGTTCGTCTTTTTAAAAAACCAGCTCCTGGATTCATTGATTTTTTGTAGGGTTTTTTGTGTCTCTATTTCCTTCAGTTCTGCTCTGATCTTAGTTATTTCTTGCCTTCTGCTAGCTTTTGAATGTGTTTGCTCTTGCTTCTCTAGTTCTTTCAATTGTGATGGTAGGGTGTCAATTTTAGATCTTTCCTGCTTTCTCTTATGGGCATTTAGTGCTATAAATTTCCCTCTACACACTGCTTTAAATGTGTCCCAGAGATTCTGGTATGCTGTGTCTTTGTTCTCATTGGTTTCAAAGAACCTCTTTATTTCTGCCTTCATTTTGTTATGTATTCAGTAGTCATTCAGGAGCAGGTTGTTCAGTTTCCATGTAGTTGAGCAGTTTTGAGTGAGTTTCTCAATCCTGAGTTCTAGTTTGATTGCACTGTGGTCTGAGAGAGTTTGTTATAATTTTTGTTCTTTTACATTTGCTGAGGAGTGCTTTACTTCCAACTATGTGGTCAATTTTGGAATAGGTGTGGTGTGGTACTGAAAAGAATGTATATTCTGTTGATTTGGGGTGGAGAGTTTTGTAGATGTCTATTAGGTCCGCTTGGTGCAGAACTGAGTTCAGTTCCTGGATATCTTTGTTAACTTTCTGTCTCATTGATTTGTCTAATGTTGACAGTGGGGTGTTAAAGTCTCCCATTATTATTCTGTGGGAGTCTAAGTGTCTTTGTAGGTCTCTAAGGACTTGCTTTATGAATCTGGGTCCTCCTCTATTGGGTGCATATATATTTAGGATAGTTAGCTCTTCTTGTTGAATGGATCCCTTTACCATTATGTAATGGCCTTCTTTGTCTCTTTTGATCTTTGTTGGTTTAAAGTCTGTTTTATCAGAGACTAGGATTGCAACCCCTGCCTTTTTTTGTTTTCCATTTGCTTGGTAGATCTTCTTCCATCCCTTTAATTTGAGCCTATGTGTGTCTCTGCACGTGAGATGGGTCTCCTGAATACAGCACACTGATGGGTCTTGACTCTTTATCCAATTTGCCAGTCTGTGTCTTTTAATTGGAGCATTCAGCCCATTTACATTTAAGGTTAATATCGTTATGTGTGAATTTGATCCTGTCATTATGATGTTAGCTAGTTATTTTGCTCGTGAGTTGATGCAGTTTCTTCCTAGCCTCGATGGTCTTTACAATTTGGCATGTTTTTTCTGGGGCCTGTACCGGTTGTTCCTTTCCATGTTTAGCGCTTCCTTCAGGAGCTCTTTTAGGGCAGGCCTAGTGGTGACAAAATCTCTCAGCATTTCTTGTCTGTAAAGGATTGTATTTCTCCTTCACTTATGAAGCTTAATTTGGCTGGATATGAAATACTGGGTTGAAAATTCTTTTCTTTAAGAACGTTGAATATTGGCCCCCATTCTCTTCTGGCTTGTAGAGTTTCTGCCGAGAGATGAGCTTAGTCTGATGGGCTTCCCTTTGTGGGTAACCCGACCTTTCTCTCTGGCTGCCCTTAACATTTTTTCCTTCATTTCAACCTTGGTGAATCTGACAGTTATGTGTCTTGGAGTTGCTCTTCTCCAGGAGTATCTTCGTGGCATTCTCTGTATTTCCTGAATTTGAATATTGGCCTGCCTTGCTAGATTGGGGAAGTTCTCCTGGATAATATCCTGCAGAGTGTTTTCCAACTTGGTTCCATTCTCCCCGCCACTTTTAGGTACACAGTGAGACATAGATTTGGTCTTTTCACATAGTCCCATATTTCTTGGAGGCTTTGTTCATTTCTTTTTATTCTTTTTTCTCTAAAATTCTCTTCTCACTGCATTTCATTCACTTCATCTTCCATCACTGATACCCTTTCTTCCAGTTGATCAAATCGGCTACTGAAGCTTGTGCATTCATCACGTAGTTCTCGTGCCGTGGTTTTCAGGCCATCAGGTCCTTTAAGGAGTTCTCTGCATTGGTTATTCTAGTTAGCCATTCGTCTAATTTTTTTTTTCAAGGTTTTTAACTTCTTTGCCATGGGTTTGAACTTCCTCCTTTAGCTCGGATTAGTTTGATCATCTGAAGCCTTCTTCTCTCAACTCATCAAAGTCATTCTCCATCCAGCTTCATTCCATTGCTGGGGAGGAGCTGCGTTCCTTTGGAGGAGGAGAGGTGCTCTAATTTTTAGAGTTTCCAGTTTTTTTGATCTGTTTTTTCACCATCTTTGTGGTTTTGTCTACCTTTGGTCTTTGACGACGGTGACGTACAGATGGGGTTTTGGTGTGGATGTCCTTTCTGTTTGTCAGTTTTCCTTCTAACATTCAGGACCCTCAGCTGCAGGTCTGTTGGAGTTTGCTGGAGGTCCACTCCAGACCCTGTTTGCCTGGGTATCAGCAGCGGAGGCTGCAGAACAGCAGATATTGGTGAACAGCAAATGTTGCTGCCTGATCATTCCTCTGGAAGTTTTGTCTCAGAGGGGTACCTGGCCGTGTGAGGTGTCAGTCTGCCCCTACTGGGGGATGCTTCCCAGTTAGGCTACTCGGGGGTCAGGGACCCACTTAAGGAGGCAGTCTGACCATTCTCAGACCTCCAGCTCCATGCTGGGAGAATCACTACTCCCTTCAAAGCTGTCAGACAAGGACATTTAAGTCTGCAGAGTTTTCTGCTGCCTTTTGTTTGGCTATGCCCTGCCCCCAGAGGTGGAGTCTACAGAGGCAGGCAGGCAGGCCTCCTTGAGCTGCAGTGGGCTCCACCCAGTTCAAGCTTCCAGGCCGCTTTGTTTACCTACTCAAGCCTCTGCAATGGCGGGCGCCCCTCCCCCAGCCTTGCTGCCGCATTGCAGTTTGATCTCAGACTGCTGTGCTAGCAATGAGTAAGGCTCCGTGGGCATAGGAACCTCCAAGCCAGGTGTGGGATATAATCTCCTGGTGTGCTGTTTGCTCAGACCATTAGAAAAGTGCAGTATTAGGGTGGGAGTGACCCGATTTTCCAGGTGCTATCTGTCACCCCCTTCTTTGACTAGGAGAGGGAGTTCCCTGACCCCTTGAGCTTCCCAGGTGATGCGATGCCTCTCCCTGCTTCAGCTCGTGCTCGAAGCACTGCACCCACTGTCCTGCACCCACGGTCCAACACTCCCCAGTGAGATGAACCCAGTACCTCAGTTGGAAATGCAGAAATCACCCATCTTCTGCATCACTCACACTGGGAGCTGTAGACTGGAGCTGTTCCTATTTGGCCATCTTGGCTCCACTGCAAGAAAATAATTTTCAACCCAGAATCTCATATCCAGCCAAACTAAGCTTCATAAGTGAAGGAGAAATACAATCCTTTACAGACAAGCAAATGCTGAGAGATTTTGTCACCACCAGGCCTGCCCTAAAAGAGCTCCTGAAGGAAGTGCTAAACATGGAAAGGAACAACCAGTACCAGCCACTGCAAAAACATGCCAAATTGTAAAGACTATCGAGTCTAGGAAGAAACTGCATCAACTCACGAGCAAAATAACTAGCTAACATCATAATGACAGGATCAAATTCACACATAACGATATTAACCTTAAATGTAAATGGGCTGAATGCTCCAATTAAAAGACACAGACTGGCAAATTGGATAAAGAGTCAAGACCCATCAGTGTGCTGTATTCAGGAGACCCATCTCACGTGCAGAGACACACATAGGCTCAAATTAAAGGGATGGAAGAAGATCTACCAAGCAAATGGAAAACAAAAAAAGGCAGGGGTTGCAATCCTAGTCTCTGATAAAACAGACTTTAAACCAACAAAGATCAAAAGAGACAAAGAAGGCCATTACATAATGGTAAAGGGATCCATTCAACAAGAAGAGCTAACTATCCTAAATATATATGCACCCAATAGAGGAGGACCCAGATTCATAAAGCAAGTCCTTAGAGACCTACAAAGACACTTAGACTCCCACAGAATAATAATGGGAGACTTTAACACCCCACTGTCAACATTAGACAAATCAATGAGACAGAAAGTTAACAAGGATATCCAGGAATTGAATTCAGCTCTGCACCAAGCAGACCTAATAGACATCTACAAAACTCTCCACCCCAAATCAACAGAATATACATTCTTCTCAGCACCACATCACACTTATTCCAAAATTGACCACATAGTTGGAAGTAAAGCACTCCTCAGCAAATGTAAAAGAACAAAAATTATAACAAACTCTCTCAGACCACAGTGCAATCAAACTAGAACTCAGGATTAAGAAATTCACTCAAAACTGCTCAACTACATGGAAACTGAACAACCTACTCCTGAATGACTACTGGGTACATAACAAAATGAAGGCAGAAATAAAGATGTTCTTTGAAACCAATGAGAACAAAGACACAACATACCAGAATCTCTGGGACACATTTAAAGCAGTGTGTAGAGGGAAATTTATAGCACTAAATGCCCATAAGAGAAAGCAGGAAAGATCTAAAATTGACACCCTACCATCACAATTGAAAGAACTAGAGAAGCAAGAGCAAACACATTCAAAAGCTAGCAGAAGGCAAGAAATAACTAAGATCAGAGCAGAACTGAAGGAAATAGAGACACAAAAAACCCTACAAAAAATCAATGAATCCAGGAGCTGGTTTTTTAAAAAGACGAACAAGATTGATAGACCACTAGCAAGACTAATAAAGAAGAAATGAGAGAAGAATCAAATAGACGCAATAAGAAATGATAAAGGGGATATCACCACCAATCCCACAGAAATACAAACTACCATCAGAGAATACTATAAACACCTCTATGCAAATATACTAGAAAATCTAGAAGAAATGGATAAATTCCTGGACACATACACCCTCCCAAGACTAAACCAGGAAGAAATTGAATCCCTGAATAGACCAATCATAGGCTGTGAACTTGAGGCAATAATTAATAGCCTACCAATCAAGAAAAGTCCAGGACCAGACAGATTCATGCCAAATTCTACGAGAGGTACAAGGAGGAGCTGGTACCATTCCTTCTGAAACTATTCCAATCAATAGAAAAAGAGGGAATCCTCCCTAACTCATTTTATGAGGCCAGCATCATCCTGATACCAAAGTCTAGCAGAAACACAACAAAAAAAGAGAATTTTAGACCAATATCCCTGATGAACATCGATGCAAAAATCCTTAATAAAAAACTGGCAAACTGAATCCAGCAGCACATCAAAAAGCTTATCCACCATGATCCAGTGGGCTTCATCCCTGTCATGCAAGGCTGGTTCAACATACACAAAGGTAATCCAGCATATAAACAGAACCAAAGTCAAAAACCACATGATTATCTCAATAGACGCAGAAAAGGCCTTTAACAAAATTCAACAGCCCTTCATGCTAAAAACTCTCAATAAATTAGGTATTGATGGGACATATCTCAAAATAATAAGAGCTATTTACGACAAACCCACAGCCAATATCATACTGAATGGGCAAAAACTGGAAGCATTGCCTTTGAAAACTGGCACAAGACAGGGATGCCGTCTCTCACCACTCCTATTCAACATAGTGTTGGAAGTTCTGGCCAGGGCAATCAGGCAGGTGAAGGAAATTAAGGGTATTCAGTTAGGAAAAGAGGAAGTCAAACTGTCCCTGTTTGCAGATGACATGATTGTATATCTACAAAACCCCATCATCTCAGCCCAAAATCTCCTTAAGCTGATAGGCAACTTCAGCAAAGTCTCCGGATACAAAATCAATGTGCAAAAATCACGAGGATTCTTATACACCAATAACAGACAAACAGAAAGCCAAATCATAAGTGAACTCCCATTCACAATTGCTTCAAAGAGAATAAAATACCTAGGAATCCAACTTACAAGGGATGTGAAAGACCTCTTCAAGGAGAACTACGAACCACTGCTCAATGAAATAAAAGAGGACACAAACAAATGGAAGAACATTCCATGTTCATGGATAGGAAGAATCAATATCGTGACAATGGCCATACTGCCCAAGGTAATTTATACATTCAATACCATCCCCATCAAGCTACCAATGATTTTCTTCAGAGAATTGGAAAAAACTACTTTAAAGTTCATATGGAACTAAAAAAGAGCCCGCATTGCCACAACAATCCTAAGCCAAAATAAGAAAGCTGGAGGCATCACGCTACCTGACTTCAAACTATAATACAAGGCTACAGTAACCAAAGCAGCATGCTGCTGGTACCAAAACAGAGATATAGACCAATGGAACAGAACAGAACCCTCAGAAATAATACCACACATCTACAACCATCTGATCTTTGACAAACCTGACAAAAACAAGAAATGGAGAAAGGATTCCCTATTTAATAAATGGTGCTGGGAAAACTGGCTAGCCATATGTAGAAAGCTGGGACTGGATGCCTTCCTTACATCTTACACAAAAATTAATTCAAGATGGATTAAAGACTTAAATGTAACACCTAAAACCATAAAAACCCTAGAAGAAAACCTAGGCAATACCATTCAAGACATAGGCATGGGCAAGGACTTCTGTCTAAAACACCAAAAGCAATGGCAACAAAAGCCAAAATTGACAAATGGGATCTCATTAAACTAAAGAGCTTCTGCACAGCAAAAGAAACTACCATCAGAGTGAAAGGCAACCTACAGAATGGGAGAAAATTTTTGCAATCTACTCATCTGACAAAGGGCTAATATCCAGAATCTACAAAGAACTCAAAGAAGTTTACAAGACAAAAACAACCCCATCAACAAGTGGGTGAAGGATATGAACAGACACTTCTCAAAAGAAGACATTTATGCAGCCAAGAGACACATGAAAAAATGCTCATCATCACTGGCCATCAGAGAAATGCAAATCAAAACCTCAATGAGATACCATCTCACACCAGTTAGAATGGCAATCATTAAAAAGTCAGGAAACAACAGGTGCTGGAGAGGATGTGGAGAAATAGGAACATTTTTGCACTGTTGGTGGGACTGTACTGTAAACTAGTTCAACCATTGTGGAAGACAGTGTGGCGATTCCTCAAGGATCTAGAACTAGAAATACCATTTGACCCAGCCATCCCTTTACTGGGTGTATACCCAAAGGATTATAAATCATGCTGCTATAAAGACACATGCATACGGATGTTCATTGCAGCACCATTCACAATAGCAAAGACTTGGAACCAACCCAAATGTCCATCAGTGATAGACTGGATTAAGAAAATGTGGCACATATACACCACGGAATACTGGTGTAAGAAAGGATGAGTTCATGTCCTTTGTAGGGACATGAATGAAGCTGGAAACCATCATTCTCAGCAAACTATTGTAAGGACAAAAAACCAAACACTGCATGTTCTCACTCATAGGTGGGAATTGAATAATGAGAACACTGGGGCACAGGACGGGGAACATCACACACCAGGGCCTGTCATGGGGTGGGGGAGGGGGGGATAGCATTAGGAGATATACCTAATGTTAAGTGATGAGTAAATGGGTGCAGCACACCAACATGGCACATGTATACATATGTAACAAACCTGCACATTGTGCACATGTACCCTAGAAGTTAAAATATAATAAAAAAAAAAAAAAAATATATATATATATATATATATATATGAGGAAGTAAATGGTATACATTGTACAGGCTTTCTTGTTCTCTGAGCAAAGTAGATCAGCTGCATATTATATCAGAATCATAAGGAAAATTTAGGTCTTTTAAGTCTTAATTGGGGACCTGGGAAAAACAGAAGGTGATTTCAGTGAATACCTGGGGCATCACTATTCAAATACTTTGTCATCCTCCTCAGGGGAGGGCAAAAATGTTTTTTTATCTTTGACTAAAGACAGACTAAAAAAGGCAGAACAAATGTCTACTATAGTGAAGCAAGTGGCCTAAGGAAGATATTTACGTTAGATATTACCAGAAATGGAGGAATTACAATTCTGTTGATGGTTCTGAGATCTTCAACTAATCAACATCTTTATCCATTTGGTTGGTTGTTTTTGGTTTTTTGTTTGTTGTTTTGTTTTGTTTTGTTTCACTGGATGAACAGAATGGTTACTAGGCCTACTATGGGGTATGAAAAGGCCTTTGGCTAAAAAGCCTTCAACTATAGGCTTGTGTCTTTATTTTCTCTCTCTCTCTCTCGCTCTCTCTTGCTTCAAGGGATGTTAGGGAAGTTTGGGTAACAGTTTGGCAGAACTTTAATAGGTCTGTCCAATTATTTTCCTTATGTCAGTGGCATTTTCATTCACAGAGTGTCAAGATCTCTGCATGGGGTATATACATCAACAATAATGAAGAAAGCAAAGGTATACCCAGAGCAGGCACAACTTCATTATGAACACAGCAGACCTCAAAGTCCTAAAGAAGTTGTTCCTCTGGTGTTCTTTTAATATTACAATTCCATTTGCAAAATAAGTCTCTCATTATATTTACAACAGTGGTATCACAGAGCAGAAAGGAATGCTTTACAATCAGGGTCAAGGTTATAGTCAAAGCCTAGGAGACAGGGAATCTATACATTATTTGAAATACCTACCACCTGTGTGGTATGTTTACTCCAAGGAAGAAGTTGAGTAAAGGAGGCAGAGTTTAATATAGAAAGAGTAGTACATATATCTACCAGAATCTGGTGAGGTTTCAACATTTATATTTATAGTTAATTCATCCTGTATGTTTAAGACTAAGGCAAAATGTTGGGCACTGTTTTCTTCCTTAGAGAGCTCTTGTTGATCTGAATTGAGAAATTTTTCTTTATCATGGCTTTTCTTTTCCAAGATGAAACCATCTTTTTTCCCTTGTTCCTTCTGTTTACAATTTCTACAGGTATCTTTGTTAATAGATAGTCTGTTAGGAAGTTAGCCACCCAGCTGTTTGGTCTGCAGAGGTGTAAGTTTATTTGGTTCCTCTCTCATTTTGTTCTAGAGCCCTTTCAAGACATTCTACCTGGTGTTGTAGTTCAGGTAAAAGGCTTACTTTCCGTTCTAATTTCTGTTTTCTTATTAGGTCCCCAATGAAAGGGCTGCTGTTATGTCAACATCTTCTTTAACTACCAGATGTTGTCAGATGGTATTTTCTAGCCTATCCTAAAATCCTCTATAGTTTCATCTTTTCTCTGTTTGCATGATTTAATTGCAGTCCAATTAATTTTTATTGCAAATGTTTAAGATATGGCTTTTGGGAAACTTTGTCCTACTTTCCAGCCCTATTTTTTGACTCTGAGATTTATTAGGGAAAGGGGGATCCTACAGGCCCCTTTTTGGATCAGTCTCATTTCTTTTGCCACCAAGAATTTAGTATCTAAGATTCCAACCAACATCAGTACAAGTGGATATAAATCAGTTAACTCTATTGAGTGCATACGAGGTATATGCACTCAAAACAATTCTAAATTCTTCTATGAATAGCTGCTGATCATGCCTGGATTAAGAGAACTTCATAATTATAGTTCTTAATTCAGCTTGGCTCCAAGGTTTTAATTCTACTGTAGCTTTCATCTGGCTCATGGGCAAGATGATAGATGTTTAGAGGCAATTGACATTTTGAGGCCTTTAAACAAGTCTTTAGGAAAAGGTAGGGCATCTGGACAAGGTGAGTAGGTAAGATGAGTCCATGGGTGTGCAGAAGAGGAAAGATTTGAAAAATAGAGAAAAAAAGTAGAGCTGGACATAGGGAAGTACCTGGAGGACAAGGAGGAAGACAATTTACTAGGGAAAATAAATACAGTATATTGTTACCTAAGTGTGTCAAATTGTTCACTTGCTTTGGCCAAAAAAAAAAAAAAATCTCTTAGTAAAGCAATGTTTTCTCAGAGTTTTGTTTTGAGGCCTCTGAATACTAATTAAATTTTTTAAATGCTACCAATTGGGCCTGAGAAAGCTTAATTCCTTTTATTTTCTAAAGCATCTCTCAAATGAACAGTTTTGTTCAAGTTCAAACATTCTCCAAAGTGGCCACTGAATGCCCAAAGCATCTGTGGCAAAATTCTACTATTTAAAGAGATAAGCACAAAAGTTCATATTGTTATGAGAATATAGATGAGACATAGAAGTTTCTTCCAGCAGTTGGGGAGGATTTCTATTTAAACAACCCAGGAGAGCTGGCAACAGTCAGTCAAAAGTGATGCTTTTGCACTTCGTGTCCCAGGACCCCTACCTGACAGTTGGCTGCCTCCAAAAGCAAGCAGCACCCCCAGCAGTCATAAAACCAGAGAAAAGACTCTCTCTGAATCAAAGCCAAGCTCTCAAGACAAAACAGTCTAGACAGAAGAAGAAACTTATCCAGTTTTATTGGTGACCCAAGCAAAGTTTGTCTGTATAGATGCTAGTCCAGTGAGAACCACAAACTCACCCATCTACAAGGCTGGCTCAAACAACGGGCCTACAAGTCCTATGTAAAAACACAAAAAAAGAGAAGAAAGGGATAAAAAGGAGTGGCCTTATTCCACCAAGAATTCCAAACAAATGGGAACCAATAATGAAACCCAGGTGCAGCCGGGCATGGTGGCCCACGCCTGTAATCCCAACACTTTGGGAGGCTGAGCAGGCGGATCACCTGAAGTCAGGAGTTCAAGGTCAGCCTGGCCAACATGGCAAAACCCTGTCTCTACCAAAAATACAAAAATTAGCCGGGTGTGGTGGTGGGCACCTGTAATCCCAACTACACAAGAGGCTGAGGCAGAAGAATTGCTTGAACCCGGGAGGCCGAGGTTGCAGTGAGCGGAGATCGCGCCACTGTACTCCAGCCTGGGCAACAAGAGCGAGAACCTGCCTCAAAAATAAAATAAAATAAAATATAAAATAAAATAAAACCCAGGTGCTAAACTGAGAATAGATAGCCAGGGAACCCAACACAAGAGCATGGAGCTCAGACTCAGTGATAACCTTCCGCATAAGCATTGACTCGACAAACTGTGAACAGTAAGGCACAAGGGCTTTCTGTGGCTGCTGCACCTGGCTGAAGGCTGGGATCCACGGTGCTGGGCAGTATAGACCATATGTCAGTGGAAGCTCCAGAAAATCTCTAGAAATAAACAAAGACCACCCAAATTAGAACAAGCAGAGGCTACTTATTCAGAGCTTATGACAGCAAGGGAGTCAGCCACCACCACTTGAATTTGGTAGAGGCTCAAGTCAGGTAAGGAAGTGGAAATCTTTATAGTGAAAAAAAAGACACAAAGCTTCAAGTGTGCTTTGATAGGAGGTTGTTGGGATTGGGAAGCTGGAGGCAGGATAAATAGTGGAAGGACATCTTATGTCATTGGTTTGGGGAGTATATTTGGCTCTCCCTAGTTGGTCCTGAGTTAGCAGTGGAAGAAAAAAACACGGAAGTTGGCAGTCACTGACCAAGTCCTGGGTGGATTGCTCCAGAGTTAGTAGTTTGCTCCAGAGTTAGTAGTTTGACTTCCCAGGTTGCTTGCTATAGAGTTTGTAGGTCAGAAATCTATTGTCACATTTGGTCAGGTCATTGTTTATATTTTCAGTTTCTCAATCTTTTAATTTTCTAGTTCATTTTCCACTAATTGTCCCTGCTCTTTGTACATATAATTACAAACATTTGGCACAACTTAAATGTTGAACATTAGGGTATTATTGATGGCTATTTAATTTCTATCATCTAAACTCCTAATGTTGGCCATTTAGAATTCCTCGGAATCAGTTCCAAGTGGAGAGGGGAATAAGGATGCAGCTTCTCTGGCCTCTCAAATAGGCTGGCTCCAGATTAAGTAAATTATAGCCCAAGAAATACTGACTGGGTCTTCAGCAACACAGGCCACTGGAAACGTAGGGAAAATAGAAATAAGTGGGAGGAGATACGGAATAACAATAATAGCATTAACTATTATTTTTAAGCCATTGAGTCTTCACAACAACACTTTTAAAGGTGAATCTTTATTATTTCTACTTTACAGATGAGGAAACTGAACCAGAGAGGTTAAGTAACTTACCCAAGATGTACAACTAGTAAGTGACAGAGTAACAAGCTCTTGAGCATGATGTTTTTAGCTAATGTAACAAGGGAAACCATGCCTGAGGACAGACAAAGCAAGATCCTGTCATGATTAAGACAACCAGATTGGGAGTCCTTCAGACCTGAGTTCAAATCCCAGCTCCAGCACATATTGGCAGTGTGGCCTTTAACAAGCCCATTAACCTGTCTGAACTCTGAATTCCTCATCTGCAAAATGGGGATAAAATATCCAGAGCCAGATGAAATCTATCATGTCTTCCAGGCAGTTATTTATGATGCCTCAAAATATCATTGAAAATAAAATGAGATGGGAGAAAAAAAAACTATTTCTCAGAATTTTTTTCACAGAGAAGAAATATCTGGCTAGAAGAAATATTTTATTCAATTGCTGAGGGAGAAGAACAGTATTAAGTAACAATAAACAGTAATAGTTGCCAAACCACCTTCTAAGGACAGGTGTGTCTGGTTAACAGTAGGGTTTTTGTTTGGCAGAGTGCTTTATGAATTCCTGGGCCAGAGCTTAATTGTTCTGTAAAATAGAAGAATTGCTGCCATGGCCAACAGGGATCCCCTTTATCCACTTTGCCACACTACATTCAGGCTCTCTATAAGTACTAGGGATTTTAAAGGATCAATTTGAAAAGGTACAAATTATTGGACTGCCACAATACCCACGTGCCTTGGTCTGGCCCAGCTCAGGCTTAACTCATAGAAACATTGTAAAGATGAAGTGATATTAGGTAAAACTATGCAAGTGCCAATACTTAACTGTTTTTAATTCCCCAAAAACAGTAATTGCATGTGGCTCAACCCAAACGTAAAGTATTGAGGCTACTGTAATTCAGGACCTGAACCAGGGTAATTCTTCGCCAAGGGTAATTCAATTGCCAAGAAGAAGGTGGCTAATTTCAACAGAGAGCATTTAAGGTTCAATCTAACAGATGGGTAATTCTCAAATTCTGGTGAACATCGACATCATGGCTTGGAACTTCAGTCCATTTGAAGCCGAATGTCTATCCTGAGGTGTCTGGCACAGGACACAGCACCCAGAACAGGGTTCTAGTAAGAGTGAAGCTAGATTGTCTGAGTTTCCCAACCAGCATACTGGGGTTCGGGGCTGTATCTGCATTTCATGAAGAAACAGAAGTGCAAAAGACACTGAGGCAGAAGTCCAAAGGAAAGGAAGGAATGAAAAAGGAATGCTTGCATTCCCCCTTCTGTTCTCACTCCCCAAATGTGTCCAAAGTGCAATATTTAAGGCATGTATTTCAAGAAAAAGAGCTATGTGTACAGAGAAGTTTGAGAAACGTAGCATACTTTGTCCCACCCTCACCTCACTACCTGAGAGGGATGTACAATACACTTTCATCCAAGAACCTTCATTTGACAAACATTTGTTCAGGCTAATATATACACAGTAAAGGCCCTAAAAAGTCTTACAATAAAGAGCATGTTTAATTGTTTAATTTTATTGAACCTAGAATTTCACAAATATATTGATAACAGTAACTTTTTTCTTCATAAAACTAACATTCTGTGGAACCCAAGTTTTCAAAAGATACTTTAGGGTATGCTTCCCTGGGTTATATATATGTATATATATTTTTTTTTTTTTGGGGGGGGGGAGTTTTCAAAAGATACTTTAGGATATGCTTCCCTGGGGATTTTTGTTTGTTTGTTTGTTTGTTTGTTGGGTTTTTTTTTTTTTTTTTTTTTGAGACAGGGTCTTGCTCTGCCACCCAGGCTAGAGTGCAGTGGCACAATCCTAATTCACTGTAGCCTCAACCTCCTGGGCTCAAGCAATCCTCCCACCTTAGCCTCCCAAGTAGCTAGGACTACAGATGCATACCACCATGCCCAGCTAATTTTTTTTTCTAGATGGGGTCTCGCTCTGTTGGCTGGTCTTGGACTCCTGTCTTCAAGTGATCTTCCTGCTTTGACCTTCGAAAGTGCTGGGATTACAAACATCAGCCTCTGCACCTGGCCTATACTTATTGGCTATTCTGTGCACATAGTTCAGCCTTGCATCCTCTGTACTTGCATAATGGCTGGCATAGAGTTGAGTTTAACAAAGGTCTTTTGAACTGAATCTGCAAAATTAAGGGTATCAACTAGATCACTTTTCACATTTCTTTTAGCTTTCAACATCTATGGCTCTGTAATACATAGATGTACCTAAGATTATACTAGAAATGCTTATCACTGGCATCAAGGAGACAAGGATTAGTAAAGATACTCTGGTTTCTCTCCAGTTTAAATACATCTTTTGCCTTTTTTTAAAGGATTAAAATGGACCTCTGAGTAAAATAATGAAAGTCAGGGAGAGCTTTCTGGAGGAGATGAGTTTTAAAGACATCAGAGTAAGCATTGACAGAGAGGAGGGGATGGAGTGGTGAGCCTGGATACAAAAAAGGGAAGACATGTATTAAGATTGTTGTGCTTGTCATTTTTTTAATGGCAACAAGTTTCTCAAGATTTCATCTATCAAGTGGTGGTGGGGTCCATGTCCCCTCCCCTTGATGGCCCTGCTAATAGAGTACATTAGAAGTGGTGCTCTGTGACCTCAGAGCCTAGACCATAAATGGTCATTCAGCTTCACATGGCTGTCTTAGAATCCTTGCTCTCCTAATACTTCTCCTTGGGATGGTTGCCCTTAAATCCAGCCACCAGGTTGTGAGAAACTCCAGCTACATGTAGAGAAGCGACACATTGTTGCTCCAAGCAGCAGTCCCGGGTGAGCCCAGCCTATGAGTTATCCCAGCCCAGATGTCAGAGAAGTTGGTGAAGGAGACATCTTCAGCCCCATTGTTCTAGTCCTAGCATTTGAGCTATTTCAGCTATAGCAGCTGTTCAAGTTTCATTAGCTGAGGCATCAGACATTGTGGAACTTGGAGTTACCATTCCTATGGTGCTCTGTCTGAATTACTGACCCACAGAATTCACAGCAGAACCCACAGTGATGGCCCTATGCTATTAAATTTGGAGGTAGTGTGTCCTACAACAATAGATAACTAGGATATTTATGATGGCTGCAAGTTCAAAACTCCAACCAAACTGGCATAAGTAAAAAGAGGAATCTTGTTTCATGAGTCTGTAAAGAGCAGGGGCTAAGTTGATCTCAAGCACAACAGTCCGGGAACTCATTTTGTTATCAGAACTCTCTGCCTGTTACCTCTACTTCTCTCCCCACATCAGTAGGAAAGAAAGCCTGTCTCTCCCAGGAGTCAGTATTCATTTAAACTTTCAGAGGAAGACATTGGCCCAGTTGGATCTTGTGCACATTCCTGGATTAATGACTTCTTAGAGGACTGGAAGTCTACGAATGGCCTAAGCCAGTGGCCAATTCCCCTAGCCAACAGCAAGATATATGGTAAGAGTGCAAGAGAAATTTACCCCAAAAGAAACAGCTATTCTGGAGAGACAAAGCAATTTGCAACAATTACAGTGGTTAAAATCTTATTTCAGTGGTAATTTCTGAAGCAGAGTAGATCCATTTGTCCATAGGTAAGATAGAATATGACAGACGAAGGCCCTCCCCAACTGAAGATGAGCAAAAAGCCCTAAACTCTCTGAGACTTGGAAAAGAGTGCTTTCGAGGAGTGCTAAAACCTGCCAGATTTTTTAAATAAACATGTAGTACATGGTTTCACCCTGGCCATTTCACTGAACCTCACCACCAATCTAGGAGGCAGGTAATGTAAATTCCCTGTTAAGGGTCTAAAAACAGCTCACTTAGTTACTTGCCCAAGGTCATGTGCTTCTAGGGATTAGAAGCAACATACAAAGCCTGGTGTTCAGTCTCCAAATCCAGGACCCCACATTCAACTTACATGAAGACAACTAACTGAAAATGATGAAAAGGAGTCATTTACCAGAACTAAGGAAAAAAAAACAACTTTGTATACCTAAAATCCAAACACAAGGATCCTGAAGTGCTAGTTGTTCAGATATAAATGAAGCAATAGTGGGTGAGGTCTTCAGACAGAGACATTAACCACAGCTTGAGAGACCTGTTTTCTCCATTGTCTAAGTGCCCTTGGACCTCAGACAAACCCCTTATTTCTTGGAAACATGTATTCCTCTGAGAATAAAGGAAGGCGTGTGGTCCAGTAAATGCAATTAGCAGTCTTGCTGCGTGTTTCCTTGTCTGTTATCTACCCGAATACAGCCATCAAAAAGCTCATCTTTTCAAAACATGCTCTTCCAAATGACCAGAGTCGCCAGTAGATTTTAAATAGGTCTGACATGTCTAGCTAGGGAGTCTTCCGGATATAAGAAAATATTTATTGAGCATCTCCTGTGAGGAAGACACTACTCTAGGCACAGAGGGATATGAGAGAGACAGAGACAGAAAGACAGACAGAGAGAGAGAGAGATATTATATAAGGTACAGGAGAGACTCCAGCACTGCATGACTCTGAGAAAATTATATAACCTCACCTATAATGTAGGATTAATAATATGATGATAGTACACAAGTTTGTATCTCCAGCCCAGCCACTCTTGTAACTATAGGCCTTTGATCCAAATGTCTACTCAAGGCTGGATGTAGTGGCTCACACCTGTAATCCTAGCACTTTGGGACGCCAAGGCCGGCAGATCACCTGAGGTCAGGAGTTCAAGACTAGTCTGGCCAACATGGTGAAACCTCGTCTCCACTAAAAATACAAAAATTAGCAGGGCGTGGTGGCGTCTGCCTGTAATCTCAGCTACTCGGGAGGTTGAGGCACGAGAATCACTTGAACCTGAGGCAGAGGTTGCAGTGAGCCAAGATCAGGTCTTTGCACTCCAGCCCGGGCAACAGAGTAAAACTCTGTCTCAAAAATTTTAAAAATAAATAAATAAATAAAATCTACTCAAAATTTGCTCTCAGATGTTTCATGGGAGCTCCCACATCAACATAATCAAAAGCTGAACTCATGACTGTCTCTCTCAGTTCTGTACCTTCTCTGGTGTTTCTTTGTAAAAAGTTCACAGCAATTCCATCCCAGTAGTTCCATCAAACTAGGGCTCTTAAACATTAATATGGAAGACACAACAAATACACCACTTTCTCACTCCCATGAACTCCAAACCATTGGTGGTTCATTAACCACCAATGGCAGGGTGGCGGGGGGCAAGTTCGTATCTGTAGTGCTCCTTGCACCTGACCACTTGACCTTCCAGCAGACAGGTGCACTGGATCTCCATGACCGTGTCTAGAACCCTGCAGCATTCACTGCAATGGTCAGGTCAAATGGAAGACCTGCTTGAGCAATAATACTCTATAAAAACAACTGCAGCAGAGAACAGGACCATACAGGTCATGACTCAGAACTTCTTATTTTTTCTCTGGAGGGCAACAGTAATCGAGACTGACCCCTTGAGATAAGCAAATTCCTTAGAATCCTTTACTCAGTCACACAGGTGACTCCGAGTAGAAAATAAAGTCCTCATTGTAATAAATGAGACTGGAATTCAGAAATATTTAATTTGTACCTCCATAAGGGTAGAACTAATCATGTTGTATTCATAAATAGTACACTTGAATACCTCTTTTACTAGACTGTAAGCTCCTTGAGACCAGGCACAATGTCTATCTAAACCATGTCTGTTGTCCTCACAGAGTCTAACTAACACTGTTAGTTGAGAAGATGTATATTGAATCACTGCAGACACTAAGCTTCCTGTGGATAGATATGAATTTTGCTTTTATTTCACTTCCCTTATAAAATCAGGAGATACTTACTGAATTAAGGGTCTTCAGTTTCAGTCCATGGTTTTCAGTAGATTTCAATTTATGATTTTTATTAAATAGCAAATTAGAGTTGATGTTGGTGGATACTTCAAGCTTGTAGTGAATGAGTGTAGGGGTTATTTGCCTTTTGACAACCATTTTGTGAGTAAAGAGTTTAAATCTTAAAATGTAATGTGGCATTGTGGTCCATGCAGGTTGGGAGACTGCACCCATTCTTAGGGTGAACACACCAGCATTAATATGAGAGGAGAGAGGGGACCTGTGGGCTGAACTGCATGGAAACCTTGCCTTTCCCGGTGGCACTGCAGTCTCATAATATGCTGCATATGTGTGAGAGGATCAAAGCCACAACAAGAGAAATGGTGGCTGCAGAGGCAGAATTTGGGGTTAAAGTGGGATAAAGGGTGTATCTTGCATTGTACTGGAATCAATTTGGTCTTGCTCTCCCCTTGTTTCCAGTACTTGGGCACTTGTTTTGTATTTATTTGACTTTTCATAGCTATCCCACAGGCTCACATACGACACAGAAGTATAGGCATGGTAGGTCTGTGGGTTCACTTTTTTTAAGTAAAATTCAAATGAATGGGACATCAGTGTTAGAGGAAAATCATAAAAGGCATGACTGCCCAAGATATTTACTCTCTCCAAGGATAGTACAATCCTACTCAGAACAGTTTTCAAGGGCTGGAAAGTGTTACGAGGTGAAAACAAAACCCTATTAGCAGGGACCTTTGTCCGTATCTTCTGTCCAGACTACTGGGGTTTCTTTAAGGTACTGTACCTATCTGTACATCATAAATGAGGCATTAGCTAAACGGATGGTGTGAATGGCATCTTCCACTCACAACTTCATTGTTCAACCACTTCTTATTCTCTGTGGTGCACATCTCAGACTGTTCTGAGCTACAGTGTTCTAGCTAATGGCTTAACTTTTCATTTTGCACTCTTCTCTCTCCTCCCAATTCTACTTACACTGGCATTTTGCAACTGAGAACCCTAGCTACTCAGAATGTGAGTAGAGTAGCCCTGTTTCTCCCCACTGGCCACCTTGTTTATGATTGCCCTGGGTAACCAGTCTCCTCTCCCCAGGCCTGGACCTCTTTGCTACCATTCTGGAGAGGACCCCTACCAAATCCTTTGGTACATGCAAGGCCGGGACGCATCATTGAGCCCTTGAAACTGCATTCTCATAACATATCAAAATGTTTAGGGGCAGGAGAAATGAATGGAAAATAAATTAAAATCAAAGAAATGTCTGGAAAAGGCTATAAAAATGATTCAATACACAAGAAGAGTTAAAAACCTATCTAACATTCTTCTAAAATTACTAATACCAGAAAACAGATATGCATATCCATACCCGCCATCTTTGCTGAATTTTTATGTTGACCAATATACTTTCAATTAAATAACTTGTGGTCTCTCTCATTCTCCAGAAAGCATAAAGCATTTCCTTCTCTGAATAAAAGAATAAAAGGTGAAGTGAAGACCTGAGTGAAAAATTATCTCTAGAAGCAAAGTACAGCAATCCCCAAAGTACTGTAATTTTTTTTTTGTTTGCTTCATTAGAGTTCTGTGTAACCTATTCTACAAATCAGTCAAGGAAGGGAGTGAAAGCCTGAATAGATGAAAGGGAAGCGGGGATGTGAGAGGAAGTTCTGCTGGGAAAATCACCCATCTCTGGAATTACCATGGATTCTTCTTCCTAAATGGGAAAACACATACATGAGTCCAATGCCATTCACAAATAGCAACTGAGACTCTGCTGTATATCAGACACTCCATATGAGAAGCCAAACAAAATTCACCCCCTGATCTTGAGGAGCTGATGGTTGAATAGGTGGAAATAGAGCTAATAATTTTAATACAATGTGGTAAGCACCAGATGCTAGAAGCCCACTGCATGGTCACATAACCCAACCCAAATACTCAAAGGCTTCCCAAAGGACACATCTGAACCAAGCCTTGAAGGCTGAGTAAGAATTATTGGGATTGGCCTGAAACCACCCAAAAGATTTTCATTAGTTCCTCATTATCTTATAGTAACCCAGTCCAGTGCATGCAATGGAGACTAAGACACCTTTGTAATGAGTTCACAATGTTGCCATAGAGAAGACTTCTACATACACACAGAACAATTACAAGGACCACCACAAGATTATAAACCCAGGCTAGACAGTGTGGTTCTGACACATTCAAGTAGGTGTTTCTAGTGCTCAGAATGTAGTTAGTGCTCAGTACATATTTGTTGCATTAATTGGCATCTTGCTCTGAAGGATATTTAAGCCAATTCTAAAGCATTAATTTCCAGAGAAGCAACTAAAGAAGATACTTTAATACACCAATGCAAGAAAAAAAGACTTTGTCCCTGGGATGTACCACATATGGAGTCACATTTCAGAGGCCAAACAAAACAGTTCATTTCCAGGGGTATGATGTAGTTTAATCAAGAACTGTATTCTTGGCTACTATGAACTTCATCTCAGGAAATCTTTTTCAAATGCCTACTGTGTGCCAAACATTTGCTTCATCTCTTGGTAATCTTCATAAAGATTAATAAACCAATATCTGACCTCAGGACTTCAATTTCTAGGGGAGAAGACAGTACATCCACCCCTCAGGCTCAGCTCATTTCATAAGCAAATGTGCAGTGTTAAGGGTCCACATGAGCAGGATGGGTTTCATTGTAATTTTGGTGGATGTATGAAGTCTTCATGGAAATGAGGGCATTTGAGCTTGGCCTTGAATTATGACTAAGTCTTCAGCATGAAGAGAGAGGGACAACCTAGGTGAAGGGAACAAAATGAGAAATCAGACAGAGACAAGACAATATTGTTCACATCTGGGAATCGCTGAGAAGTTCAGTGCTGCAAACTCAAGAGTGAGGGTGTATTAGTCCATTTTCATGCTGCTGATAAAGACATACCTGAAACTGGGAAGAAAAAGAGGTTTCACTGGATTTACAGTTCCACATGGCTGTGGAGGTCTCAGAATCATGGTGGAAGGAGAAAGGCACTTCTTACATGGTGGCAGCATGAGAAAATGAGGAAGATGCAAAAGCGGAAACCCCGATAAAACCATCAGATCTCCTGAGACTTATTCACTACCATAAGAACAGTATGGGGGAAACTGCCCCCATGATTCAAATTATCTCCCACAGGGTCCCTCCCACAACACCTAGGAATTATGGGAGTGCAATTCAAGATGAGATTTGGGTGGGAACACAGAGCCAAACTACATCAGAGGGGGAACTCAGAGGTAGAGCTGGACTAGGAAGGTACTTATCCAGAGGCAGGTCATGTAGCAGGTACTGTTGGGCCACACCTGGATGCCCTCAGAAAGTGCCCTTTTGCTACAAGCCAGCCCAACTTCCAACTCTTCAACCAAGGGCATTATCTGAATGCTGGAGCCCACTCAGCCTGCATGCTGGGCAGGCAGAGTACTAAGGACTTCTTTCTCCTTTCCACTTTCCCCAAGCAATGATGAATGGTGAATAAACATACCTGAGGGAAACCTGAGGCATATATTTCCCGGCAGGATTAGCCTCCAGCTGCCCACATGTTCATTTGCTTTATAATGATCCTCTCTCAGCTTCTTTCTCTACCTGGTATCCCTTCTCCACTCCCTTTCTTATGTTTTCTAGGTTCACTCCAGAAAGCTATCATTTGCAGGTGACTTAGAATCTTAGGGTCTGCTTCTGTGGGGAAGCCAAACTAAGACATCAGGAAGTTATCATTAATGATGAAGTAAGTGATTATCAGGAAATGCAGCCAAAGGTCAGTTTTGATGATCAAGATAATGCTATAAAGGGGAAACAGAAGAGAGATGCCAGCAGGTAGGGAAGTGAGAGAAGGCAGCAAATGTGAGCTAGGAAGGCAGCTGGGGGAGCACAGCAGGACAAGAGCCTCAGAACAAGAGCTGTGAAGATGACAGCTTGATGTGCCCATTACTCAATTCAAGGGCAAGCCTAATGGACTGATGGCTTCTTAATCATTTTGATTTTTAGACCCCTTTGAGAAAATGATGAAAGCTTTGGACTTTCTATCCAGAAAAATAAAAAGTGTATACAAACAATTTTGCTTGGAACTTCAAGGGATTCCCAAACCTCAGATTAAGAACCCCTGATTAAAGGCTTGATTTGAGGCTGGACTCTGGGGGCCTTGATTGCCTGCAGAGTGCTTTAGCATTTATTCCATAGGCAAGGCAGAGCCAGCAAAGGTTTTCACTATCAGAGAATTCCAAAGTGGTTATAGTTTTCCATTCTAAATGGAACCCAAGAAATCTGGATGTTTTTAACAGATTGAAAGAGAGATTGGAAAAAAAAGTGCATAGATAATTGAGCTCCTTGTTGGCCAAAAACATTTGCAACCAGATGCACTATATGGCTTCAAAGACTGCTGACTGCAGAATCCAGATGCACCTCAACAAATGCCATGGGAGTCCCTTCCGCAGCCAAATGTTTTGGCCTCGGAAATTCCTGGAGCAGAATGGATGTTGAATGGAGCTGGAAACAAACTCAGGGCAAACACAACTGTTTATATGACCACATCTAAGAGATTTGGAGTGAAAATCCCCCTGTTACAGAGTGGACAGACAGAGGCTGAGAACAAAATAATCCACTTGGGGGATAAATAGAGATGGTGCAGGAAAGCAGAGAAAATATGGAGAAGGACATATCCGAAACATAATTCTAGAAAATACAAGCTGATTTGAGAACAAAAGAGAAATACATAGAGACATAAAAAAATGATGGTAACTAGACTTAAAAGACCTAAAAAACTAATAGAGAAGAAGAAAAGCCAAATTGTTTTTTTTCTTTTTTCTTACAAATAAATTTAAAGAATAGCTCTCTTTTTTTAGTATCTACCATATGTGGAAATGATAACAATACATAACCCTATAAGTAAGGTATTACCTCTATGTTACAGGTGAACAAACTGAGACCCAAAAGAAACTTGTATAAGGCCACCAAATGAGTAATGGTAGAACTAGAATTTGAACCCAGTGCTGTGTGACTTAGAATCACACATACTAGCTCCTGTTGCCCTTGTCCCAGAACTTGTAGTTAGACACCAAACACAACTGAAAGTAAGACAAATTACATGACCTAGGCACCAAAACAAAAAGGAAGAATTGTCCATGCCTAGACTTTTAAGGACTAAGCAATGGGGAGGCAGAGAGGAGACTGATCTTGCTGGTCACTGTGATCATCTACATGATGATCTCTCAACTATCAGTTTCCAAGTCATCTTGCCTGGCATATTCCCACTGCCAGTCAGGGCCGACCTGTGGGGAATGGGAAGCCCTGGTGTGCCAGAGGCAGGAGGACCTCAGATTGTGTCATCCAGATAGATGTCCTCGAGTTTCTGGTGTGACCTATGGTATGGCAGAAAGAGTATGAAAGCCAGGTCATGAAAACCATCCACTACCTCAACAACCTACTGAACCTCTTGGAGCTTCAGCTTCAGCTTCTTCACTGGTAAAAACCAAACCTATGGTACAATCATCATACTAAATAGTGATGCATGCATTGTGTCTAGCATAGTGTCTGCTACACACAAGCTCTCAAAAACTCAAGATTTTGCATCCCAACATCCTTTCTTCACCCTCCTTTTTTTTTTTTTTTTTTTTTTGAGACGGAGTCTCGCTCTGTCACCCAGGCTGGAGTGCAGTGGCGCGATATCGGCTCACTGCAACCTTCATCTCCCAGGTTCAAGTGATTCTCCTGCCTCAGCCTCCCAAGTAGCTGGGATTACAGGCGCCTGCCACCGTGCCTGGCTAATTTTTGTATTTTTAGTAGAGATGGGGTTTCACTATGTTGGCCAGGCTGGTCTCAAACTCTTGACCTCATGATCCACTTGCCTCGGTCTCCCAAAGTGCTGGGATTACAGGTGCGAGCCACCGCGCCTGGCCTCTTAACCCTCCTTTTCTATTTGAGTCACTTATTTTTATGTTCTCTACAAACTCATACCAAGACCTGTTAGCACCCTGGTTATAGCTTCTTCCCTCATCTCACTTCAATATACATATATTTAATATCTACTGTAATAGCAAAACAAATTTGCCTAGAATTATGTAACTTACAAAACTCTTCCACTTCTGCCACAGCATCTCTCTTTACCATGCATCTGGAACTGAGCAAACAGGAATTATTACCCTTTTGTTACCTATGTCTAAAAAAGGCTTAGAGAGTGTATGTTATGTGCCCCAGTTGCATAGCAAGTTAAGAGTTGGGATGGCTTAAAGGAACAGAGTCAAGAAATATATAGGTGCCTTGGACAAGTTACTTGCCTCTTTGAGACTCATTTCCTTGTCTTTTTTTTTTTTTTAAGGCAGTTCAGGATAGCCATGTCCAAGTCCCCTTCTGCTGTGATCTTCAAGGATTCTGCTTCAACTCTACATGAGAATTATCCAGCAGAAACTTTTACTGGTCTACTGTAAATACTACAGATCAAGCATAGCACCCCCTCATGCTTTTATTTTAACCTCAGGATGAAATCAAATACAAGAATGTTGCATTTTCGTGTTTAGTGAGTTTCCCCGGCAGATCTTTCACTCATTCAGTCAAGAAGTGCTTGATTAGTAACTACTGTGTGTCAAATATAATAATAGATGCTGAGGATACAACTTTAAACAAGAAAAAATTTCTGCTTTCCATTAGCTCATAGTCCTGGGTGGAGACAGAGAAGAAAATAGAGAGTTACAGGGTATCAGTGATCAAGCTGTCAGTTGCAAATAATGGGAGTACAAACTCTTAATTGAAAACATGATTTGACATCTATGTAGCTTTTGTGATCTTATATAAATCCAAGATAAGACTCCTTCAAGAAAATTTTATGCAATGGTTCAATGATGTTATAAAAACTTAGTTTCTTTACATTCCCAGCATATTGGTATTCTAGTATACTAGCACTTCTGCTAGACAGAATATGGCTGCCTTAGTGCTAGAACACACAGGTAGAGCAACAGAGGAGGAAGAGGAAGTAGAGGCAACAATGGCATCTTCCTGTACACCTCTTTATCGGTAAAGCAACTTTTCCCAAAAGCCCTCAGGAGACGTCTGCTCTTAGCCTATTGGCCATAACTATGTTACATGCCCATCCCTAAACCAATGACTGGAAAGAGGAATGATGCTGTCATGAACAGATCGTCATGACTTACTCCTAGAGCTGGGATGGGGTCACTTCTCCTGAGTCACATGGGGAAAAGGTAGACAGATGAATAAACTCAGCCTCTACCAGCAAGGCGAGGAGGGGAAGGGCTGTTGGATGGGCAATAGTTTCTGGCCTACAGCACAGAATTCACCAATTTAAGGAATATAACAGAAGTAAGCCCAAGATACATAGGACAGGCTTCTAAGGCAGCATGTGTGAGCTGTGCTGGAAATAGAAATACATAGTTTGTGAAAGTTGGACTTTCAGATGGAATTAAAGGCAAAACCAGAAATGCGACTGCTTTGGGGTGATGTAGTGATATTTACAGACTCTCAAGTGCCTCTGGCAATCAGCTGACTCTAGTGGGATATTGCTAGCCCCTTGCAGCAGTGTCCAAACCAGGGCTGAGAGCCAGGGGAGACAGGCCACCCTAGGGCAGTTTGGACCCCTGAAGGAGCTAGCAAAGGTCAACTCTAATCATGACTCAAGATTTAACGTGCTGTGATTCAAGGGGTGTGGCTTCTGCAGTCAGACAGCCTTGAGTTTAAATTTAAGCTCTGCTATTTACTGGGAAAAGCACAGAAACTCTTTGGGTCTCAATTTCCTTATCTGTAAAATGGGGATGCCTACTTGGCTGGTCGAGACTTAAAATAATGTATGCAAAGCAATAACAAAGTGCCTGGCAAGCAATAGTAAGTGGTATATATTATTAATACTAGAAAAAAATACAAGCAGAAATGGATCCGAGATGAACAGAATGAGGAGAATGTACACACCCTGAAAAGGTTTGTTTTGAGCCAGAAATTCCAAGCCCAAAATGAAAATCAAGTACTGTTTTCATAGTTCTTTATAATGTGTAAAATTCCATTATCACCAATTGTCTCATTGGATCTTCAAAACCAAGGTATTATTAGGACTCCCTCATTTTACAGATCAAAAGAGATTCAGCTGAGATTCCAGCCAGATCACACACAAGTAGAGGACAGAGCTGATATTCCTGTCTCTGTTGTCAGCTCTCCCTGCCACAGCACACTGCTTCTGTCCATGCCCAGGCACTGCACAGGTCAGTCAGGATCACAGCAGAAGGTCAGCAGCGAAGGGGCAGCCAGGCAGCATCAGGGGTGCTGGCAGCATCTGCTCTTGGTTCTAGAAATCCCAGGGTTCACAAAGAACCATTCATTTATCTACTAAGCGAAGTTTGAATGCCCACAAATTGGTTCTAGGCACTGGGGATGCCACGACCAACAAGATAGATTTAGTCCCTATCCTTAAAGAGCTTCAGTCTAGAGGAAAAGGCTACCAAGTAATTAAACAATTTCAATAAAGTGCAAACCATGAGAGAACAGAATAGGGGGCCAATCGTAGCATGATTGTCTTTGAAGACCTCCCAAAGGAGATGACAAGTCTTGAAGGACAGAAGAATATAGCCAGGGAGAGGAGTATTCGCAGCAGAAGGAAGAGCAACCAGAGTAAGTTTTAAATTGGAAATTGAGATAAACAACAAATGCTTTTTCACATAAGTATATCCCGAATACTGCATAGCATGTGTACAATCGACCAAAATTCATTTGTTGATTATTGAAAATTCAGATTTAACTGTGCGACTCTAAGCCAGAGGCAAGAGAAAATATTTACATTCAGTAAATTAATAGTAGTTTCTCAGTGCTACAATTTTGGAGACAAAAGAAAGCAGCTAAACATCATGACAGAAAAAAGTGGGAATTCATTTTCTCAGGGAATTCAGGCTTCAAGAGAGACTTGGCTGCAGATTAAAAAGCTAGAAACAGTGGAACTAGAAGACCAACCTGTTAACAAATCACTATATCTAAGTCTCTCTCTAAAGGTCTCCTGTCCAGAGAAACATTTCTCGAACTTTATCTCACATCAGAATATCCGGGCGGGGGTGGGGGGGTTGTTAAACCACAGGTTGCTGGGCCTAACACCCGGAGCTTTAGATTCAGTATATCTGGGGTGGCACTTGATAATTTGAATCTTAACACATTTCTGGAGTGGCTAATGCTAACGGGGCCATACTTTGAAAAACACTGGCCCAGAGAATGAATCCCAGAGTTTATATCAGGCTCTTTCCAGTGTTGGTATGCATGAGAATCATGTGGGTAATCAGCTAAATATGAAATCCCTGCCTCTTCCCTATGATGGAGGTTCAGATGCATACAGATGACTCTGATGTAGGAGATACACACTGCTCTGCTGGAGAAAAAGTGATTGCTCAAGTCTATCAAGCTCTTTTTTACTTAATTATGTATATTTATTTACATATAAATTATTTGCCTATACTATTGTACTAATACATTATTTTTTCTTGATACATGATATTTGTACAAATTTGTGGGATACTTTGTTACATGCACAGAATGCATACTGGTCAAGTCAGGGTATTTAGAGTATCTATTGCCTGGAGTATTGATCATTTCTATGTATTGGGAATATTTCAGGTCCTCTCTTCTAGCTATTTGGAAATATGCATACATAGTTGTTAATTATAGTCACCTTACTCTGCTATAGAACATTAGAATTTACTCCTTCTAACTGTATATTTGTACCCATTAACCAACCTCTCTTCATGTCTCCCTCACCAACCCACACATCATTCCAAGCTTCTAGTATTATATCTATCATTCTACTCTCTACCTTCATAAATCAACTTTTTTAGCTCCTACATATGAGTAAGAACATGCAATATTTATCTTTCTGTGCCTGGCTTATTTCAACTAACATAATGACCTTCTGTTCCATCCTTGTTGCTACAAATGACATAAATTCATTTTTTATGGCCAAATAATATTCCATTTTGTATATATACCACATTTTCTTTATCCATTTGTCTGTTGATGGACAGTTGGTTGATTCTGTACCTCTTCTGTTGTGAGTAGTACTACAATAAACATGGGGATGCAGGTATCGATTTGATAAACTGATTTACTTTTCTTTGTATAAATACGCAGTAGTGAGATTGCTAGGTTGTGTGGTAGTTCTGTTTTTAGTTTGTTGCAAATTTTCCATACTGTTTTCCATAATGGTTGTACTAATTTTCACCATGTCCTCCCCAGCCTTTGTTATTTTTTAGCTTTTTAGTAATAGCCATTCTAACTGGGATAAGATGATATCTCATTATGGTTTTGACTTGCATTTCCCTGATGATTAGTGATATTGAGCAAGTATTCAAATATCTGTTGGCCAATTGTATATCTTTTGAGAAATGTCCATTTATATCTTTGCCCATGTCTTTTTAATGGGATTATTTGGTTTTTATTATTATTATTATTATACTTTAAGTTCTAGGGTACATGTGCACAATGTGCAGGTTTGTTACATATGTATCCATGTGCCATGTTGGTGTGCTGCATCCATTAACTCGTCATTTACATTAGATATATCTCCTAATGCTATCCCTCCCCCTGCCCCCCACCCCACGACAGGCCCTGGTGTGTGATGTTCCCCTTCCTGTGTCCAAGTGTTCTCAATGTTTAATTCCCACCTATGAGTGAGAACATGCAGCGTTTGGTTTTTTGTCCTTGCGATAATTTGCTGAGAATGATGGCTTCCAGCTTCATCCATGTCCCTACAAAGGACATGAACTCATCATTTTTTATCGCTGCATAGTATTCCATGGTGTATATGTGCCACATTTTCTTAATCCAGTTCTATCATTGATGGACACTTGGGTTGGTTCCAAGTCTTGGCTATTGTGAACAGTGCCGCAATAAACATACGTGTGCATGTGTCTTTATAGCAGCATGATTTATAATCCATTGGGTATATACCCAGTAAAGGGATGGCTGGGTCAAATGGTATTTAGTTCTAGATCCTTGAAGAATTGCCACACTGTCTTCCACAATGGTTGAACTAATTTACACTGTCACCAACAGTGCAAAAGTGTTCCTATTTCTCCACATCCTCTCCAGCACCTGTTGTTTCCTGACTTTTTAATGATCGCCATTCTAACTGGTGTGAGATGGTATCTCATTGTGGTTTTGATTTGCATTTCTCTGATGGCCAGTGATGATGAGCATTTTTTCATGTGTTTGTTGGCTGCATAAATGTCTTCTTTTGAGAAGTGTCTGTTCATATCCTTCACCCACTTTTTGATGGGGTTGTTTGACTTTTTTCTTGTAAACTTCTTTGAGTTCTTTGTAGATTCTGGATATTAGCCCTTTGTCAGATGAGTAGATTGCAAAAATTTTCTCCCATTCTATAGGTTGCCTGTTCACTCTGATGGTAGTTTTTATGCTGTGCAGAAGCTCTTTAGTTTAATGAGATCCCATTTGTCAATTTTGGCTTTTGTTGCCATTGCTTTCAGTGTTTTAGACATGAAGTCCTGGCCCATGCCTATGTCCTGAATGGTATTGCCTGGGTTTTCTTCTAGGGTTTTTATGGTTTTAGGTCTAACACTTAAGTCTTTGATCCATCTTGAATTAATTTTTGTATAAGGTGTAAGGAAGGGATCCAGTTTCAGCTTTCTACCTATGCCTAGCCAGTTTTCCCAGCATCATTTATTAAATAGGGAATCCTTTCCCCATTTCTTGTTTTTGTGAGGTTTGTCAAAAATCAGATGGTTGTAGATGTGTGGTATTATTTCTGAGGGCTCTGTTCTGTTCCATTGGTCTGTAACAGAGATACAGATCAATGTTTTGGTACCAGCACCATGCTGTTTTGGTTAGTGTAGCCTTGTAGTATAGTTTGAAGTCAGGTAGCGTGATGCCTCCAGCTTTGCTCTTTTGGCTTAGGATTGACTTGGCATTGTGGGCTATTTTTTGGTTCCATATGAATTTTGAAGTAGTTTTTTCAATTCTCTGAAGAAAGTCATTGGTAGCTTGATGGGGATGGCAATGAATCTATAAATTACCTTGGGCAGTATGGCCATTTTCATTACATTGATTCTTCCTATCCATGAGCATGGAATATTCTTCCATTTGTTTGTGTCCTCTTTTATTTTGTTGAGTCTACCTCTCCCTTTAGATCAGCAGTCCCCAACCTTTATGGCATCAGGGACCAATTCTGTGGAAGGCAATTTTTTCATGGACCAAGGGTGGGGAGGGGGCATGGTTTCAGAATGAAATGGTCCCACCTCAGATCATTAAGCATGAGTTAGATTCTCTTAAGGAGTGTGCAACCTAGATACCTTGCATACACAGTTCACAATAGGATTTGGGCTTCTATGAAAATCTAATGCTGCAGCTGATCTGACAGGAGGTAGAGCTCAGACAGTAATGTTCACTCACTGACCACTCACCTCCTGCCATGTGGCCCATTTCCTAACAGACCATGGACCGGTACCGGTCCGCAGCCTGAAAGGTGGGGACCCCTGCTTTAAATCTAATAATATTTACTTTATGTATCTGGGTGCTCCGTTGGGTGCGTATATGTTTAGAATTGTCATATGTTCTTACCGAGTCAATCCTTTTATCATTATGTAATGACCTTCTTTATCTCTTTTTACTGTTTTTCACTTAAAGTCTGTTTTATCTGATAGAAGTATAGCTAGCTACTCCTGCTCATTTTTTGTTTCCATTTGCATAGAATATCTTTTCCCATACCTTTACTTTCAATCTATATTTGTCTTTACAGGTGAAATGACTTTCTTGTAGGCAGCATATTTTTATCCATTCAGCCAGGTTTTTTTTAATCCATTCAGCCAGTCTATATAGTTTAAGTGGAAAGTTTAATCAATTTATTTTCAAAGTTATTATTGATATGCGAGGGCTTATTCCTGTCATTTTATTAATTGATTTCTCATTGTTTGGTATAACCTTTGCTTCTTTCTCTCTTACTGTTCACCATTGTGGTGAACAATTGGTGGTTTTCTGTACTGGTAACATTTGAATTCTTTCTCTTTTTCATTTGTGTGTTTCTTCTACCAATGGGTTCTACAATTTCATCTGTTTTCATCATGATAGACATCACTCTTTCCCTTCCAGGTTTAGGACTCCTTAAACATTTCTTGTAGGACCAGCCTACTGGTGATGAATTTCCTCAGCTTTTGATGATCTAGGAAAGACTTTATTTCTCCTTCATGAAGGAGACTTGAAGGATAACTTTGCTACATATAGTGTTCTGGGTTGACAATTTTTTCTTTCAGCACTTTGAATGTGTTATCCCATTCTCTTCTGTCCTATAAGGTTCTTGCTGAGAAATTCACTGTTAATTTGATGGGGGTTCTCTTATAAGTGACTAAATGCTTTTCTCTTGCTCTTTTTATAGTTCTGTTTTTGACTTTTGACAGTTTGATTATAATGTCTCATGAAGAACTTTTGGGTTTCTCTGTATCTATCTATTTGATGATTCTGAGCTTCCTGTATGTGATATCTAAATCTCTTGCTAGACTTGGGAAGTTGTCAGCTATTATTTTGTTAAATAAATTTTCTATCCTTTTGTTCTATCTCTTTGGTAAATGTTCATTTATATCATTAATTGTTTTCCTGATTTCCTTTTAATTTTTTTTAGTTCTGTTGTATCTCACTAAGTTTCTTTAATATCATTATTTTGAATTATTTTCCTGGCATTTTATACATTTCTTTTTCCTTGAGATCTCTTGTTAGAGAATTGTTTTATTCTTTTGGAGGTGTCACATTTCCTCACTTTTTTATATTTCTTGTATCCTTGCATTGATGTCTGCACATCTGGTATAATAGTTACTTCTTCTAATTTTTGGATTCGCATTTGTAGAAGAGGACTTTTTCCTGAAAATATCTATGGTGTTGGTTGAGTAGCATGCTTCGGCTTTCATTCTGGGTATGTGCAGTACTGTAGTCTCCATATAACTTCTTCAGCTTTAAATGGTGTCAGTCATGTCTTTGGTTTCCTCAGTGGCTTAGGGTGTGGTTTTTAGTGAAGGCCATTGTTATGTTTTGCTGGGGACAGGGATCCCAGGTGGACCTGTCCTTAAGCCTCAGTAATGGTAGCAGCAGGCTGAGAATGCCTGTTCTTGGGCTCCAGGGAGCATACACTAACAACAGTGTTAGTGGCTCCAGAAAGACTGACTGATTCTTGGGCCTCCAGGCAGCTTGCTTAAGTGTCAACAGTGGCAGTGATGGGCCAGGCAGGTGCTCTGATCATTGGGATCCTGGAAAGTAGGTATGGCATAGGCAATCATAGTAGTAGTGGGACAACCCTCTGCCTCCCAAGTGCCCCATGTTGGTGTTGGCAGTGGCTACCATAGGCTGGATGGGCCAGTCTCCAGGCCCACAAATGGCACATGATGGGAGGATGCCAGCTGTAGTGATAGTGTCAGACTAGGTAGGCCCATCCTTAGGCCTCTGGGAGGGATGCTCAAGTGCCAATGATAGTGGGTGGGACAGGCCAATCTCCAGGTCCCCAGATAGCATGCTCAGGCACTGAGTGGGGTTAGGCAGAAAGCCAGGCCAAATAGACCTGTCCTCAGGACTGCGCTGATGCATACAAGTACTGGCTGTGATGGGCAAGGGTGGGGTGATCCCAGACCACCAGCAGAGTGGGACAGCAGCAGCTGCACCACAGCCCTGCTGCTGAGGAGGACTGAGAAGCCTATCCTCAGGGCACTTATAAATGCATCCACGGCTGGGAATGATAGGATCACTACCAATGGGGTACACTTCGGTCCAGCAGTGGAAGCTAGTAGCAGCAGCAGCTGCAGGCAGGGAATATCAATGGGGCTCCAGGGCTGTGGAGATACAGGGGCTGTTGGGCTCCATGGCAGGATGCAGTATGGTGGGAGCTGGGCTTTCAAAATAGCATCGTGTTATAGCTGCTTAGGACCCAAAGGTTGTGTAGCACTCAGTGTAAGCTCCCTCTCCAAAGCAATGCTATCACAAGGTTCTAAGCAGTTCCTTATGTTAGTTTCAGGGCCCATAAGGATTGAGGAGCTCTTCCATGGTTGTGATTACAGGAGTCTTCGGTAGGAATGTGGACTGCTGGGGATCTCTAGTTACTTTTGCCCCACACTGGGGAGCCTTTCCAAGCTTCCTGCCAATCCTTGTATAGCAAACTGCCTCACTTTCCTCTTCTTCCTTGCCTTAGGTGTTTTCTGTCACTTCTCTGTTGAATTCCAGTGTTCTCTCTTAGATGATCTATTCAAAGTGTGATTATCTACTCACTGTTTTGGTTTTTTGTGGAAGAGGGAGGTGCCAGATGCCTCTATTCAGCCCTCTTGAGCCCCTCACTCTAACACATTATTTCAAATGATGAAAGTATTTAGCTTTTTAAAAATATACATAAAAGTTCTATTTTCTTCCCACACCCCAATGGATTGCCTTGCATCCACAGTTTTGAGACCTTTGGACTGGCCAAGTGCTGTTCAAAGTATGGTTCACAAACCAGCAGCATCAGCATCATGTGGGATCTTGTTAGAGGTACAAGTTCATGGCGCTGCCCCAGATATAATGAATCACAATTTCTGGGGTTTGGGCAATGAGTGGTTTAATAAGCTCTTCACATAATTCTATGGACAATGAACTTTGAGAACCACTGATGGCTAAATCCACAGGTGGGGCAAGGTGACCTTGGCTCTAAGACAAGGACTGATGTAATAAAAGCACAATCACAAGATAAAGCTGAGCCAAGGGTGACTCTGAGATACTGGAATTCCCCACTGAAATTAACTGCTTTTAATAAACAAAATTGGGCCAACAATGATCACATTATTATTCAGAATAGTGTTAACCTAATGTCATTATGATGCTGTTTTGTTGACATGACATCATCAAGGAAAATTATTGATTTCTACGAGATTCAAGAAATTTACCTGACTAGGTGAAACAATGGTCTAGTTTTCCCCTAGTTGAGGGTAACCCCAGGACACAGGACTTTCAGTACTAACCCAGGAAAGTCTAGGAAAATCAGAATAGCTGGTAATCTTACCTACATTCCATTATGAAAATGTTTGATGTCTTTAAGAAATCAACTTCTTTTCTTTGTTCCTGTCAACTAATAACCTCTACATAAGGTGGGCATGGATAGGACAAAAGAACCCTAGACTTGCAGATCTGGTTCTGGCTGTCATTTAACAGCAGTGTGATATGTAGCAAGTCAATTAATCTCTGTGAACCTCTGATTATCTGCAAAATGGGGATGAAAACTCCTGCCTCCCACACCTCATAGGCTAATTGTCAAGGCCAAGAGAGTTAGTGTTATGAAAGCTATGCATTACAGAATCCACTGGGAATGTAAGCAACAGCCACTTGACATCATGGTAAGCATGCAGGCTTTCAGGCAGGCAGATCCCAGTCTTGACCTCAGTAGCAGCATCACTTTGAGCACATTATTTTATCTCTCTGACATGATTCCCATCTGTAAAATGGCGACTCAAATTACCTTTCTCATCGACTATTGAGAAGATTAAAAGAGACGCAGGTCGCAAAGTGCCTGGCATATTTGGAGCTCCAAAGGATTAGTTCCCTTCCCCGTGATTATAAGACACTCAACGACTTAATGATAGTTTTTTGCAGTTAATGCCATGAATAGAATCATTATGTTTGCTTCCTGAAGTGAAAAGCCACAATAACACTCCTCCTTGCCCCCAGGACCCCTTTGATGTGGCAGGGGGTGGGAAAGGATGTTACTTCTGCTTGGCATAACCAAGTCAGAAAGGCTACCCAGTTTCTGCCCACAGAGAAGTGGAGTGAAGTCACTGCCTCAGAGAGGCCTGAGGACGAAATTCACAGTGACCTTGGTATCTAAGAATGCCAAATCTCTGACTTCCACACCTATTTAGTCATTCCTTCAGTCAATCGTACATAATGTAAATAAATTATTTTTAATCATCCCTAACAATTGCAAAAAAGAACGTATGAGCCCAGCCTGTCCTAGCAGGTAAAAAGGGGCAGGAGAGGGGGTGTTTAGGGGAATGTCTCTTTTACATGCAGAGATTTTGTAACGTTTTATTTCTAAAGGATTTCTTTCATTCACTAGCCATTTACTGAGCCAGATATCCTGTGTTTTGAGCATCTACTTTGTGCCAGACTTGGTGCAATAGCTTCTGCTTGCCAAGAGGCTCACAGATGCAAATAAACCCAGAGTTTCAACCCAGGGTGAAAAATCTCTTGATAGAGGTAAGTCTGAGGGATAGTGGTGGCAATGAAGGTTTAGCATCCCCTCCTCAGGGCCAGTGCTGGAAGTGGGCAACACTCTGTAAATTAAGAGTGCACACAGGCCCATGGCTGAAGACAATTACCTCCTAGTATTCATTGTCTTTGCCTTGACATGTGACCTCTTCCAGGAACCCTGAAAGTAAATCACGGCCAGTGAAATCTGAGCATAGCTGATCATGTGTATGTAACAACCAAGCTCTACCACTGAGGAAAAGGCATGCTCATCACCTCCCCTTCCCACTTTCTTTGTAGATGGAATCCAGGCACGGTAGTGAAGAATCTTGGACCATGTGGTTGACAACAGCACTGAGAAATTGCAGGACAAGAAAAGAAGCCTGGATCCTTCTTTCATGAATTCAAACAGAGCCGCCATAAACACAAGGACATTTATATAACAGAGAACTGAACCTCTATCTTACATTTACCTCAAATATCTTGGGTTTCCATTACATGCAGCAATATCTGAGTTCTTTTACTCCTGTCTATAGTACAAGTTATTTAACTGGATGAACCCTCTGTATTTCTGCAAATTAACTGACAAATATTACAAACAGCAGAAATCTCCAAATGCTAGCTGTTATGGAATGATGAATTATAATCAGAAGCCCAGTTGAGCTCCTCTATGAGCCCACAAATAGTTTGTGTGTCATTCAGGGGTTGTGGCAGCCTGAAATCTGCAAAGTATCTATCAGGGAGGGTAGTGGTAGATGCTCCCTGGATCTCAGCTTCTGCTTCTCTTCTCTCCTCCCAGCAACAGCTGCTTGAGTCCAAACTCCAAAGCTGTCTTAAGTAGGAGAGTTAGAGTAACCACCTCCTAGTTCTCAATCTCAATTTCCCCGCCCCTTTTGTTTTTTAAATTTTCACCTACACTGCCACAGGATCAATTCCCTCTTGCTGATAGTTTAACTAGAATTTTTTGTTTAACAGTTTCATTCCTGGTTTTCTGCCTCTGATGTGGTTCCTGAGCTCCTGTTTCAGGTATAAAGTCTAGACCATGAACACCAGGCAGTGACTCTGGTAATTCATATTTCCATCTCCAGCTAGCACAGGACCTAGCATGATACAAGCACACATTAAATGTTGTTTTTTAAGTGAATGAATGGTATGATATATACCACCATTGCCTTCTAAGGAGCCTTTCCTGTTTTCCTAGCCTCTACTCCAAAAACTAAGAGGACTCTTAAGAAATCCTGTTGACTGGCCTGCACCTTTCTGGGTATGCTTCTGCAAGTGAACTGGATCCTCAGGCATGGCATATCTGATTCCCATCCACCTGTTGGAATATCTCACTTTCTTACATAGTGCTTCATTTGCAGTCTTGCCCACCTTCCCTTCTGGACAAGAAGGTGGCTACTGATTTGCCCAAGCTGGGATTCCAAAACCCAAGGCTAGAAATGAACCAATGGTCATGATCATAAAGTACAGAGGAAAGGAGAATCAAGGTCTCTAACCTGGGCAAAGATAGGCCTTGAAAAAAGTATGGCCAAAATTATCAAGCTCAAGACAGGGGTTAGAAATCAAATATGAGCTCGGGACTATAGACTCTGCTCCAAGAGAGTAGGCAGGACAAAGTTAGGGGAACCAGAAGGCAGAGGCTAGAAAACTGAGAGGCAAGAAATCACTAACAGGGCATCTCTAGGAAGTGCACGGCTGGGAAGAAAGCCATGGAGGGCTCACAAATCATACAGGCCTGACTGCCTGCTCAAACCATGACTTATGGTCATATTCTCTGGTGATCCTAGTTGTCTGTCGTGAAGAACGTTTCTTCCTGTGTTCATTCAGGTCCTCCAAAAACCATAGGCCAATTTGGAGTTGGAAGTGTAAGAGATTTATTGAGGACAATGCCTGTATGAGGGAAAGGAGAGGGAGAAACAGTAGGCAGGGCAAGTCTTTATGTTACAATGCAGATCTACTTGTGAAAGAAGATAGGGAGGCAGGAGGATTGAGTAGAAAAGTCTCAGACTATGGTTCAGCTGAAGAAAGTTTCCACCAGCTCAAACAGGAGCTTCATTGCAAAGATTGCCACAGAGAGATCTTAAGGTGGGCAGAAATGGCTTCTAGTTTCATCCCTGATACATGGTAATTTGCTTCATGATTCCCACATGAACTCAGAGATAATCTAGGCAGCATTGCTCAAAAGAACTTTCTATGATGATGGAAATGTTCTATATCTGTCCAATGTGGTAGCCAGTAACCACATGTAGCTATTGACCACTGGACATGTGACTAGTGTGACTGAGGAACTGAATTTTTGTTCATTTAATTACATTTCAATAGTTGTAAGTGTCTACCATATTAGACAGCACAGACACAGAGTTCAACTTTTTTAACTGAAGACATTGAGCCTAAATGGAGCAGGTCCAAATACATTTAAGAAGTTAAGGTTAAACCTAGAACTCGAACCCAATCTTTTTAAGTGCAGCCTTCTCTAAATAAGCCATTTCTGAGTTAGGATAGAGAACATACTACTTTGTTTAGAAACTTGGACCTTCATTTCCAAGGCACTTCACATATTTCAAGGGTCACAGACTCTGATCTTTCTCCAAGTAATTCACAGCTAATTCCATGCCAAAAGATGTCTCTTTATGATCAACTCCTGGTCCTTCATCCTTGTGCTTGCCTATGTATTTGTGCATGGCTCCTGTGACCTCTGCTGCTTAGGAAGTTTTCTGATCTACTTTGTTTCCAGACACCAATGTTCCTCCACTGTCATTTAGACTGCCACCGCCTGCTCCCAGCACTGGAGCCAAGCATGCCACACTTGAGAGTTGCAAGCTTCTCTGCCCGGCCATGACTGAAGCCTTCGTGTTAATCCAGCTAGATCCCCTGCTGAGCCCAGGGTCATGAATCCCCTCTCAGGCCTTTTCCTCCTCCCTGATCTAATCCATCACCTGCAGCCCAGATGGGGAGACCACAAATCTCTAGGAATGCATTCCTAGCAGAGGACATGTGATTACTCCAAGACTCACCATTCATTCCAAGACCTGGAATCTGGCAGCCTGGGGGAGTACACACTTCCTTTGGGCCCAAGACGGGAGAGTACTTTTCCTGTAGCATCTGAAACAGAGCCTTCACTGGAACCAAAACATTTCAAAACAAATGACAACAAAAAAGGACTTTTACACCTCTCCCCCAATCTTTCCCATTCCCTTCACCCTGAATCCCCCTTCTTTTTGAAAGAATTATCATCACATGTAAAATTCCACCAGATATTCTTTTCATGTGCTATCTCTCCTCCTTTACTTCGGATTGCTTCAGCTACTAAACATTTATTACATCCAGATCTCTCAGTTCTTTCTCTTCTGTCATAGCATCTTCTGTCATTTTAACACTTCTCTTTATCTAAAAATGAATTACAGAATTGGTGAGTAAAGCATCATGCAATAGAAGGTAGAAAGTAGAAACTGGTCAAAGAAGTTTCAGACTTAGTTTGAAAATGGAAAGTATGTACTGGAACCTCCTTTAACACAGAGCTTGGCATGTGCTTATAGGGAGTGAGCAGGACCATTTACAGAAGCTGTGCTGGGCTAACTGGCTGTGGGTTACCTATTCACATTAACCCTGGCAACATTTCGAGTGACCAGATTTACTAATATGGTTAACTTCCATTTATTTAGGCTTGCAGTGCACCAGGGACAGTGCTAGAAACAGTTATGTTTTTAAAAGCTCCACAATCCATGAAAATTAATCAAAGAAAGATTTTGTTGTGAAATTCTGTATCTTTTGGACACTAGGGGTAGTGTGATACTACAGGACCATTTCTATGAGACAAAGAACATTCTATATGGAGTGACAATATAATTTAATCACTTAAACCAGAACAATTTGAAAGTGAAAGGGAACATTATTAACAGGGAGAAGGAAATAAACAAGCAGTATTTCTGGCAAACCCACATACGGTCACTGTCATCTTCATTAAGGCCCTTGCCTATCTTATCAGGAAGCTGTGGAATGGTGGGGGGACTAACAAAGCCAGTCACCAACTGAGTGTTGAGTGCCAAACACTGGCCATGGACAGTGTCCCACGGGGCCAGTCATAAGCAAATTGGGATGCAAGGAGATGAAAGAGTTAAGCCAAGGACCTGAAGAAGACCTGGGGTACAAGTGCTAAGTCTGGAAGGGCCTTATAACTGAGCAATGATGGGGGACCTGAAGATATCATTCAGAAAAGTCTAGTCAGATTGAAGAGCATGCAATATGCATCCAAAGTCACAACTTCAGTCCCCTGCTGACCTTTGAGGATCGTGTGGGCATTTGTAGGGATGACTTAAGGGGCTGTCAGAAAAACTCCTGCCTGCCTGGATGCCACTGCTAATGTTTCTCACAGGCTTTTAGTTCTAGGATGGCGCAGCCTCTATTATAAATAGAGCAGGCATTCTGAAAAACAAAAAGGCCCTTAACCTTTACTGGTACACAGAGGTTCCCAGGGGTTGGACATTATTTATCCAGGAATGTAGAGTGCAAATAGCCATGGCAAATGTGAGACCATTTTTTATTTTCCTAGTTTTGCTGAATAGTCTCTTGAGATTGTGTTGGTGTTAATATATATAGCCTCACTTTGAGGGCAGGTGACTGGGAGCATTCTAAGTTATAAAAATAAATACATAGTCCCAATACATCTTCAATGCACTGAATTTTTGTCTCAGGCTACCTGCACAAATGAGGAAAATAGAATTCTTTTTTAAACACTTCAAAATTGGCTTCAGACAATTACTCAGAAGAGAGAAGAATACTGTGACCTTCAGATGCCAGGGTCAGTTCCCAAGAACACTCTTTCCGTGGTCCTTTGTCTTTCATTCAATATTTAAGAAGAAATATCACTATAGGCAATAGAGCCATATTCTTATATAACACTTATGCTCTGAAGAGTGAGGAAACTGAGGACAAAGGACATAGCTAACACCACAGAAAGAGACACACTCAGAGTGGGGATTAAAGTTTAGTTCTCCTGATTTATACACAGGTTAATATAGATTTGCTGGTAATTTGGTAGAGTGTAGACAGGTTTAAAGCTTTGGTGTCAATTAGACCCAAATTTTTATCTTGCTTCCATTTCTTCTAACTCTGGGACCTTAAATAAGGCCCTCTGCAATGAGTAACTTACTACCTACTTCATAACATGGTTATTAAGTAAAGAATTAGATTATGTTGATAAATTTCCTTGCCTAGGATTGAATAGGTTTCCAGGATAGCCAGCTCTCTTCCTCATTTCTCTGGATGAAATATTTCCCATTATTTAGGGTCAATTCAACTAGCTCAAATCTCCTCCATCCACAGTCCATTCATAGGAGAATACACAATAATAATTCTCAAACTCTTTTGATGTAAGAATCATCTGAGGCACTTGTTAGCAATGCAGCTTCAGCAGGATTAAAGTGAAGCCCAGGAATCTGTATTTTAATCTGCACTTCTTCCTCACTTTCCACTCTCACACTTCCACTACAAGACTCAGACACAACTGGACTACAGACCACACTTGGAAAAATCCTAATAGAGAGAAATGGCTTCAATGTACTATCTCAATAACTCCTAAACCATTCTGTGCTTCAGAATCAAATATGATGAAAATTCAAACAAAAAGTTCAGAAGTCCCTTACCCCAAGAGACACTAATTTAGTGAGTGGGGTCTAGTGTATGTATTTTAATAAGTTCACTGGCAATTCTGATGCTTAGCCAGGTTTGGAAACCACTGCTTTGTCTCACAGTAGTATGGTCCCACCCATTGTGATTTCAATGGCTAATTTGAACTAAATCACCCAAAACCATTCTGCACTGGACATTACTTCTCTACAAGAATGGAAAGATTTTACAATTAAGTATTCTAATAGAGACTTTCATGAATAAGTCATTACTCACAGGTGTTCATAATGACTTTACTTTCCATAGTCAGCTAGGATTTAGGGCCAGTCTTCACTTTTTTGTTTGTTTGTTCAAAACACATGCACACACACACACACACTCACACACACACACACACACACTCACACACACACACTGCACAGGTGATAACAAAGTTCTTATGCAAGAACATCTCATGCAAACACTCATTTCATTGTGGAGGAAGATAAAAAAGAGGCACCATGGGGCTCACAGATTCCAACTTGGTTTTTAGAGATGATGAGGAATAACTGAATGGGCAATTTTTAAATAAGCATAACAGCAATTGTGTCCGTTTCACACCTAGATCAGTAATTGCAGCCCGCCTTCCCAGGTACCAAGTTAATATACCAAGTTGACATAAAGGCAAACAAAACTATAATGTGTGTTTCACCAAAATGTCTATTACTACCCTTCACATATTTTCATCCTGCTGATCTTCATTGATCTCTACAGTTCTCCCAATCTTGGAACCATATTCAATTTCCCAAGTATATATGTATAAAGAGACTTCTTTTACTTATTCTACTCAACTTCCTGCTCAAATCTCGTCTACATGCACCAAGCTGCCAAGTTGTCCAACTTTGTGTGAGAAATTCCCTGTAATACCAGGCCTACCAACCAGATCAACTCTAGTCCTTTAGGTAAGATGGGGCATTTAGACCATTTGATGGCATTCCAATAGAATGCACAGATCACAAGGCATCTGCTGTGCAGATAACCAGCTGTGTATTCCACAAACACACTGAAATTCATCATCACTGCATTTTAGGTTACACCCCTTAATTCCCATTGTTGTAGAAAACAATCAAAAGCTTTTTTCTGCATTTGGATATTACATTGTTCAGAAACTTCTTATTTGTATTGAACCAGAAGTCTAAACATTGACTTCAACTCTGCTTTGCAGGAATGCCTTGAGAAATAAGAGGGTAAATCCATTTGCTGAAGGATATCACCAAATACGTGAAATTTCTATCTCTCCAACACACTCCTAGTTAATCCACTGGATTCTTAATTGAGAAAAATGACCATTCCCAAAGATAGCTTGATTTTATTTAGACTATTGGCTTTCATAGTATATGTTTTATGGTTTTCTACGAATATTCACTACCCTCAATAATCTCCACCTACAATAAGCTGCATTGCCAAAGGGTCCTGCCACTGCCAAGTCATTTGTTTGTCCTAAACTTCTTTGTTATATTATTTTTACAAATTCTTAAAAGAAATAATTGTCAATAATCAGTTCTTGAGCATTTACTATGTGTTTTACATAATAGAGATGATATTAAATCAGCATATTTTCCATTCCCCTGCAAATCTCTTTGCCTTGAAAATCACATACTCTAACAGTCTCCTACCATTCATGCTAAGTAAGAAAAATCAACCCAGGAAAGAAAGCACAAACTACAACAAATCAATCTTTTGTCAACTCAAAGCTGACTCTCTTGAGTCCTTAGCAAATCTAAGTAAATAGTTTTAAAAGCCAGGATTTGTGAAAACAAAATAGTTTTTCTGAATTGTAATAGCTCCCTTTACACATGTTAAAATACAGGCTTATCTAGACCATGGAAAATATTATTTGTTCTTTTTTTTTTTTTTTTTGAGACAGAGTCTCACTCTGTCGCCCAGCCTGGAGTGCAGTGGCACGATCTTGGCTCACTGCAAGCTCTGCCTCCCAGGTTCACACCATTCTCCTGCCTCAGCCTCCCGAGTAGCTGGGACTACAGGCACCTGCCACCAGGCCCGGCTAATTTTTTGTATTTTTAGTTGAGACGATGTTTCACCGTGTTAGCCAGGATGGTCTCGATCTCCTGACCTCGTGATTCCCCCACCTCGGCCTCCCAAGGTGCTGGAATTACAGGCGTGAGCCACCACGCCCGGCCAATTTGTTCATTTTCAAGATAATACCTCCATTGATTGCTCTATTATGACAAGCACTGATTGATATAAGTGTTTTGCATGTATTCACTCCTTTCTACCTTACAACAATCTCCATCTCATTTGTTCACTCGTGTGTCCCAAGCTCCTATAACATGGACTGATAGACAGTGGACAAAATAAATATGTGCTATGTGAATAAGCAACTTTATGAAATATATACTGGACAGTATATATTTCTATGTACATTTTGCAGATAAATAAACAGAGGCACAGAGCAGTTATGCTTCATTTCCAAGATTTTATACTCAGTAGTAATAACTAAGATTCAGGATAGGGAAAGTGATTCTCCTAAACTTCAAGTGAGGTGGTCAACGTCATTAGAGCCAAAACAACTCTAGATTCTCTAACTTCAAACCTATACATAATTTATAGGATTTTCTGCCAAATAAAAATAAATTTTGTGCACATGCACACATAACACCAACACATGTGTTCATGTAACAGCCAGCAGCTTTCCTTTCAGAGGTTTCCTAAGAAACAAGCAAAATCATAGCCATAAAAAGTGCTTTGAAAGATATAAAATAGACCCATGCAAGGTGCTATAAAAATAATAATGATTAAAATTTATCACAAATTTGCCTGGGGCCAGCCTCATAGGTCTCGATCTGTCTTCTTCACTCCTGATGCCAATTGCCAGCTGCTTCCTGTCCTGAATTTTGAATGATAGCCAGATTCTTCTCACATCTGACAAGTGAGTCCTACTGGGTTCTGCCCAAACCCTATCCCTCCTACTACATCACCATTTGGTTGGAGAAGGAAGGAACCTCCATTTATTATGAATTTTATGTTTCAGGCACTGTACTCTTTATTCACTGACTTAATTATCAAATACTTATTGAACACCTACCATGTGCCACACACTGTGCCAAACAGACCTGGATGACAGTGAGCAAGACTAAAGTGGCCTTTGTCTTCATAGCCTAGTGGAACCATGCCTTACATGCATTATATTATTCAATTCTACAAGTAAATCTTTAGATGGCTCCTCCTAGAACTGTTCCTCTGTTGTAGATGAGAAAATGAGGCTATGCAAAGTGAGGTAACTTGTTAATTTCACATGACCACGTGGTGAGGTTGTATTAAAATATTTAAATATGCAATTGACTCCAGAGCCAATATGAAGTTTCTCTTCTTTGTCAATTTTTGTCCTACTTTGCCTGCTTTTACTGCAAGTTAACATTCAACTCTCGGTTCTTTCCAAAGTCAATGAAAGACTTACAGAGAGCATTCAATAAGAATTAAGCTTAAGATGAAAGCCAAAGCAAAAGAGATTTGGCTTTATTGTCTAGAACATAGTTTGCCTGACCCCACCCACCTCAGTTCTTCTCAGGCCTGTGCAGTGAAAGTGGCCCCTTGACCTAGCTCATCTCCATAGCCAAGAGCAAGGAAAATGTGCCAAAATGAGCAAATACCTCTGTGCCTAGAGTTTCTCAAGATAGAGATGAGTGGCCAACGACTAATTCCTATAAAAAGTCCTTAAGTGCATGTCTTTTCTGTAGTTCTTAAGGGTGAAAATTTGACGTATCTCCAGCTTACTAGTAAGTTATCTACTAAGATGTTAAAGGTTTTAAATGCTAATATTCATAAATTAAAATCAGCATATCACTAGAGTCTCCCAAAGATATGAATTCCATTTTCTACTAAGAAGGCTGATTTCCTCAAAATGTTTGCCTATGTTACACCCTACTGTAGCTCAGTTAATTCATAATTACTGAAATTTACAGATACACAAAGGAAATTTTGTCATCATTGAATTCCTAGCATTGTGTTGGGTTGATCATGGTTTTATTTCTGCCAATCTCATTTTGTAATTATCATTTATTGTTAATTTAACAGCAACATCAATTTAATCTATTGTGGGTTGTTTGGTTTACCATGCAGTATATAATAATGAATATATGCATTTTTTTCTAAATGGTCTAACACAAAGCTTTGACATGCATACACAACAATTCAAATATGAATTATACATACTTCACTGATAACATGGATGTATACACCACAACAGTTTTTTTATACTTCACTGATAACACGGATGTATACACCACAACAATTTTTTAAATATATGGTGATGATTGGTGTTGCCCACAAATTTGAGTAGTTCAAAATTTGCCATATAGGGTTCTTTTTCTCTTATGGATGAAGAAGCTCCAACTGCACCAAGCCTTCTGCATATAACTATATACTTTAGACAATATATGAAGAAACAACTACCTCATGTTACCAGAGAGTGAGCAAAAGAAAAAAGTTCTATAGAGAAGGAAACAGCATAATAAGTATCACTTTTAAAATAGATCGACCCTGAGGGCAGGCCACAGTTGGCACCACTACATAGCTAAAACTCTGATAGAAATCCCAAAAGAAAACCTAGCATCTTTCTGTCCTGAAAAATTAGAGAACAGAGTTCACTGTAACCATAACTGCTGTAAAGTCAGTGGGGGAGGTCTCAAAAAGGAGAAAACAAGTGTGGGAAGCCCCAAATTCTGTATATAAACTCCATCCAAGTCTGGCTGACTTCTGAATTATGCACACTTGTGGCAAGCTACTAACAGCTAAAATAAGAATAATAGAACTGAACTAAAATTTGCATAGATTCCAAAGGGACACATTTTTCAATTTGAACCCAATTAAGTTAACATTCTCTCAGAACAAAAATTTAACACCTTAAGAAGAATATATAGAATAGAGTCTGCACAATACAACAGTGAGAATGTCCAAGATATACTCCAAAATTATTCTACATACAAAGAAACAGGAAAATGTGATCTATTCTCAAGATACAACATAATCAACAGAGACCAACCCCAAGCTGACCCAGAAGTTGGAATTAGAAAGCAATTATTTTAAAAAGCTATCATAATTTGTGCCCAATCATATAAGGAAAAATATGCTCATAATAAATAAAAATAGAAAATTAATAAAAACTGTTAAAAAAAAGGAAATCATAGAACTGAAAACACAATATCTGAAATTTAAAAATTTACAGTATGGACATAATAGCAGAGTGGAGAATATAGTAGAGTCTGCCAACTTGAAGATAAACAGAAAATATCCAATCTGAAGAAGACAAAAAAGAGAAGCAAACAAATCCTAAAAACCTATAGACAAATATCAAATTATCTAACATACATGTAATTAGAGTTGCAAGAGAAGACAACCCACACAGAAAAAGACGTGAGAAAATAATGACTGAAATTTCTCCAGATTTCCTGAAAGACATAAATTTACAGATTCAAGAGCTCAATCAACTCAAAGCAGAATAAATATGAAGAAAATCTCACCTAAGCATATCATAGTTAAACTACTAATAACCAAAGGCAAGACAATCTTGAAAGCAGCTAGAGAAAAAGGACACATAGCATATAAGCAAAAATGATTCAGATGTTTGCTAACTTCTCACTAGAAATAATGGAAGCCAGTAGAGAGTGTATCAGTGTCTTTAAAGTGCTGAAAAAAAATAAATGCCAACCCAGAATCCTAACCTAGCAAGAATATCCTTCAAGAATGAGGGCAGAATAAAGACATTTTTAGATAGAAAACTAAGATAATTTGTCATTTTAAAAGAAATTCTCAAAAAGCTTTTTAGACTGAGGGCTATCAATAACATGAAAACTCAGATCTTCAGGAAGGAATGAAGATCATTGGAAGTACTAAATGCCTGGGTAAATATCAAAGATTGTTTTTCCTCTTAATTGTTTTATATGTGAAGACTTAAAGCAGAAATTATACTATCGTCCTTGCAGGTTTATATATGTGAAAAACATAGCATATCGAGTAGCAGTGGATGAGATGACTCTATCAGGTTGGTGAAAAGGTAATTGTGGGTTTTGCCATTAAAAGCAGCCAGATGGATGCTGAAAAAAGGGATCACTTATTTAACAAATATTTATCGAATTGATATATATGCAATGCATTAATATTAGGTGCCTAGTACACAGTGATTAACAAAACAGATTTTGTCTTTTTCATTAAAGCAATAAAAAAGTAGTAAAAGCTTTTGAGCAGAGGAGTAACATGGTAAGATTTACATTTATGAAAGCTCTCTCTTTAAAGAATAGGTGGAGAAAGATGAGAATATATGCAGGAAGAAGAAGTATAAGGCTATTGCTATGACTCAGGAAAGAGATAAAGATTGCTTGGATGCAGCTACTAAGAGTGAAATTGGAGACATTGCTCTGAAATTAATGGATCTGAGAATATTTTGGAAGAAACTGACAGTATATGATGACGAATTGGTTATAAGGGGTGAGGAACAGGGAGTGACTCATGGGTGATACCTAGTTTTCTTAGGAAAAGAAGGTGAAGCAGTCAGGTGAAGATAGTACCATTTGCTGAGCTAAGCAATACTAGCAAAAGTGGGGACCATGAGTTCATTTGGGAATATTTTAAGTTTGGGCTACTCTAATTCCCTGAAAATATCAGGTGCATAGTTTGATGTGTCTAGTCAAACTTATACAGCACTCAAGTGTGTGTTTCAAAATAAATATTCAATACATATTGATATGATTTATTAATAAATATTCAATATGTAACTGACTAAATTGAAATCAGAGGAAAGCAAACAACCATGTATTAAGTGTTGACTCTGACCGGCATTATGTCCACCACTTTATCTACATCATCTCATTTTCAACTTTAATATTATGACTTCAATTTTACAGAATTAGGAACAGGCTCGGGGAAATGAAATAATACAACAAAAAAAAAAACTGTAGACTCAAGACTAAAACTCATGTCTGCCTCTACAAATCCTTCTGAAGTCTTTGTTCTTGCCTCTGTTCCCTCCCACCACCACATAATACTTATTTTATGGAAAATGAAAAAGCTTCTTCCACTCTATCTTAGAAAATATCTCCCTCTTTTCTTCCCTACATGCATTTCTTTTCTCCCACTCAAGCAGGGATACTACAGAATGAAATTCAGCAATTTCTCCTCTGCTTCTATTCAAGATTAAGGGAAGGAAGCCTGTAGAAAAATAAAAAATAAAAAATGGAAAATGCTCCCAGTGCTCCAAGATTGTGGATATACACTCATTTCATGTGTACTCTTCAAAACTTTCAAGGAAGCTGAAATCTAATTTAATCTATTACATGATTGTGCTAAATTACTTAACCACATCAAAGCATCAATGGCCTCACACTCTGGGAAGGGACATTGTAAAATGGTTTTCAAATATATAATGCAGTCTCTCAGGTGCCTGAGACAGGGACGCCCATCCCTGAATATAAAGCTTCCCTTACACTTCTGAGATCAAAACAACAGAGCCATTATTTGAGAGGCTGGATGAAATACCAGAACCATTTCTTATTAGCTTTAGTCATTAAAGAGAATTTAGTAGCCTGGCTATTTATGCCTCTTTTCTTCCTTCTTTAAAAAAAAAAAAAGGCAATCTTAATGGAATGAAAGGGCAGAAGATTTTAAAGATCAAGATTATGAGTAAATTTCCCACTAATTACACTGTTTTCTGCTTTTAGAAAAGAAAAACAAAACCAATTTTCCAATTCCCCCTGCCTCTCATACTAAACATTTTAAGAAAGCAAAGGAAAAAAAAGAAAAAAAAAGATGTTAAGTATATTGTCCTTCACTAAGAGTAAAGACAATTGTTACTATACCACTAGTACTACTGTAAATACTAGTGAAAAGTATCCCATGTGAATCTGTTCTCTAGAATGTCAAAGGCATTTTCCCATAAAAAGAATTTTATGAACAAAAGTTGGATCTCCAGTAAGGCCCACAAAAGCCAAGCCAGTCACGGTGTTGACATAGATCAGTATTGAGGCAATATCTAGAAATCTCAGCAACATCAGAATTACATCTCGACTCCCTCTCTTTCTCCTGTCAACAACTATTTTGAAAGCCATGTAATAGTGAGAATTTAGCTTTTGTATGAAGAAAAGAGAAGGCAGTATAGCTTAGCATACTATGAGCACTAGGACTGGATTACCTAGGTTTGACTCCTGTCACTAAACACTTCCCAGCTCTGAACATGAGACAAGGCCCTTCCCTTATGTGGGCCTCGGCTCCCACATCCACATAACAGGGATTAAAGTAGGATCCTTAGTGTTGTTGTAAGTAAGTTATTACCTTAAAACACAGAGAATAATTCCAGGCACATAGTGAGTACTCAATAAAAGAATGCTATTGTCAGGGCACGATGCCTCATGGTTTTAATCCCAGCACTTTGGGAGGCCGTGGTGAGCAAATCACTTGAGGCCAAGAGTTTGAGACCAGCCTGGACAATATGATGAAACCCAATCTCTACTAAAAATACAAAAATTAGCCGGCCATGGTGGTAGTCCATAGTCCTAGCTACTCGGGAAGCTGAGGCACGAGAATCACTTGAATCTAAAAGGCAAGGGTTGTAGTGAGCCAAGATCATGCTACCGCACTCCAGCCTGGGTGACAGAGCAAGCACTGTCTCAAAAAAAAAAGAAAGAAAGAAAAGTCCATTATTATTGGTACTGTCATACATATTTTATCTAATCTTTGCCATTATCCCTCAATATAAATATATTTATCTTCCATGTCATAGATGAAGAAACTGAAGCCTAGAGAAGTTACGTAATTTTCCAGGGAAACACAGTCATAAAAGATAAATGTTTAAAGATAGAGCCAGATTTCTGACCCAGTCCTGATACCCAAACTCCAGGTTCTATCATGTATGGCCATCATGCAATGCCTGTGAAGATGCAGGGTTCTCAAAAACACATCCTTCCCCTGCCTCCCAATCCCCTTCACTAATTCCTCAGCCACTGACCCCACAGGAAGAAGGAAAGACAGATGGCAATCAAAACTCTTTCTCCCTTTCCAGGACCCACAGAAGGAGAAGGCTGCCCCAGCTCTGTGCCTAGCAAGGGCCAAGCTTCCATAGATATTTGACCTTTGTAAATTAGGCATTCAGAAGTCAAAGAATGCCTGTATTTAAAATTTCCATTGTAGATTTCTGGCAAATCCATGAGTGTGAGCTCTTTGAAAATGCCACAGGCCTGTGGAAATCCTTGTGGGTGTAATTAGCTAGAGAAAGTGAAGGTGACTGACCATTTACAGTCACATCATAATGAAATGAAGTATTACAGAAACCATGAAGCCAAAACACTGGGAGGGCTGAGACCCACAAAGTAATCTGGACATAGAGATGTTTTCCAGAAACCAACTGTGAAAGAACTAAGAGGGTGTTCTACTCACAGGCTTGACACTGAGCTGGTCCAGTTTCCCTTCACATTCAGAGGCAGAGGCTGGAGAAAAGAGAAGAAAACCCAGATATGAGGAATAAAAGCATTCAAGGCCTGGAAAACAGATCTCGTGGCAGTGGGTTTCCTTAGGAACAAGATGGGAGAAAAAGGATTTTCCCTGATTTCTGGGATCTTCTCACAGCTCCCAAACACTTCTTAATTATTTTGAAAATGTAGTTTTGATTATGAGGAAGGTCCTTTTAAGGAATTACAGAATCTGAAAACTGTAAGAGGGATTGGCCTTTACAGAGCACTTACCATGTGTCAGGCATTGTGATCCCACTATAAATCTTCCAACAACCCTGTAATTATTGTCCTTGCATTACAGAGGAGGCTCAGAGAGGGTTAAGCCCCGCCCAGGGTCACAGAGCCAGGATGCAGGACCCTGGCTCCCAGCCTGCCTGACACCACAGGCAGAGGCCTTGCTCACTCACATTCACTGACTTCCTTTGAAGTCATTTTGTCCAAGCTTCAGCACCCTGTGCAAGTGCCCTGAACAGCACCCCCAATAGGTGGCTTTTCAGTTTCAGTTTGAATAATTGCTGCAAAAAGAAGCTTACTACTTCTTTTTATTGCAGTAAAATACACATAAAGATAACCAATTTATTTTTGTATGTGGGTACACAGTAGGTGTATATATTTATGGGTTCCATGAGTTGTTTTGATAATAGGCATGCAATACATAATAATCACATCAGGGTAAATGTGGTATCTGTCACCTCAAGCGTTTACCCTTTGTGTTTCAAGCAATCCAATTATATACCCTTTTAATCATTTCAAAATGTACAATTAAATTATGTTTGACTATAGTCACTGTGTTGTGCTAGCAAATACTAGGTCTTATTCATTCTTTCTGGTTTTTTGTACCCACTAACCATCCCCACTTCCCACTCCCCACCATCCCACTACCTTTCCCAGCCTCTGGCAACAGTCCTTCTGTTCTCTATCTCCATGAGCTCAATTATTTTAATTTTTAGCTCCCACAAATAAGTGAGAATATGCAATGTTTGTCTTTCTGTGCCTGGCTTATTTCACTTACCATAACGACCTCCAGTTGCATGCATGTTGTTGCAAATGACAGGATCTCATTCTTTTTTACAGCTGAATAGTACTCCATTTTGTATATGTACCACATTTTCTTTATCCATTTGTCTGCTGATATGCACTTAGGTTGCTTCCAAATCTTGGGTATTTTGAATAGAGCTGTAATAAACATGAGAGTGAAGACATTTCTTCAATATATTGATTTCCTTTCTTTTGGGTATATTCCTAGCAGTGAGATTGCTGGATCATATGGTAGCTCTATTTTTAGTTTGTTGAGGAACCTCCAAACTGTTCTTTATAGTGCTTATAGTAACTTACATTCCCACCAACTATGTACAAAGGTTCAAAGGTAACCATTTTAAAACAAACAATTCAGTGGCATTTAGTACATTCATAAGTTTGTACAACCATTACCACTATTTAGTTGCAGAAAATTATCATCATCCCAAAATGAAACTCCATACTCATTAAGCTGCCACTCCCCATTCTTCATTCCCTCAGCCAATAATTTGCTTTCTGTCTTTATGATTTGCTTATTCTAGATGGCTCATATAAATAGAATCATACAATATGTGGCTTTCTTATCTAACTTCTATAACTCAATATAATGCTTTCGAGGTTCACCCATGTTGTAGCATGTATCAGTACTTCATTCCTTCTAAGGCTGAATAATAGTCCACTTTATGGATATACCACATTTTTAAACACTTGTTTTCAATAATTTTAGGTATGTAACTAGGAGCAGGATTATTGGTTTATATGGGAATTCTATGGTTAACTTACTGAGGAACCACCAAATGTTTTCCACCACAGCTGTGCCATTTTACATTCCCATCAGCAATGGATGAAGGTTCCAATTTCTCCACATTCTCACCAACACTTGATATTTTCCATTTTGTTTTGTTTTTTTAATTATAGCCATCCCAGTGTGTGTGAAGGAGTATCTCATTGTGGTTTTGATTTGCATTTCCCTAATGACTAATGACATCAAGCATCTTTTCATGTGCTCATGGCCATTGAGATATCTCCTTTGGAGAAATGTGTATTCAAGCCTTTTCCCCATTTTCTTAACTGGGACATTTGCTTTTGTTGTTGAGTTATAATTCTTTATATATTATGGATATTTGTCCCTTTTTTTTTTGAGACAGTGTCTTCCTCTGTCGCCCAGGCTGGAGTGCAGTGGCACAATCTCGGCTCGCTGCAAGCTCCGCCTCCCGGGCTCACGCCTTTCTCCTGCCTCAGCCTCCTGAGGTAGCTGGGACTACAGGCGCCCGCCACCACGCCCGGCTACTTTTTTGTATTTTTTTACTAGAGACGGGGTTTCACCGTGTTAGCCAGGATGGTCTCAATCTCCTGACCTCATGATCCACCACCCTTGGCCTCCCAAAGTGCTGGGATTACACGCCTGAGCCACCACGCCCAGCTGATATTTGACCCTTAACAGGTATACTATTTGGAAATATTTTCCTCCATTCTGTCTTCTCACTGTCTTGATATTGTCCTTTGATTCAATAAAGTTTTTAATTTTGACGAAGTCAGATTTATCCATTTTTTCTTGTATGGCTTATACTTTTGGTGTCATGTCTAAGAAATCAGTGCCAAAGCCAAGGTCAGGGAGTTTACTCCATGTTTTCTTCTAAGAGTTGTATAGTTTCAGCTCCTACATTTAAGTCTTTGATCCATTTTGACTTAATTTTTGTATATAGTGCTAGGTAAGAATTTAATTTCACTTTTTTTCACATGGATACACAGTTGTCCCAGCACCATTTGTTGAAAAGGCTGTTATTTTCCTATTAAGTATTCATGGCACCCTTGCTAACAATTAATTGACCATATGCGTATGGGCTTATTCCTAAACTCTTAATTCTGTACCACTGATCTATATGTCTATCCCTATGGTATTACCACATTGGTTTTATTAATTAATTAATTAATTTATTTATTGAGGGATTCTCCCTCTGTTGCCAGGCTGGAGTGCAGTGGCACGATCTTGGCTCACTGCAACCTCCACCTCCAGTGTTCAAGCAATTCTCCTGCCTCAGCCTCCCGAGTAGCTGGGAATACAGGCACGCGCTACCACATCCAGCTAATTTTTGTATTTTTAGTAAAGACGGGGTTTTACCATGTTGGCCAGGATGGTCTCGATCTCTTGACCTCGTGATCCACCCACCTCGGCCTCCCAAAGTGCTGGGATTACAGGCATGAGCCACCACGCCCAGCCACCACACTGATTTTAAAACTGTAGCCCACTACTTTTTAAGGCAAACTACTCAGCCTTCAGATATCCCCACCCCTTGTTAGAAAGTTATTTCTTACCCTGATAGTACTAATCACTGATCCTAATTCTGCCCTCTAGAGTCTCATTATCAACAACAACATGATCACTAACGTTTCTAAAGCTCTTATTGTTTTCCAGGTATGTCCTAGGTGTTTTATATGTATTGTTTATCGCATTGTGTCTTCAAACACTATAGGTACAATTATTACCCTCCGTGAAGAGGTGAAGAAACTGTGGCATAGAGAGGTTAAATGACCAACCCACTCACAGTTACATAATAAGTGGCAGATCCAGGATGCAAACCCAGGCATTATTTCGGTATTCAGTTCACGCTTTTAACCTACAGAGCAGTAGAGCCAATTCACTGTGTACATTCTGGGTCAAGCACTGTGCTTAGGGCGAGAAGTGCAAAGGTAAATAGGTCACTAACCCTGGATCATGGAGTTCACAAATCAGCAGAGGAAAAACATGGTCAATATAAAGTTTGCCTGTGGAGGGTGTTGCAATGCAGGAATACCAATGATAGATGTTTTCCCTGGGAAACTAGAAGACATCACAGGAAAGGTGAACTTCAGGATAGATCTTGAAGCACAAGCAGAAATTTGCTAGAGCATAAGAGGGAAGAGCAGTGGAGGCATGACCTATTGTAAACCAATCCCGTAAGATACAAATATGTTTTGACAATATCAGTTAATGACTTTACATATTTTCCTCCAATAATGTCATCTTGATGAAGTCAGTTTCTTAATCCTGTATACAAAATCCTTTTTAACTCTGAACCTCTCTGATATATATTTGCTTTCATTCCGCCTTTGTATTCCCTGAAAATAAGATCGTTTGCCTTTCATATGGTAGTCTAAGCGTCTATTCTGACCAAAAGTACACCAAAGTCTTGAGATGCTTTGGTTTTCTTAAGGAAAATACTTTCTTTTTAAATTTTGAAGGATCACCACCAGCTCTCAATTTTAATCAGCTCATAATAAATTCCTTGGGGAAAAAGTAGCTTTCTTCTAAATCCTGGATTCCTCCTGTTCCTAAAATAATGAAAGATATTGTAGGAAAATCATAGGCTAGGTTATAGTATGTCAAATTTGTTCATAATAGCAGCTCACTTGAGAGGCTAAGTGAGGACCTCTGAGGGATAACACAGGCCTGTGTCCTTTGAAATCTCCCATTTCCCAGAGTCTTGAATTGTGTTTCTCTGGAAGTCCCTCAGCTGCTGGCTCAATTCATACGTGAGCTGTACTCTTCTGGGGTAAAGTTGTTAAACAGAGAGAGAGGTACAGAGCCCCTGAGGGACTATCAGCTAAAATGCTAGCCATGACCTGGTGAGGGGATGGTTCTAGGATAGTGCTTTGCTAAGTAGCCAATCTGTCAAAGATTGCCAAGATGTGGTAAGGCGATTACATCACAATGTAAATCCATGCGTTGCTTCTTTCATCCAAAAAGTCTTGCTACAAAAAGTATATAAATAGAATCAAGCAGTGTGCTTAATTACAAAGTTGATTTTTAGTTTGGCTCGAGGTCTTTTTCTTATCGCAGACCAGTAACGGCTTATAAACTGACAGGGTCCAGGGACCACTCTTTGAGGAGCCCAGATCTGGGAGAAAAAGTCTTCTCAAAAAGGGGATAGATTTCACTCTCCCTCATCTGCAACTTTGTCACCTAGGGTGCAAACAAAGTGGTGTTTTTCTTCACTCAGGGGACCACCCACAAATCCACAGACTGTTAGTCCTGCCTTCTTAGCCAATCTAGGGATTTATACAGCTCAGGTGCAGCATGGAACCATAGAAAGCACACAGGGTCTGGGGTTATGCAAACCAAGTTTCAAAGCCAATTTTTTCCACCCTCTAGCTTTGTGACGTTAAACAATATCCTACTTCTAAACTTTAATGTCCTTATCTGTAAGTGGGATAGTAATACCTACCTAACAAATTTTTTCAATTAAATTTATAAATATGTATCAAGTATTGTGTAAATGTCATGTATGGAAGAGAAAATTCAAATTTTTCCTACTCTTACCTCCTTCTCCCCTTGCTCTTCCTTCTTTCCCTTATTAAGCCCATGAAAACCTTCTATAAGAATAGATCAGTATACTCTGTCCCTGCTCTTATTATTAATGCTTACATTGATTGAACTATAAAATATCAGTCCCTCTTACCTAAGACCCAGATCCCTCCTTCAAATAGTTTGATTTCAAGCCCTAGGTGTAACTTAACCTCCCATTCCCCTTTCTTGCCCAGGGTATCCTAGCTATAGCAAAAGAAACTCTGACTTTTCACATTTTTATATCTCTTTTTCTTTCTCCAACCATTTATTTTCCTTCTTTCTAATTATTCCAAGTATAGATTATAAGGAACTATAAGAATCAAACTCTACTAATTTCACCAAAACATAGACCCTTGCCTCTCACCACGCTGCCCTATCCCACCCTCACCATCCAAACTAATCCAAGTCCATGGTATCACTGCTAATATAAATACTCCCCTCCTTCAACAAAAACTTCAACTCTCTGGACCACTGATGCTTTCCTGAGCATCAAATAACTCTACATTGACCTAGAACACTGAGAAGGATCATTTTTCAATAGAGTCTTGACGTCATACATACATGCTCATATTAGCATTCCCAAAATGAGTTTTTCATCCATTTCCCACAGTTCCTGAACCTTTTCCATTATAAATCTTTCCATTGATAAAGGAATTTACTCAAAGATCAAATATCTATGCCTGTAAAGAAGTAAGTAGAGGCCACGTGCAGTGGCATGCACCTGTAATCCCAGCACTTCAGGAGGCCAAGATGGGCAGATTATTTGAGCTCAGGAGTTCTAAACCAGCCTGGGGAACATGGCGAAACTATCTCTACAAAAGATACAAAAATTAGCCAGATGTGGTAGTGTGCACCTGTAGTCCCAGCTACTCAGGAGGCTGAGGTGGGAGAACTGCTTAAGCCTGGAAAGTCGAGCTGTAGTGAGCCATGACTGCACCACTGCACTCCAGCCTAGGCAATAGAATGGAGACCCTGTTTCAAAAAAAAAAAGTAGTAAATAGAGAACTACATTTATTGCTAGGCATTTAATACAGACTGTCTCACTTTATCCCCCAGAACAACACAATAGGGTAAGCATTATTAGCCCCATTTTACATATGAGAAACTAAGACTTACAGAGTTTAGAAGTGGCAAAATTAATATTTAAACTCAGGACAGCCTAGTCTCCAGCAGGAATCCCTTTGATAGCTTCCTTTAAAAGGGAACATTTAGTTTATGTTTAACTACATCCTGGGACTGAAAGCTCCACATTTGACCCAACCCATCATGGAACTTCTCTGATTCTTTGAAAGCGTTGGCGTCTAACAATGAAGGCATTCTGGAAATAAAACTGGCTGCTTCAGGGGAGTGGTGGTCTCCCCATCCCAGCACCGCCTCAGCTGCCCAAAGGCCTTTGGTTTGTTTCAAATGCAGATTCTCAGTCCCTATTTAGCTAACCCATTCTCATGTGCGACACACCAAAGGTGATAATCCAGGACCAATCTGAATTCTTAAATCACTCTCTAAAAGCAAGAAGGACAAAACCAGTAAGAAAAGCCGTATTTACTTTGCCACTCTTCCCAGAGGCAAGGGCATTGCAAGCAATGGAGAGTAAGAGGAAAATTAAACTATAAAGAATTATTTGACAGTGTTTCTTTAATCGTGGTCTACATCTGCTGATCCAGCCAAAAGCAAGGGGGCAGAGGTGATCTTTGCTATGCCACAGTGAATAATGCAATCATATTTTTGATACCAAACTACATTTAACTGCCATATAAATCCTGCCTGCCTCAATACCACACCTCATTATCTCACAGGAAATGTATGGCTTCTTGAAATTCAAATGTGGTCAGATCTGTGCCTCCAAAGCTGAGATACAGACACAAAGTGGAGAGTCATATGTTTGCTTCACCAGCCAGTACAGCTTCCTAAGTGCACATAACAAGCCTTGCCCAGCTATCCTTGGCACTAACTTGTTGTGGACATCGGGCAAAGCACTCTACCTCTCTGAGATTCCGTTTTCTACTTCAAAGTGGGAGCTGGGATATCGTTATTCCCATTTTGCAAATGAGGAAAGTCAGAGAAGTTTGCAAATTGCTCAAGGTCACAGTCAAATATCTAGTCAAAGGGAATATTGACATCAAACCCAAGTCTGTCTTGACTCACAAGCATGCTTTTCCAAAAACAAAAAAGCTCTAACACCATGGCTCTGTGGTACTTTGCTACAAGTAATAGGTTCAGAAATCCTTAACAATGGCTTCCACAATTTGAGACATCTTAATCTCAACAGAGTGAACAGCCCAGATTCCCAAAAGAGGAAAAATGTGTGAAATAAACACAACTTTGTAAATGTTCAAGATTGATTTCAGGGAGTACGGTGGGGGTAGCTGAGGTGATTGGTACAGAAATGGAAAGAGAATGCTTTCTCAATGTCTTTGGACAGCAGGAGGAGGGTGATTTGGAAATGACTCTGCCTGACTTGAGAAGAAGGAAGAAGCATGCTGGGTCATTTTTGCCTTGTTTCTAGCTGCATGAATTGAAAAGCCAGGCCCAGGTTCAATGCATCATTCTTGAAGCAGTGAACAAAATCCCTCTTTGTTCCCCAGTGAAACTTATCTCTGAAGAGCTGCACTACTTCCTGTGAGATATAGCCCTGCAGATGTGTCGTGGGAGACCCGCCCGGCTGCACTGCCTTCCATAAAAGTGCAAGAATGGGCACTTTGTACTGCTGGACTGAAAATGACACTCACTCTTCTGATCCCCACTGGGGTTACCAAGTGGGCAAAACTTCCTGCTTAGAGGAGGGGTCATAGACAGCAGGGGGAGTGTGTGATTTTGTTTTGTTCCTTTGTGAATTTGTTTAGCTATTTATAGAGCTAAAGGAGAAAGCAAACGGGCACAATGTAGCACAGTGTTTTTCAAAGTGTATTCCATGGAACCCTTTCGTGGGTTGCAGACCCCAGGGGTGGAGGCAGAGGATGGGGTGGTGACAGCAGCAGGTGCTGTCCAGGGCCTTCTGTCTCCCTCACCCCCTACACTAACTACAACCTTTAGAGCAGTTCTACTTCTAACCATGTAATGTGGTGGGCTGATACTGTTTCATTCAAAGACTTTCACAGTCAAAAAAGTGTTTGAAAAACACAGATGCCATAAGAAGATCCTATAGGATAAGAATCATCCAGAATTCTATTCTCAATTTTCTTAAAATATAGATGTGTAATTTTGAGTCATTCATTTCAACCCTGATCTTAGTCTCTTCATCAATAGAATGAGGAGGTTCTGACAGCATAAAACTTTTAAGTGTGAACACTGCACTATGCTTATAACACTTATCAGACTGATTCCAACAGAGAGGATCCTCCACACGTATTCACTTTGATAGATATTTATTAACATACACTTGGAGTCAGGCACCATCTTAATCTTGGGGAGGCAAAAATGGAAAACAAAATGCCTGCCCTAAAGAAGTTCACAGTCTGAGCTACAGACAGGAAACTAATTTAATTATTACAATAAAAGATGAAAGGTGCTATGTTCAGAGAAGGGTTAGTTATTTCGAAACGTGGATACCAAAATGTTTTCTGGGAGAACTGTTGAACTAACTCTAGCATAAAAGTAGCCTCAGACCTTAAATAAGCAATCTACTCTGATTTTAGAAGCCTAAAGAAGGAATACAGGACACCATAAGAGATAGTCAAAGGATAGCTAGAACAAGAGCAACCCTAGGTGACAATAATTTAGTGTCCAGGATAGTGTTCAAATCAGCCATCATACGTTACCTATTTAGAAGGAGCTAAAAAGAGGAAGGACTCTAGAAGGGAGAAAAGTAAACACTTCCAAAATGCTTACCTTTACTCTTGCCATCCCTAAGTTAAGGGTTCATGGGCTGATCCTTTGCACTGCACAAAATACAACTGTGTTATATCAGGAGCTTAAATGATGGCCCCGTGGTTCAAGTGAAATGGTTTAGTTAAAAGAACACTTGAAGCAAACACATCTGGGCTATATCCCAGCCCCACCACCCACTAGCTGTGTGAGTTGGGGCAATTTGTTTAACTTTTGTTATCCTGTCTTTCTCCATTTGTAAAATGGAATGGTAATACCTACTTTCTGGGATTAGTTTGCCACCCAGGTCTGGAGTTTCCTCATCTAAAAAATTCATGAATTATATTAGATGTTCTCTGAGGTCCTTTCAAGCACTAAAGTAGTTTTTCTGAAATTGCTACTAGAGTATAAGGAAGTTCTTCAGTGCAGGCTGAATTTTCACCACAAAAAAAAGATAGTAGGAAAAGCATCAAATGCTTTGGAATACTTTAGATCAAAGGAAGAATTGGTTACAATAAAATAAATACAGCTTTCTCCCAGAAAAATAATCGGAAAAGAAGGAAACTCCCTGTAAGATGATTTAATTTTCCATTAATGTACAATAAGAGGCTCTTTCTGACATTCCTAAAATTAAGTGGGTACCAGCAGACAGTACTTGATACACAGAAAGCCACTGTTGGTGCTATTAAAATTTATGGGCTATTTAAACAGTGCTCTTATAAGGGACATTAATTTTTCTCCAGTGGGAAAAATAAGCTATATAAAATTGATGCCTAGATAATCAAAAAGGGGGAAAAGACTGTGCAGTTGGGAAAAAATAATAAGAGAGCATCAAAATTTTCTAATTCTGTGTTCATGTAGTAACTATTAATGGCATAAGATATGAATGTATTTATGCTGGATTGTTCTATTGTCAACTTGTTAAACTAGAAACTTTGTGTCCTAGAATTCCTTCTTAATATGATTCTGAGTTCAGGTCAGTTAAAAGAGGAACTTGTGTGAGATTTGAGTAGCAGAGGTTGAATAATGAGCATTACTCTTTGAAGGTCATATTGTGGTCAGACACACAGACAGACACAGAGATCCAGTGGTTTCCAGTTTATCCTTACTCTTCTATTCATGTCCAATTCTTCTTCCATACCCCAGGCTTTGTTGAACAACAGCAGCCCAGGCTTACTGTCAAGACACTGCTGGGAGAGTCACACATGCAGTAGCTACACAGAGGCAACAACTACTCGCTAATTTCACTGTGAGCTGCTTCCTCATAGTCCTACCTCAGTGGCTGGTCATGTTTGCCTTCTTGAGTACCCCTGCAAGCTCCAGCTTGTCCGGTTGCACCGATGCTTCAAAAAGATCGGTTAGTGACACATTTCTCTGATACGTCAGCCCTCTTTCTGGAGCTTCATTTCATCAGCTCCTTCCACAATTGTATAAAGTCTAATTCCTATAACCAATCCCTTATCCAAACACTCACAGGAGCTCTGCTTCCCTGACTTGTCCCTGGCCAATAAAGAAAATTTTGCATAAAAGTCAAAAGCTGCCGTAACATAAAACATAAAATATGTGGCATTGCCTTTGAGACTGGCAAGCAAGCAGAGGTTGGAAGAGCAATTAGGACATTGTTTTCAGGGACTAAAAGAGCAGTGATCAAATTGTTCTTGGAGGGCAGATAAGGAGCAAAACATATCATATAATAGTGAAACAATTGGCAAAGCTGTCACTTGTGGTAATTTGGAAGACAGACTATATACCTAATAATCTAGTGGACCTGCCTAAAAAGATTTCCAAGCAGACTCTTTTTTTTTTTAATTGAGGTAGGGTCTTGCTCTATCACCCAGGCTGGAGTTCAGTGGCACAATCACAGCTCACTGCAGCCTCAACCCTCCAGGCTAAAGTGATCCTCCCAGCCCAGCCACTTCAGTAGCTGAGACCACAGGCACACAACACCACACCTGGTTAATTTTTTCCTATTTTTTTTGTAGAAGCAATGTCTCACTTTGTTGCCTAGGCTGGTTTCAAACTCCTGGACTCAAGTGATCTTCCCATTTTGGCCTCCCAAAGTGCTTGGATTACCGGCGTAAGCCACCATGCCCAGCCTCCAAACAGACTTTTGAAAGCCTCATTTGGCATCTTTTTATCTACATACAATAAGGTGCATTAACAGAGATAAGAACTAAAGAGAAAAATGACCAATGTTCAAGCAGAAGTTTTTTCATCTATATGCAAACAGTACTGGTATGAGCAAACACTTTGTGTGTGTGCATGTGCACATGTATGTGTGCATGTATGCACATCTCAGGATTTACTGAATTGTAAAATAAAACTGTTTCACATTCCCCTAGTCTTTTGAACCAGTAAAACATTCTAAAATTAAGAATTGGCCTCAGGGTAATAATCAAACTAAGCATGTGGTTATAAGATGCTTTATTAAGACCTCAGGAAAATTTAAGTTAGTGACTAATAGGTTCCCTCAGTTAGCAAAATGAGAGTTAAATATCTTAAGGATATCGACCAATAAGACTCATATTTGCACCATAAGATAAAAGTATTTCTCAAAAACACATATTGATACGGCTTTGGGACATGGACTAATAAGGTATATAGGAAACTCAAAAAAATTGTAACAGACTTGTACTAAGTAAAGCACTACAAAAATGAGCTGAAACAAAAGGGAAACCATTCAAAATGAAAAGAGCCCTCTGGTTCCAAAACTTTCTTTTTTTAAAACTTTACTTTTAAGTTCAGGGGTACATGTGCAGGTTTGTTACATAGGTAAACTTGTGTCATTGGGGTTCAATGTACAGATTATTTTATCACTCAGATATTAAGCCTAGTCCCCATTAATTATTTTTCCTGATCCTCTTCTCCTCCCATCCTTCACCCTCCGACAGGCCCCAGTGTGTGTTGTCCCCTTCTATATGTTCACGTATTCTCATTATTTAGCTTCCACTTATAAGTGAGAACATACACTATTTGGTTTTCTGCTCCTGCATTAGTTAAGGATAATGGCTGGCTCTGAAATTTTCTATGCAGAAATAGACTGATAATATGCTCATCCGCATACACAGGCCATCACTTATCAAAAAAAGAAAGACCTCAGAGAGCTCTGTTGAAAAAAAAAAAAAAAGAAATGAAGAGCAAAGGAGAACAGTGAGTTAGAGAAGCACACTCAGGGAGCAGAACTGAACCCTAGTCAAGAAACATATTTTACTACCGGAGTAGGGTGCTCTGACATGTACCCTGCTGGATTCCAGAATTTCTATGGATCAGCTAATGCTATTTACCTTCCGAACCCCTCCTTTTTGAATATGCATGTCTTTTGCAGTTATCCTTTCCTAATATCACTATTGTATGTGGGGTGTGTGAGGGAAAGAGTCTTTGTCTTTTTAGTTCATAGGACTCTGGATCAAGAGCAACCACCCATAAGGAGACACATTAGAAGAATCTCATCTCCAACTAGACCTAATGCAGACAGTGAGATAATAGACTTCAAGCCTATGCCAAAATGGGATGAGGCTGTGGAACTCTTTAGAGAGAATGGATATATTTCATATATGCGAGGAATGTAAATAAGTGTGGCCAGAGGATATACTCAGGAGGGAGGGTGTAAAAATGGCTACAAATCCTTTGAAGTTCCTACCACCAAGGCAGAAAGTCTAATTTCTACACCTCTTTCATCTGGGATGACCTTGCAACTTCCAAGGTGAAGAGCAAGAGAAATTTGTTTTTTATTTTTTGTCTTCTTTAGCTTCTTAGTGTTTCTACCCTCATCATTGCAAGGTACAGTTTTCATTCTTACCTCGTACCCTCTTAGAACACTGCCACTCTATGAATAGACCCCAGGCTAGCCTCCTTAGGGATAAAACATTACGTGATAAGAAAGACAAGTAGAGATAGAGAAAAGCAGCATTCACAACTGCTGCAGCCACCCTAGATGAGTCCCAGTTGTGCCCCAGATACATGAAGGGGCCATCTGGACCAGCCACTTCCTAGAAAACCCACCAATTATCTGAAACTGCATGAGTGAGCCCAGTCCAAATTGCCAACCCACAGAATCATGAATAAATAAATGGCTGTTTGAAAAACCACTAATTTTTAGGTGGTTTGTTGTGTAGCAATGGAAAACTGAGGTGGTTTCAGCAACACAAAACTTTACAACTGGAAATCTGGAATTGATTGTATGGACTAGGGACTAGGGTAAGACAAGTGAGTTACTTAGATGCAAACATTAAGGAGACACTCACTCTCAGGGTGGTGCAAGTGCTCCTTATGTTTTATACCCTAGATATTTGTAGTCTCTTCCCTAAATCTAGCCCCTGGTTTTCTAATCTGACTCGATTAAAAGGCATTAATGGCCAAATTGTCAGTGGTAAAAGGGACACTGCTAATCCACAGCATGAAGTGGAAAATTATTCCCTAAATTATCATCTGTACCACCTGGAGTCAAGTGCCTATGGAAGAGAAGGTCTTTGGGTGACCAACTAGCTGCTGCCTTAGAATATTTTAGTAAAAACAGAGAGTTGGTATGTTGTTCCTAAGAGTGATGGAGAACTTGGTGAGGGAGCAGAAATGATGAACTTAGGGCTTTAAATATCCAGTTATATGTCTGGTTAAAGAGCCAGAATGCTTCTAAACTAAAAGAAACCCTATCTCCTGTAACCACAGTTAGAGATTTCAGAAAACTAAACCAAAAATCTAATCCTAAAGGTATCTGAAATACAACACAAAATGTATCATAAGCTTATAGGATCTCTTGTATTACTGTTAAGGTATTGAATGGGAAAGGGTGAGACCCTTGAAAAAGGATGGTCCATGGGGGCAGATTCCAGTGAAGTTGAGGACCTTGACCAAACTCAATTCTTCCGAGAATCCTTTGGCAGTAGAAACAACACTTCATCCATGATGCTTTTAGAAAAAAGCATGGTAAAGGAACTGAAACACATGATATCAAGAACATGGCTGGAAATGAGGTTACTTTGCCTAGGAAAGAATACATAAACAAGAACTTGAGAGTAGATGCAAATTATATGAAGGGCTATAATCCAAGGCTACAGTAACTAAAACAGCACGGTACTGGTACAAAAACAGACACATGGACCAATGGAATAGGTTATAGAACCCAGAAACGAAGCCACATACCTAAAACCACCTGATCTTTGACAAAGCCAACAATAGCAACAATGGGGAAAGGACTCCCTATTTAATAATGATGCCGTGATAACTGGCTATCCATATGCAGAAGATGAAAACTAGAACTCTACCTTTTACCATATACAAAAACCAACTCAAGATGGATTAAAGACTTAAATGTAAAACTATTAAAACCCTAGGAGAAAACCTAGAAAATATCATTCTGGACAATGGCCCTGGCAAAGACTTCATGATGAAGACTCCAAAAACAATTGCAACAAAAACAAAAATTGACAAGTGGGACCTAATTAAACTAAAGAGCTTCTGCACAGCAAAGGAAACCATCAACAGAGTAAACAGACAACCTACAGAATGGGAGAAAATATTTGCACACTATGCATCTGACGAAAGTCTAATATCCAGAATCTATAAGGAACTTAAATCAACAAGCAAAAAATAAAAAATCCAATTAAAATATGGGCAAAGGACATGCACAGACATTTCTCAGAAGAAGACATACACACAGCCAACAAGCATATAAAAAAATGCTCAATATCATTAATCATTAGGGAAATGCATATCAAAACCAAAATGGGATACTATCGCACACCAGTCAGAATTGCTACTATTAAAAAGTCAGAAAAAAAAATGACAAATGCTGGCAAGGTTGCAGAAAAAAGAGAATGCTTATACATTGCTGGTGGGAATGTAAATTAGTTCAGCCACTGTGGAAAGCAGTCTGGAGATTTCTCAAAGAACTTAAAATAGAACTACCATTCAACCCAGCAATACTATTACTGGGTATATACCCAAAGGAATATAAATTGTTCTACCATAAAGACACATGCATGCATATGTTCATTGCAGCATTATTCACAATAGAAAAGGCATGAAATCAACCCAGGTGCCCATCAACAGTGGACTGGATAAAGAAAATGTGATACATATACACCATGGAATACTATACAGCCGTAAAAAATAATGAGGTCATGTCCTTGGAAGCAACACAGATGGAGCTGGAGGCCATAATCCTAAGCAAATTAAGGCAGGAACAGAAAACCAAATGCTGCATGTTCTCACTCATAAGTGGGAGCCAAATATTCAGTACACATGGACATGAAGAAGGGAATGAACAATAGACACCAGGGTCTACATGGTGGTGGAGGGCGGGAGTGGGGTGGGGGTTGAAAAACTACCTGTCGGTATTATACCGATTACCTGGGTGACAACATTATCTGTGCACCAAGCACACACAACATGCACTTTGCTGATGTAACAAACCTGCTCATCTACCCCTTGAACCTAAAATAAAAGTCGGAAAGAAAAAAAAAAAAAAACAGGCTCTGCTTCCAAAATTCAAGTGAAATGATTATGTCACCAAAAGATCTAGAGGTTAGAAATGAGATTCATGTTTCGGGAACATTGTAAAACAGACCAATGACTCGGTTGTGTTTTCATTAGACTCCTTTTTTTTTTTTTTTTTTGGCTATGGGCAAATGCTCATAAAATGAGGTATTATTTGAATATACGAATGCAAATTCAAGAAAGCCAGCAAAGCAGGTGAATAGTTTATAAGCGTACAAAATGAACCAAGCCCTTCTTCAGCCACTCAGTGTGTATACATACCAAAAGCCACATAATTACACAGTAATTATGCAATTTCTAACTTGAGGCTTCAATATCCACACTGAAAATTATGTACCAGTTATATTTGGAACTGTTATAAGGTTTTAGAGAAGAATGAAATTACCATGAATTAGCAACTTGTTGGCATCTTTAAGAAGACTTTAAATATTTAGTGTTGAAATGGACATGTTACAAGGGTCTGCATATGCATTAGCAACACATATCATATGTGCATTTGCACTGTATTTATAATTCTGTGTTTGCATGAATATGGATCTATTTACCTCACTGTTGTAAACATTCATAAAGATTACATCTTTTTTATTTTAGGTAAAAGTTTTGTTTTTCTAAATGTGTTTAGCCTGCACAATTTAGCTGAAGTGTTTCATTAATAAAATTTAAATGAGTTTAAAATAAAATGAAGAAAAAAACTTTGTAAGAAGGTAGTATTCTGTTACTCTGTAAATCCTAGCTCTGAAAGTTGTAGGCACTTAGTTAGCAGACAGGCCTAACGGGAGCTTCACAGAGACTAACAGGGTCCTTGGCACACAAAGTGCTCAACCAGTGAGTGGTGGATAGATGAATGAATGAATATAAAAGTGGTTCACATGAGCTTTGGGCTAGAGTTAAGATCCCTTTTCCAAATAAGGGAACGTTGAGTGATATTTAGAAGATTCCAGTGGAGATCTAGAAACTACAGGTGCATATCCAAGTTATGGACTGTTCCAGGCCCCTACCAGGGCAGTGATTTTGGACATAAGCTATTTTTCATTGTAACGAACATTGCTCCTCATCTAGCACCTACTCACACATGGCATGGGCGTAAAGTAAGCATGGTACAATAGAAAATCCCACCACTGTAGGATACCTCTGCAACATCCTGGACTCTCACCTTCCCTCTAAAAATGCCTCAAATAGTAGGAGAAAAAAATACAGATGAATAAGAGTTTGGGTTTCTCCAGTTCTTCGCCATCTCCACAAAGTGGAATCTACTCACTTCCCTAAGGAAAGCACAGCCAGCAAGAGCAGCAGCAAGCATTTCCTAAAAACCTGCCACGGGTAGACTTTCCTCACGGTGGGACATAAAGATGGAGACAGCATTGTTTCTTCTCTCACAGATGAGCATATAGAGGAAACTACAGGAGAAGCAGTCACTGAGAGCTGGAGCAATAAAGTGAGGCTTTGCAGACAAAGTAAGTCATTAACTGGGCAATAAAAGATACAGGGGGCAAGAACAGTAGGGCCATGTTAGATAGTGTAGTCCATGAGAACCACAAAATTTGAGTTAGGAATAGGTATGGACACTGGACACTGAGTAGACCAATGTGACTGGACAAACAAGGGCAGGGAAACAATTGGAAATCAAGTCCTGCAGGTTTCCCTTAAGCCAACTGTTCTCAGTTTTGGCTATTCATTAAAATCACCTGAGAAGCTTTTTGAAAAACAGACCGTATACAGATCCCATTCCTGGAGATTCTCATTTAATTGGTCTGGGATGAGGCCCAAGCATATTTGGGTTTTTGTTTGTTTGTTTGTTTCTTGCTCTGTAGGCAATTCTAACATGAGACAGGGTTGAAAATCATTGTCTAGGTCATCAGAATCCACCAGTGTTATGCAACTGGCATCACTTAAAAGACAGCTTCCAATACTCCTAAATGTTTTGCAACCCAAGTCCCAAATCCTTGGATGTAACGGAATTAATATTTTGTAAACCTCAAACCAATGTCAATGTTTCAATTCCTCACTTAGCAGTCTTCTACCTGGAAGGCTGAGCAATGAGGCTTACCGCCACATTGAAAGAGAGCAGGATATCACCTTAAACAGTGGTATGGGGCTCAAAAGCCATGATCCAGATATTCTGACTCTGTGGTCTGAGGTGAAGCTCAGGCATCTGTGTTTCCCAAGCTCTCCTGGCCATTCTAACATTCAGATCCACTCTCAGAAAAGAGAGGACACTGAGTTTCCAACCCCCACCCCAAACCAGACCAACTAAATCAGATTCTTGGGGTGGACCAGGCCTGAGTGTTTTGTAAACCTCCCATGGTGACTACAGAGTGCTGCCAAGATTGTTTATCAGATAAAGCGGGGATTCCAGTGTTTTGTATGTCATGGCACACGTAGAAAATTATTCTATTTCATAAGGCACACTGGGGTAAATTAGAAGAAATTTAGGGGCTTGGTATATGAAAATATGGGGCTTGGTTTTAGAAAATAAATTTTCATTATAATATAACTATGATTTTAAAACATTAGCAATGATTATAAATTTAGAATTTATAATTTCAAAAATATTTTCACAAACTCCCTATTGGGTACTATGCTCATTACCTGGGTGATGGGATCATTCGTACCCAAAACCTCAGCATCACACAATATACCCACGTAACAAACCTGCACATATACTATTTGAGTCTAAAATAAAAGTTGAAATTATATTTTTAAAAAATATTTTCACATATTGTAATGCAAGACTGGAGCTTGTGTCTGTGACTAGAACTTCATTATAAGATGTTTTTGTGCCTGAAATAGTTACACACAGTCTTTCCCTGCCCGCCCCCCCAACCCCCAAGATGGAGTCTCGCTCTGTCACCCAGGCTGGAGTGCAATGGCGCAATCTGGGCTCACTGCAACCTCCACCTCCCAGGTTCAAGCGATTCTCCTGCCTCAGCCTCCTGAATAGCTGGGACTATAGGCCTGTGCCACCACACCTGGCTAATTTTTGCATTTTTAGTAGAGACGGTGTTTCACCATGTTGGCCAGTCCAGTTTCAAACTCTTGACCTCAAATGATCCACCCACCTGGGCCTCCCAAAGTGCTGGGATTACAGGCGTGAGCCACCGCACCCGGACTACACACAGTCTTTATCAAGATTTTTTTTTAAGTCTCTTCAAATTCTTAATAATCACTATGAAAAAGAAGTCTCTCTTCTATAAGTAGTTGATAAAAAAAATCAAACCACTTTTACAACTGTTAAAAAATGTGAAACAGTTAAAGTAATACAAATTACAATTATTATTTGTCGATTAAAAATAAAAATTTTAATAAGATTTTAAGGGCCTTCTTTTCTTTCATTGACAAAGATAATGAAATTTATTTTGAAAATGTGAATTGGCAATTGCTACAAAGAGAATAAAATACCTGGAATACAGCTAACAAGGGAACTGAAGGACCTCTTCAAGGAGAACTACAAACCACTGTTCAAGGAAATCAGAGAGAACACAAACATGGAAAAACATTTCATGCTCACGGATAGGAAGAATCAGTATCATGAAATTGGTCATACTGCCCAAAGTAATTTATAGGTTCAATGATATTCCCATTAAACTACCATTGACATTCTTCACAGAATTAGAAGAAACTATTTTAAAATGCATATGGAATCAAAAAAGAGCTCATATAGCCAAGACAATCCTAAGCAAAAAGAATAAAGCTGGAGGCATCCCACTACTGGACTTCAAACTATACTACAAGGCTACAGTAACCAAAACAGCATGGTACTGGTACAAAAACAGATACATACACGAATGGAACAGAATAGAAAACTCAGAAATAAGACTGCACATCTACAACCATCTGATATTTGACAAATCTAACAAAAACAAGTAGTGGAGAAAGGATTCCCTATTTAATAAATGGTGCTGTGGGAACTGGCTAGCCATATGCAGAAAATTGAAACTGGACCTCTTCATTACACCTTACAGAAAAATTAACTCAAGATGGATTAAAGACTTAAATGTAAAACCCCAAACTATTAAAAACCCTAGAAGAAACTCTAGGCAATACCATGCAGAACATAGGCACAAGCAAAGATTTCATGACAAAATCACTAAAAACAATTGCAACAAAAGTGAAAATTGACAAATGGGATTTAATTAAACTAAAGAGCTTCTGCACAGCAAAACAAACTATCATCTGAGTGAACAGGCAACCTCCAGAGTGGGAGAAAATTTTTGGAACCTATGCATCTGACAAAGTTCTAATATCCAGAATCTACAAGGAACTTAAACAAATTTACAAGGAAAAAATAAATAAATAAAAAGCGGGCAAAGGACATGAACAGACACTTCTCAAAAGAAGACATTTATGTAGCCAACAAACATATGAAAAAACTCAACATCACTGATCATTAGAGAAATGCAATCAAAACCACGGTGTGATACCATCTCATGCCAGTCAGAAGGGTGATTATTAAAAAGTCAAGTAACAACAGATGCTGACAAGGTTGTGAATAAATAGGGACATTTTTACTCTGTTGGTGGGAATGTAAATTAGTTCAACCATTGTGGAAGGTGGTGTGGTGATTCCTCAAAGATCTAGAATCAGAAATACCATTTGACTCAGCAATCTCATTACTGAGTATATACCCAAAGGAATATAAATCATTATATTACAAGGATACATGCACACATATGTTCATTGCAGCACTATTCACCATAGCAAAGACATGGAATTAACCCAAATGCCCATCCATGATAGACTGGATAAAGAAAATGTGGTACATACACACTATGGAATACTATGCAGCCATAAAAAGGAACAAAATCATGTCTTTTGCAGGGACATGGATGGAGCTGGAAGCCATTATCCTTAGCAAGCTAACACAGGAACAGAAAACCAAACACTGCATGTTCTGACTTATAAGTGGGAGCTGAACAATAGGAAAGCGTGGACACCGCTAAGGGAACACCACACACTGGAGTCGGGGGGTGAGGTTGGGGGAGGGAGAGCATTAGGTAAAATAACTAACGTATGCTAGGCTTAATACCTAGGTGATGGGTTTATAGGTGCAGTAAACCACCATGGTACACGTTTACCTATGTAACAAACCTGCATATCCTGCGCATGTACCCCGGAACTTAAAAAAATAAGAAAGAAAATGTGAATTGGTATAGATATAAGTCAAATTTTCTCAAACCCAGTATTTTAAACAGTGATGAAGCTATAAATATGCTCGCATGATTAGAGTAGTAATTCTGCAGCTTGCTTGAGGCCACTCAAAGGGTACAAAAAGAAGATGCCATACCAGGACCCTCAACCATATCCTATTCCCCTCACTCATGTTCCTTGAGCTGAGCACTGCACTTCTAGAGCACCCTCAAACAGCTCCATAGATATGATCAGCAGGATGTTGAAGTACAGCTCCACGTTTCCAGACACCTGCTCATTGACACTTTCAGTGTCACAGTAGTCATAAATGTTGGCTGTCATGCCATAACCTATTCAGACCAGGTTCAAACATTTTATGGGTTCAGGACAAGAGTATAGCTAGAGGTCCATATACTGGATGTCTAAATTCAAAATTCATAATCAAACTAGTAAACTGTTGCATAAACTGCCTTCTATATCCCTACATTGACAAATATACTTTAATAGAAACAAAAATAAAAATATGTGTGAAGCTATTATTTTTATGTCACTGAAAATAAACCACTGTTCTACTAATAAGTGGTTGATGTTTGTTGACTACTAAAATAAAGGAATACATAATTTATAAATTGCTATACACTAATTCCACAAAATTTTCTTTCCTTCATTTTGGCAAAAAAAAATTTATGCTATTATAATCAAGATTGTCATATAATTTTTGTTCCTTTAGTAGTAACACCAAATTACACAATTATTCCTGAGTCACTGTAGTTCTTAGGTAAGTTTATACTAATTTCAGTTTAGAGAAAACTCACTCTTCAGAGGCAGGAGAAACTGGCATTATCAATAAAATTATTAAAATAATTAGATTATTATCTTAGATTTAGAAAGATCTTTAAATTTTAGGTAGAATATGCAAACATTATAGTGGGATTACATATGATAAATTATCACTATCATAGAAAGCTTTACAAACTATTATAATTTCATTGTATAAATTATCACTTGTCTCATGATTTTCACCATTTTAAAAACAGTAACCAGATTTAATAGAAAGGTGAAGAATCAGTATCAGACATCGTACATGTTACTTCTTCCTATATATAAATTTCAGGGTAATATAAATTTTAACTATTACAAAGTTAATAGTTCTTCATCTGCCACCTGTAACTCCTATAAATACCATACCAACTGATGTATCTCCAGAACCAGAAGACAGAGAAGCAAGAGAAAGTACCCTATATGTCACTGGGAAGTGATTCTTTATTGAGCAGGAATATCCATATTAAAGCTTTTTGAAAAGAAAGATTGGACAAATTGACTAATTCGCCTCTTCTTTTACCTAAATGCTTCAGTTGTTCAAATATTTCCCACATTCTAAAATAGGGACTAGCTTCAACATTGGCAATGACACAAACCACAAACCTTTAAAGCATGTTTCAGGGACGTATATTAAGAGATATTTAAAAAAAAAAAAAAGTTTTTCTTTGAGGTCCAGAAGATGTTACTTGTAAGAACAAATGTTTACGGTTGCATATGTCAGCCCTCAACAACAGATCCTGAGTGACAGAGGTGCCCATGTGCTCTTAAATAAATCTGTCTTTTTGTATTTGTGGTATGTATTATCTTTCAATACAAGGTCTAGAGCAGGGATTCCTATGGCTTAGGTCTAAAGATGTTATTAAATCTATTCATGGGACCTTGGGGCATACTTGCTGGGCAACGCTGAGAGAGAGGATACATTAGGGGGAGAACTGCGTAAATAAAAAGGAGGCCATAGGTAGGATAATAAGGTGTGTGTGTGTCTTTGCACATATGAGTGTGGAGTGAGCAAGTTTTAATTTCTCATTATTTAAGAGATATAGAAGAATGACATCATCAAGATGGGGGAATAGGAAACCCCAGACCCCATTCCCCAACAGAAACATTAACTAAACAACAATACACAGACAAAAAGTTTTTATGAGAACCTAGAAATCAGTTAGGAAGTCACAATACCCCCAGGCAATCTCAAAGCCAAGAGCAGCTGCATTGAAATGGATAAGAAATTTATTTCATTAACTATGTCAGCCCCTCCCCCAAGCCAGCACATCTCTGGGAGGAAAAGCCCAACATACAGCTTCTTTTGTGACAGGTAGAGAAAAGAATGAAATGTATGTTCAAAGTTTCAGCTTTTGAGGGGCTGCCCAAGGAACTGGTTTCTGTCTCACCTGACTCGGAAGATTCATGGGAACTGACATACATTGGATGCCTGGGAGCCACAGAGAGCAAAAGAGAGTCAGCGGCTTGTGGCAGTGCCAGAGAACTTGTAATATCACAGATAGAAATTAGCAGGGCTTGTTGTAATCAAGAGTAAGCACCTAGCTGTGGCTTTTTCCCTGGGAAAAAACAGGAGGGTGGTATGTGTGTCTAGCATTCTGCCTTTTCAGGGGGCTTCCTGAGGGACGAGTTTTTGCCTCATCTGATTCAGAGTCCTAATGGGAAACCAACATACCTTGTTTGCTTAGGGCCAGAGGGACCAAAAAAAAAAAAAACCTAAAAACTCAGTTGCTTGTGGTTGCACCAGAAAACTTATAATACTACAGATAGACACCAGAGGGAGCAAGAGATTACAAGCTCTGAAAAAAACAACTTGCAAACCTCTCTAATTGGGAGAAACCAGAGAAAACACATCTCCAGAAAAGATGTGAGAGGCCCTCACAACCTCTAGCTGAAATAACTGGTGAAGTTATTTCCCTGTATGAAGTCAGTGAGTAAAGACTAGGAGAGATGGCTGTTTTTCAAATGCATGAATACCAATATAGTTACAAGACACATAAAGAAATATGGAAACATATCTCAATCAAAGGAACAAAATAAATCTCTAGTAACCAACCCTAAAGAAATAGAGTTATATGAAGTACCTGACAAAGAATTCAAAATAACCATCACAAAGATGTTAGAAAAATGGTAAATGAACAAAATGAGAATATCAACAAAGAGAAAAAATTTTAAATAAACAACAGCAATTTTGGAGCTTAAAAACACAAGAGCTGAATTGAAAATTTCACTAGAGGGGTTCAAAAATAAAAGTGATGAAGCAGAAAAAAAGAATCAACAAACTCGAAAACAGATCATTTCAGATTACCTAGTCAGAAGAACAAAAGGAAAAAGAAATGAAAATGAATGATGAAAGTCTAAGGGACTTATGGAACCCCATCAAGCAGACTAATTACACATTATGGCTATTCCAGAAGGAAATGAGGGAAAGAGAGAGAGAGAGATTGAGAATGGCATAAAGATTATTTGAAGACACAATGGCTGAAATTTTCCCAAATTTGGGGAAGGAAATGGACATACAGATAAAAGAAGCCTAAAGGATCCCAATTAAGATAAACTTGTAAAAGTCTACATTACAATCAAATTGCCAAAAGTCAAAGACAAAGAGAGAATTTTGAAAGTGGGAAGAGGAAAGCTACTCACCATATGAAAAGGATTCTACATAAGAATATCAATGGGTTTCTCAGCAGAAGCCTTGCAGGCCAGCAGGAAATAAGAGAATATATTCAAAGTGCTAAAAGTAAAAAAAAAAAAAAAAAGAATATGGCAAAACTGACATTCAAAAATGAAGCAGAAACACTGAATTTCCCAGATAAAAGCTGAAGGAGTTCCTCACCATTAGACTTCCAGGCAATGCTATAGAGTGTCCTTCAAGTTGAAAGAAAAGGATGCTAAAGAGCAACACAAAAACATGTGAAAGTATAAAGCTTGCTGGTAAAGGTAAATCTATAAACGAATACAGAATATTGTAATGGTGGTCCATAAATCACTTTTAATTATAGTATAAGAGTTAACACAAAGCGTGAAGGAGAAAGAAGTTAAAGAGTAAAGTTGTATGTGATTGCAGTTAAGTTGTTATCAGCTTAAAGTAGGTTGTTATAACTATAAGTGTTTTGTGTAAGCATCATGTTAACTACAAAGAAAATACACATAGAAGATACATAAAGGAAATTAAGAAATGATTCAAAACATGTCACTACCAAAATGACAACACAAAGAGAGAAAGAAAAAGAACAAAAAGCTACAAGACAGAAAACAATTAATAAAATGTCAATCTTAAGTCCTTCTCTATAAGTAATTGCTTTAAATGTAAATGGATTAAATTCCCGATCATAAGACATCAAGTGGCTGAATGGATTTTTAAAAATCAAGATCTCACTATATGCTGCCTATGGGAAACTCACTTTAGATTTAAAGACATATGCAGGCTGAAAGAAAAGGATAGAAGAAATATATTCCATGAAAATGGTAACCAAAATATAGCAGAGGTAGCTATATTTATAACAGAAAAAATAAGCTTTAAGTCAAAAACTGACACAGTAGACAAAAGAGGACATCATATAATTATAAAAAGGGGCCAATTCACCAGAAAGATAAATCAACTATAAATGTATATGCACCCAACATCAGAGCACCCAAAAACATGAAGCAAATATTAATAGAACTGAAGGAGAAACAGACAGCAATGCAATCATAGTAGAAGATTTGAATACCTCACTTTCAATTATGGCTAGAACATCCAGACCGAAAATCAATAAGAAAAGAGTAAACTTGAACAACCCTATAAATCAGATAGATCCAATAGACAGATAAAGAACATTCCACCCAATAGCAGCAGAATTCACATGCTTCTCAAGTTCACATGGACATTCTCCAGTATAGATCACATATTAGGCTACCAAACAAGTATTAACACATTTGAAAAGACTGAAATCATACCAATTTCCAACCACAATGGAATGAAAACTAGAGATCAATAACAGAAGGAAAACTGGGAAATTCACAAGTACATGAAGTTAATCATATACTTCTGGACAACCAAGGGACCAAAGAAGCAATTAAAAGGAAAACTAGAACATATCTTAAGACAAATAAAAACAAAACCACAACACACCAAAACTTATGCAAATAAGCAAAAGTCATACTAAGAAGAAAGTTTGTGGTGATAAATGCCTACATTAAAAAAGAAGAAAGATCTCAAATAAATAACCTAACTTTATATCTTAAGGAACTATAAGAACTATAAGGAACAATAAAAGCAAACTAAAACCAAAGATAGCAGAAATGAAGGAAAAAACAAAGATTATAACAGAAATAACAGAAATAGAGAATAGTAAACAACAGAAAGAAATCAATGAAACTGAGAGTTGGCTTTTTAAGAGATCAACAAAAATGACAAACCTTTAGCTATACTAAGAAAAAAAGAGGGAGACCTAAATAAAATCAAAAATGAAAGAGGAAATATTACAATTGATGCTACATCAATAACAATAATTGTAAGATATAACTAACAAAAATTATATGCCAACAAATTATATGCCTGGAAGAAATGGATATTCCTGAAACATTTAACCTACCAAGTTTGAATGCTGAAGAAATAAAAAGAACAAACCTAAACTAGTAAGAACAAACCTATAACTAGTAAGAAAATTGGATCGGTAATTAAAAACCTCAAAGTGGATGGGGTTAGGAAAAAATGGGGAGTTGCTGATCAATGGTCATAGAGTTTCAGTCATGCAAGATGAAAAAGTTCTAGAGATCTGCTGTACAACAATGTGTATATAGTTCACAATACTATGCTGTACACTTAAAAATGGTTAATAAGGTAGATTTTATGTTTTTCAACACAATAAAAAATAAATTTTTAAAGAGAGATATAAACAATAGCTACAATCTAAAAGCAGTTAGTCATCTATACTAATCTAGATCATCCATTCCAACGGTTTTTCAAACTTTAACTAACAGAGGAATAATTTTTCACTTAAAATTTTCCAGTAAACCCAATAACAAAACCATAAAAGTAGAACTGTGTGTGTTGAGTTGTGTTGGGTGGGAGGGAACCAGAGCTCCTCATTTTATAGACACAGAAACTGAGGCCCTGGGAGGAAAATGGATTCACCCCGAAGCACACAGTGAGTTAATGGCATGGCCCTGGCTACAATCCACATCTCCTGATTCCCAGCTCAGTGTTCTTTGCATTTTCATTAAAGTTCTTGTGCCTAATCTGGAAAACACCCAGATAACCATAAAAGGAAACAGATGAAGGTACCCACAAATGAGCTATGGAAGGAGAGGGAGTTTTTAAGCCTAATCACCAGCCAATAGATTTCCAGTTTCAATGGTTTTTTAATATCAAAGTTGTTTTCATTATTTATTAATGAACTTTTGTTAACATTGTTTATTATTTATTAACATTAATTAAACGAACATTTGAAATTGCACAGAAACAAAAAAGGAGAAAAAATTTATAATCCTACCAATTATATAAACAACTCTTAACACTGGAATATGTCTTCTGTCTCTTAAAGAACAGATTGTTGGGTTTTCACCAAATTGTGCTCATTCTGTATGTTCAATTTTGTCTCATGCTTTTTTCACAATATTATAGCATAAGCATTTTCCATTTGTAAATAACATTTTCTTTCATGACTACATAATATGCTCTGAAGTAGTCATGCCATGCAGAAGATTTTTTTCTAAATTTGTTCACCACTTCAAATAATACTAAAATGAACATATATCCGTGTATATAATGGTTGAACAATGTGTATGGTAGTATACTAGAGGTAGAATTGAGTTTAAGAATTTGAAGATTTTTGGCTGGGCGCAGTGGCTCACGCCTGTAATCCCAGCACTTTGGGAGGCTGAGATGGGTGGATCATGAGGTCAGGAGATTGAGACCATCCTGGCTAACACTGTGAAACCCCATATCTACTAAAATAATACAAAAAATTAGCCAGGTGTGGTGGCGCATGCCTGTAATCCCAGCTACTCGGGAGGCTGAGACAGCAGAATCACTTGAACCCGGGAGGCGGAGGTTGCAGGGAGCCAAGATCGCACCACTGTACTCCAGCCTGGGCGACAGAGCAAGACTTCGTCTCAAAAAAAAAGAATTTGAAGAATTTGAAGAGTTTTAAGTCTTTTGGTATGTAGCATCAAATCACATATATTTTATTTATGCATAATTACATAAACATCATTTAAAATTCTGGAAATAGAAATATAGATAAAATAATATTTGCCATTATTTCTTTGACCTAGAGGCAGATACCTATTGAATATCTTGGTATAGTTCTTCCCCATCTTTTTTGAAAATAAATACATATGCGCACACAATTACCAAATTGAAACTATTGTGTATGAGTGTGTAATAGTTTGATTTTTTATTACCATGTCTATAAATAATACTTAGAGACCAAACAGATTTTATTAATTACAACATATTATCCCAATCACACAGCCAAACATACTCCCATTTTTCCACCCCTAGTATAGCCACATCCACGTGCCCATACCCAAGTAACAGAGAGATTACATACAAGACCACTCCTAATAAGACAACTCTCAAGACACAATCTTGGTTGTAGTTCTCACTGGCTTTCTTCTGAGAAACTGACTCAAGAGTGAATATAGGCAGTTGCAATAGCATTTTTCTAACTGGAAACTTCTACAGAGCTCAACTCAGAATGATACGCCACTGTGCCAGCCACCAGGAACAGTTTTGGGCCCTGAAATATGAATCTCTGCTTTTCATCAGATGTTTCCAAAAGCAGAGTGGTTATGACAGAAACTTTGGCATTAGACTCTCCTGGGTTCCAGCCATGACTGTACCTCCTATTGTCTGTGCAACTTGAATTAACTTTACCCCTCTAAGCCTCAGTCTCTCCATCTATAAAAATGAATGACAGTAGCTGCTTCATAGGTTTGAAGTGATGATCAGATGAGACAATGCATGTAAAGTACTCAGCATTGTGTCATTGCAGGCACTTAATTTTAACTGTAATTATTATTTTGAGGAGTTCTGGCAGCAGCTTTCGACTCTCGCTCTCACAAATATGACTTTCTCTTTCCTCATTGATCTATTAACAGAAAATATTTTTTGACTGATAATTCCCAAAGCAGTCATTATGGCAATGAACACAGCAGTTCAAAATGTTATCATATTTATCTTATCACAAATGTTATTAATAGCTCAAAGCAGTTGAAATTGTCATTAACTATTTTTAATAAATAAGTATATTTCGGCACTTAATATTCCCAGGAGCTTTATATAACAATATTTTCCTCAATCTTCACAAGGCTGTGAAGTATTATTATTACCATTTTGCAAATGAGCAAACTGACATGGACACTTTAAGAAATTTGCTAAAGGTCACACCAGTAGAAGTTGAACAGCCAGGATTTGAGTCCAAGCCTGTTTTAATCCAAGCCCCAAGCCCCATCCACTGGGCCATGGATCAGCAAATCTTTTTCTGTAAAGGACCAGATAGTAAATATTTTAGGCTTTTCAGGCCTTATGGTCTCCATCATAACTACTCGACTCTACCATTATAGCACAAAAGCAGCTATAAATGATACAGAAATGAAGGACATGACTATGTCCAATAAACTTTATTATGGGCACTGAAATTTGAATGTTATATTATTTATATGTGTCACAATATATGACTCTTCTTTTCATTTTCTATCCAACCATTTAAAAAATGTAAAAATCATTCTTAGTTCATGAGCCATATAAAAAATAGTAGGTGGACTATAGATGCATCTTCAGGGAGAATACAATGATCAGGAAATGTGGGGATCTCTAGCCACACTGGACAGTTTTCAGGGGTGTGATGCTACTAGACTCTCCCTCAGGTCTTTTCTGTTATTCTTTTAGCTACAACACTCCTTCTACCCCTCCTCCCCAGCATCTGCCTTTATCTGCCATACGCCTTGTCATCCTTCAAACCAAAGTAGCTTCGCTGTTACTAGTTGCAGGAAATGCAACAAACCCCCCCTTACCGCCACCTCCATACTAAGCGAGGTACCCCTTTTCTGCTCTCTCTTAGCACCCTATATGTTCCCATCATAGGATCTATCACAAAGAATTGGGACAACTTGGGTACAAGACTGTCTGCTCCAAGGTCAAGTGCCATAAAGGTAAGCTTCTGTCTTGGTGATAAGTGTACCCACTTAGTCATTAGCACAGTGTATGGATTATAAGGGAAGTTGAATAAATATAGGAATGAAGAACAAGTGGGAGAAAGGAAAGTAGGGGAGAGACAAACGAAAGTTCTTAACTGTAAATACAAGCTCTGAACAGGATAAGGAGAGGTGGAGAGAGTAGGAGAGGAACCTACACCTGGCCATTAGGGAAAAGGTGGAAAATTGCCAAACATGGATGTGGAAACCCTTTTTCTACTTCTCATGAGGGGCAGTCCATGATCCCCTGTAAAAGGGTGTGTTCATTATGTTGGGACAATGAAGAATAAGGCAAAAACTAGTCTCCTAGACTTGTCCCACCGAGGACCAGAGAAGAGACACTAACTAGAGAATCTGAGTGCCCATGGATTCCTGAGTAATTTACATCATGTTCACTGCCAGTGAAATGCAGAGATGGCAGTGGCTCAAAAATTAAGATGGCTTCTTTTTAAAATGTTGTAACAAATAAAAGAATCCCACTGAGAACACAAAGAAAAAAGAAATTAAAGAGCCAGGAGGTGGAGGTATGAGGGGGTAGCGACTCTAAAAGCCTTCTTTCGGCTCCATATCAAACAGATTTGCTCTTTTTAGGAGATTATGGAAGCTTGGGTTTGTTCTCCAAAGAACTGCTTTGAAGCAAAGAGTTTAATCATCACACACCATTAATGTTTCAGATTTGGGGTTTCTCTTTTTTTCTTTTCTTGACTGGGTGCTCTAAGGGAGAGTTTCTTTGAGATGAAAACATGTGAAATAAGAAACACCAGCGGTTCACTCCACTGCTGCTTTGTGCTTCCTCTCCCGTCTCCCAAATCCTCTTCCTCACAGGTACAAGGCCTCAGAGAGATGCCAACACCTGCTTCTACCACGAGACTCTTTAAAGGCTCAAACAAATATTTGACGAGAGGTGTTCAGAGTCACACTCCAAATATCTATTTTATTCATTCACTGAACTCTTGCATCTGCCAAGAAAGGTGACAATCACTGGACAACTGAAGAAGAATCCAAGAAATGCCCAACATTGCCCTCATTGTCTTATCTTCCTTTCCCCATCCCCTGTTGTTTCTGAAGGAGAAGGGATACTCCTGGATCTACCAGGTTCAAATAGGGCACGAAGCCTACTCACTGTCATTGGAGAAAAGAGTTGAGCTATGGACCATAAATTCTAAGCCCAAATTTGCCACTAACTTTAAGTAGGCCATTTGATTTCTCTGGGTACAGGTGGATCCTGTGACAAACAATGGAGATTCCCTCCCACCTATTAGGAATATTAGTAGCTGACAGCTCTCAGCTGAAACTCCTTTGCATTTTTTCTTTGCTTGGAAAGAATTGTCCAGCCTGGAGTCTCTTCCTTTTCCCTGAAAATAGCTCTCATTCAATTGCTGGTGATCCATTATAGGAGTACAGTATCCTCATCCCCTTGCCCTAATTTGGGACAGTTCTGCAATGCCATCCCAGTTTCCACATTTCCTGTAGGATTAGCTAGAACTTCGTCTAGCCATCTCCTCCCTCTGCCCAATTTTCCTTCCTTTACTTACCTGCAGGTGTTGATCCTGATGGTCATCCCAATAAAGTTCTTGCACACAGGTCTTCACAATTCTCATACAAGTCTCAAAGTCTGCTTTCAGAGAACCTACCTGGGACCCTGACCCATAGCTTCCCCATCTATGTAATAAGAGGACTCTACCAGATGACCTCCATTTCTGTCTGTAAACATAAGTGAAGTACAATGATCCAACTGCCAGGTCTATAACACAATCAGCAGAAGCAGCAGCAGCAGGGACTCACATGCATCTGAATGCAATTGAATTACCTGATTCAGAACACGTCTTTCAAACACTGTGAAACAATCAGTGAAGTGGCAGAGACACCAAAAATTGGGGTCTCTAGGTTGGAACCCTATCTCTGTCACTAACTTGCTCAGTGACCCCAGGTAATTCTCTCTGCTGGGCTTCATTTTCTTAAATACAAAATAAGAGGCTTTATCATATTTCTCCCCCTCTCTTCATTTTAGATGAATTTATGTGACTTCTGCTTTGAAAAGAAAAAAAGTTCATTTTTGGAAAAATCATTTTGTCATTCACCATGAACCAAAAGCTCACATTAAGCATCTTATTATTCATGACTCTGCACAGCACCCTCTTCAGTCCTTGCCCTTAGGGAATGTGTGGTCTAAGGCTGGTTGACCTCTACTGGGAGTCACGAATGAGGCATACTCTCTAGATCAATGTGCCACTCATCCACAAAGGAGAAACCTGCTATAATTTACAAGGTTATCACATATTCAAAGAATAACTAAAAGGAAATAGAAACTAACACACATTGAGCACTGCCTAAGTGCCTATCACAGACTTTTGTCCTCTTATGTGGATTATAGTTCATTTACTTCTGACAACAGTCCCTGAAAGTCTGCCATCACCATCCCATTTCAGATGAAGCTTGCGGAGAGGGTGTGACAACCTGGAGTCAAGCAGCGAGCATGTGGAAGAACCAAGGCTAGAACCCCGGCGTGGTTCTGCCACACCGTAATGTACTTGCCTGCTCCTCTGTCTCCTCAGTGAGAGTTGGGAGCTCCTTGAGGGCAGCCCCTATTGCTTTCTTCTTCATATCCTGAACACCTAGCATGATGGCAAGTACCTGTTACTAAATACAAGTTTATAACATTACTTAATTAAGGTCTCTTGACTTCTCCTATTGCTATTTCTATCACACTATCATGCAATCGGCCTTGCTACTTCGCCTCCAAATTTTTCTAAAAATTATTCATCTTGAGACAGGCAGAAGATCAATCTCAAATAACAAACATGCAGCTTATTATGGTCTCCCAACTTACATGGTGATATGAGTCATTTGGCCCCCTTGGGATTTAATAGCTGGCTGACAAGCCTCAGCACTGTCAATGTGCTTGAGATTGGCTCACTTGGGCCAGCTGGGCAAGGGTTTCCATTGATTATTCCTAAAAACCCATTATGCTTTTGAAAGCCATTTCATTTTAAGATGGTTTAAATACATCCTTATCATTTTTAAGCATGCCCACAAAAAGCATCCTAAAGATATTTGATCATTCAATTACACTAAATGAGGCCAATGTATATGCTGCTGCCTCAGAGGTTATCATGCTTAATAAAACGTACTTTATAAACCCCATGAAGGCTGTAATTAAATTTACAAACAGCCTTCCCCACAACTTTAACAAAAGATATCTGAATGGTGTGTGTGTGTGTGTGTGTGTGTGTGTGTGTGTGTGTGTGTGTGCATGTGTGTGTGTGTGTGTGTGTGTTTTAAAGTGTCCTGTTCCATAAGGATTATAGCTCCCCTGCTGTTTGGAAAAGACAATTTCACTTGTAACACTAATAACTTGAGCAGGGGAGAAGCTGGCCTGGTGAATGGAATGCACTTCACTGCACATCTTGGCTCAGCTAGAAATCGGAAACAGATGGTCCTTGCGGCTGGTTTCCCACTCGAGCCCGCTCACTGCCAGCCTGTGGTCTTCTGTGGGCTGCTGCTGGCAGTCTGTGACTTGAACATAGTAGGACAGTGGCAAAAGAAATCAAATCTTTTCCAATGAGCAGCAAGTTGTAATGAAATTTGACAGATCTGACATTCTATACCCAACATCTAGTTAGAATATATTAACCTTTAGTTTTCTTAAGCGCCTTGCATAGAAGTTGTGAATATACTTATTAGAGGGTTATGTTGTATGTGTTTTTTTTTTTCCTTTTTTTTCTTTTTTAACAGGGGGCAGAGGGTTTAGTCCAATCTTGGGTGGCAGCCGGTTAACAGAAAATGCAGAGAAAGTAAAAGTCAAAGAATTTCTAAATGGAAATGAGGCACAAGATCTGCCGCCAAGAAGAAAACTGATTCTTTGCAGGACATTGTGGGTGAGTTTCTGCCAAAAATAAATTATCAATATTTTCCTTGCACAATACAGATAGATTGATTGAGCAATAAATATATATCCATATCTACATATATGTATATATACCAGATCAAAAATCTGAGCAATCTCTGGGCAAATTAATAAAATAGATGGGGCTGTCTGGACCCTCTGGCATTTTCTTCAATTCTGCCCTTTTCAGCTTTGCAGCATTCACTTCTGCCATACGGTGAGAAAAGCATGCCAGGTGACCTGGAATGCTGGTTTCTTTAAGTCACCACACTCACACCCAGTAATGACATGTACCTGTGCAGAGGATTTTGCTGCCTTCATCAAAAAAGGATAAATCTCCCACCAGAGACCTTCACACTTTAGAGCTTTAGAGGAACTAGACTTTCTATCCTTTTGTGTTGATTCTTCTTTTTATCCCAATACTTAACGTGTGAATACATCCTGACTCGAAGGTTTAGATGGTGATGGCCTGAACACCATCTTAGGATTTTCCACCTGATTAAGGTTAGAGGAAAGATCTAGGTGTTAATAGTAGTTAATGCCTCTTAATACAGCTTTTATTTTCTGTTCTATTTTTTTCTTTCTTTTTAATCTTGGATACCCATTGCTCTAAACTGAACATTTCTGCAGCTTCAGCAACAGGGTACATTTCTAATTTCATGTTTTCCATGAGCCTGGTGATTCAAGGCCATACATATCTGTTAAGCTCAACATTCAACTCTACATAAGAAATAAAAAATATCCAAGGCAGGAAGATCACTTGAGACCAGGGGTTCAAGACCAGCCTGGGTAACAAAGCAAGCCCCCGTCTCTCTAAAAAAAAAAATCAATTAGCCAGGTGTGGTGGTGCACAACTGTGGTCCCAGCTACTTGGGAGGCTGAGGTAGGAACATCAGTCAAGCCCAGGAGTTCGAGGCCACTGTACTCCAGCCTGGGTGACAGATAAATCTTATCTCCAAAAAAATGAATAAAAAATAAAAATTGTCTTCTGAGAACAAGCTGGTTGGAATAGCAAAAGCATAGGCTTTTCATTATATGGACATAGGGTTGAATCTTGGCTCTTGTTCTTTAGCATGTGTCTTTAGCCAAGACTCTTACCTTTTTGACCCTGATCTGCAAGTTAAAAATCGTAATAACAACCTCCTATGGTTGTTGTGAAGGTTAAACAACATATCATACCCAAAAGTGTGTTTAAAAACTGTATGACATGTAACAGGTGCTAAATCCTGTTACTTCTCTCCTTTTTTGGTTCAGGAGGCAACACCAGAGTGGTGAAGCTCTGAAGTCATCATTCCAAGGCTTGAATCCTCCTTCCATCACTAACTCTGGAGCCCTAAGCAAGTCACTTTACCTCTTGGAGTCTGTTATCCTGTTTGTAAAATGGAGTTAATAATAGGTTCTACCTCATAAGGACTCACATGGAAAAACACACACACACACACACACACACACACACACACACACACACAAAGATCTTAGAACAGTGCCTGGCCAAGAGGAAACACTCAGTATACGTGAGCTGTTACATACGAAATCAAATTGCTCTTCCCCTAGACTTTCAAATTTCCAATGGTCCTAGAAACAGAGCTTGAAAAGAAAGAGAAAATAAGTTTTAGTGCCTGAATCACATATGTTGCTATTAAATGGGTGAATAAATGAAAGAAAGACACATTTTCATCAAAGACAAATAATAATACAGTCAGTTGATGCAAAGTAGTACTAATGGATGGTGCATATAAGGAAGGCAGCAGGGCACCAAACGTGTTAGGGGTCACTGTGAGCTGGCGTCCTGAGGAGGGTGTTACCTTGGAAAGGGAGATCATGTCCCAGGAGGGCAATAGCTTGAGCCAAGGTAAAAGACAAGGCTGTGTAAATAGAAGGATGCAAATTTCAAAGTGGCTAATGTCCTGTGCCTTTTTATTCTCATTCTCCAACCACGTAGGGAGCCCCTACTCTGCCCAGCACTGTGCTTGGCCTTACAGCTACTCAGATGAGCAAGATACAGTCCCTGCCCTTAAGAATCTCAAGGTCCTTTGGGAGGCTGAGACGAGCAGATCACGAGGTCAGGAGATCGAGACCGTCCTGGCTAACACGGTGAAACCCTGTCTCTACTAAAAATAAAAATAAAATAAAATAAAATAAATTAGCCGGGCATGGTGGCAGGCTCCTGTAGTCCCAGCTACTCAGGAGATTAAGGCAGGAAAATGGCATGAACCCAGGAGGCGAAGCTTGCAGTGAGCCGAGATTGGGGCACTGCACTCCAGCCTGGGCGACAGAGCAAGACTCTGTCTCAAAAAAAAAAAAAAGATCTCAAGGTCTAGGAGGGAAAACAGACTAGCAGGCAGATGATTCCAGAAGAGGGTGCTAATAGCTGCAGTGGAGCAAGGCACAGGTTATTATGGAAGAACAGAGGGAAGGGATCCAACTGACCCTCACAGCACAGGAGCAGAAGGGGGAAGAAAGAGGGCTTCCCTCAACAGGGGAATAATAGTAACAAGACATCAATAACAGCACAATAACTTCAGTTGAGAACTCATTACATATCAGGGACTATGTACCCTATGCATTTCTTTGCTTCTAACTACACTACACACACACATGCACACACACAAGCGCACATTTAACTATTATTATCTTCATTTTCCTGATTATGATAGGACACAGAATCAGAGTGGTTAAGTAACCTGGGAGAGGTCACACAGTAACCAAGAGAGCCTGGATATGGACAACTAGATTGCAGAAGCAGTGCTCTCAATCTCTCTACGACCCAGCCTCTGAAAATCATGAATATTTCAAATCATATCTCCTTTTAGCAATATATAACAGAAACCAAAACCTCTCCTTGGCGTTGCTATTGTACACGTGTTGACAGCAGAGTCTTCGAGGCCTTTATCGGAATGCACTGCAGCAATGACACAGATGGAAATTCACCATCCTCTGAGTTTTCTTGGGTTCTTCCCATTCAGCAAAAGGGGATAGCTTATTTAGGGGAGCACTGGCCATGATGACCTGAATGAGGCTGGAAAGTGACTTGCACTTTGCCTGAGGCTGCATGTTATAAGGAGACAATTCCCTTTCTAATGCTTCCCCATTGTTACTCAGGAAATAGTCCTCATCACCTGACTCCCTATCTAGGGGGATTCCCACTTCTTATAAAATATACCGAAAGGAAATAAGAAAGGCCAAATTTTGATGGGCTTATTTATTGATGAGAGCGCTGTTTTTGCCTTGGATTCATTCATGCGCAGTGGGAAGAAGTATTCAAATGACAAGAGTTAAATTCAAAACATGTAGCCGCTTTCTGTTACATTTTTTTTCTAACTGAAGGCAAACCATTTAGATGTTTGTTTCCAAAAAGGCATCTGTCAGCAATCAAAGGGGAAAAATGCATAAAGCAAATGCAATTGTTTGGAGTAGCATTTCCTGGATCATGTTAAATGCTTGAATTGCTCCCCATTATGCTCACCAAATAATTTTATTTCCCACAATAATTGCAATATTTAACATGTTTTATTTAATCTTTTTTAAAGGCTATTAACAAAGGGCCACACTGTGAAAAGATTGATTGCTGCATGGGAAGGACAGCTTCCACCAGCCTCTTAGAGAACAATGATAAAGTTAAATGCACCTAATTGTTCTGGATTTAAAATACTATTATCCAATAATATTTATCATTTTTTTGTTCAAACTATGTGCCCTCTCCTGCAAAATCTTCCCGGCTATTCTATCATTCACAGAGTGAAATCTGGACTCCAGTTTACCTTGTGCTCCATTCATTCATAAATAATGGGCATGCATAGGGTGTTCTGAGTCTCAAAAATGCAGCGACTCAGACAAGAAACAGCTCCAACTTCAGAGGTTGCTGCAGGATAAACTCAGAAACTGTAAAGCTGTGGACCCACAAGTCCAAGATGTCCATGTGCCTGTATACCCTGGGAGAAAGCAGAGGAGACCCTAAAACAGGGAAATTTTGTTTTGTCTGCTTGTCAGAGGCAAGTAGGAATGGATGAAGTAGAATCAGAGGTTGGTTGATTCAAAGACAGAATGCTACTTCATTTCTTTTCTTCTTCTTTTTTTTTTTCCTCCTTTTTTTGTTTGGTTGATGATATTTTACATTTTATGTAGAATTTCCAACTTTTTTCCTTATCTTTCTCTAAATGATAAACTTAAGAAAGACTAAGTAATTTTAATGATGCTGCAGTTACATATGGCAATAAATGTTTTCATTGGCAAGCTCAGGGCAAGTTTCTGGTAGTATGTCCATTGTATTCATTGGACACAAGCTAACAACATTTCCTGTGCTACTGCAGACTCTTCTTCTGAAAAGACAGGTGACACCAAGGTAATAAAGTATACAAAGATACTTCCTAAGAGTGATGACAATATTTACATTTGATAATAATTCTGGCTATCGCCTCTCACCCCAATTTTATTAGAAGAAATCCCATTACAATAAGGAATGAAAAAGAAAAAAAATGCCATATTTGTTGTATTTGTAGTTCATTCCTAGAAGCAGTCTGTGCATCATGCTTTAAGTTAGAAATATTTTTGGTGCAACACGATAAAATTTGCTTTAATACAGTTATTTTTGTCAAAACAGCATGCTAAATGGTTAAAATAATACCTACTAAGGAAGAGATCAGAAATAGGAAAGAAAAATGCACCAAATTTACCTCTTTGGAACTTAAAATATGCTCTGAATGAGTTTATCTAAATATTATTCAGTCCAAAATATGACCAGAACCAAAAATCCACTGGATAATTAGGCAGTAAATGCACAACTTTTTAAATAATCACAGTTCAACAGCCCTGAGAAATAGTGATGGACAATTCTCCCATATTCTGGAGTACATATATTGAAGGCCCATAGCGGAGAAAACTGTAGGTTCTTGGAGATCAAAGGATCGCTTATATTCAGAAAAAATTAGGATGTGTTTGGTGCACATCCACGAAAATTAGGACGTGTTTGGTACCCTGATAAAGGTATTTCTACAGTTCCTAGTGTCACACAATTTGAAAGAATATAACGAATACAAGTCATTCTCTCTGCTTCTTTCTCCCTCTTAGTCCTAAGTAACATTACTTGAAATGCAGCAACTGTCTGGACTTTTTCTCACTTTAAAAAAAATTATTTTTACAACCATTCTTATTGGTAGGTCCATATTGTGGTTTACTTTTCCATACTAAAGAGAGGATGTGTGGTTAAAAACCCCTGTGAAGAAGATGGCTAGGTTATAGTAAGGAAATCAGAAGTGACTTTCTCTGATTAAGGAAGAGCTCATGTCAAGTTTAGCCTGAATTGTGCTAAACCGAATTGATAATGACTGATTGCTTTGTTTACAAAGAATGGAAAAGTCCAAAATTAATGTATTTAAAAAGACACCAAAAAACATCGGTGGTGCCTAGCCCAGCATAGGTTAGAACTTGTAAAATATCAGTAATGTATTTATTTACTCACATAAATCATACATCTAAACACAATGCCAGCCAAACCAAAAATCAAGAGACTTGAATGCTGCCATCTCTTGTTTATCTTCCTTCATGACTAAATTAACTAATGAGTTAATTTTCAAAAAATAAAGTAAGGAAAGAGAAATATTTTTTCCTGGAAATTTTTTTTTTAACTCCTTGGAAAACCTGTTCAGTTGTTCCCAGATTTAGTTTGAGACTTTTCCAACAGAGATGTGTAAGACAGCAAAACTGAACTAAACATTTTTGTAAATGCACGGCTCACGTTCTTGAGAAAAGTGGCTGTGAAAAACAGATACTGAATCAGACTTAAAGTCAAAGAAGGGGGGGTGAATAGGGGGGAAAAAGCCCAAAACATTGCATGATAGTCTCTAAGCAGTTCCATCTGTCAAGCAGAAATTTTAGGCTAATAGCCTGTGGCGATCTCCCTCCGCAGTCCACTACCTGCCTTTGTCCTATTAAATCTCTTTATTCTCCTTAAAAAAAAAAAAAAAAAAAAGAGGGGGGGATTGGTTATTGGAAGGAAAGGAAAAACCCCGCAGACCAAAATCATCTGAGTGATGAAGCCCTAATTTTAACTACCTCCCTTTGATGTGTAGCAGTGGGCTCTTGTTTTTTTAAAAAGGAGAGAGGAGAAGACAGTGCTAGGAGCAGAAGACTTTTCATCTCCACTTCACCTTGCCACTGGGTCTGTGAGAGATTGGTTCATTGTCAAGGAGATTTTTTTTTTTACCCATGATTCCATATGGTATGGACCGGACTACATGTTGCCCCACATGCCACTGCAAATGTTTTCTCAATTAGGTGTCTTATCTCCCGTGAGTTAGCATCAGATGAAGCTTGCTGACAGCGTAATGGCAGGGAAAGCTTCCGACGGCTCCATCAAATGGCAGCTCTGCTACGACATCTCGGCCAGAACTTGGTGGATGGTGAGTTGGCAGCCGGGGCTGCTTTTTTTTTTTTTTTTTTTTTCCTTTTCTACTTTCCCTCCCTCTTTGACAAAATGTCCCAGACCTCACATTCATCAAACTCACATTTGATTTTTTTCACACTATTCAGTGAGGCAGCCTCACACTGCTGCCTCTTGCCATCCTCTCTCTGCCACTCTGCGACTTGAGTTCCCAGGAATGCTTGCCCTCATTTTCCATGGGACAGTATTTGGGGTTTTCTATTTTTTTTTAATTCTTTTTTAAAGAGTATCAGTTGTAAGGTGGAGGTGGATATTTTAGCCAAGTCAGTATTGGGGGAAAAAGTGAAACATTCGTCCCAGCCCTCAGGTTTTGCCCCCTCTCTCCAGTTTCACATCCCCCTTACTTTTGTTTTCAGGGACTATGGGGTGTATGGTTTTCTCTGGCTGTGGCATTTTCTGAGGACGCGTGTTGGGCACTAGGGAGAAGCAACCTCTGAGTGAATTCTAGTCCTGGCCAATTAACTGGATTGCCTAAAGTCACCTGTGAGAGAACTCTGGGTCCCCACTCCCTATTTTCCATCAGGGTCCCACAGCTCTCATCTAACTTTTCTCCGTTTATGTCAGAGCAGGTTTTCTGTCTCTTAGGCACTCTAGCTCTGAGTGGAAAAGACCCACACACTCTATCTTTTAGTTACTCTGGATATAAATAAAGTTTGAATAAAGTTCTGCCATGCAGCAGCAGAATGAGTTAACTCACATGTCATGGTCAACCAGGACAGACAACCTTTGACATTTTGGATCTATAAGAGGTAGAGTGAGTTGTGAGGATGCACAATAGCTCATTGTCACAGGAGATGCAAGTCCCGTGAGGAAGAGAGTCCTCAAATCATTACTGCCCTCGTTAGGGTGGTGTCCGTTAAGGATTAATTTGTTAGCAGTGCATTTCTAGTTTTCCGTAATTATTATTCTTGCGGCAAGCGTGAATTCTTCCAGGGAGTGAAAAAAAAGTTTGCTGCCAGGACAATGAATGTATTATCCGTTCCTAACTGGACCGTGAACTTCAGCTCATTTCACATAGATATCAGTTTAAGAAAAAAACAGAGAGAGAGAGAGAGAGAGAGAGATGTTGAAGGGGGAGACTGGCGAATGGAATTACAAAACAGGGCATGGTCGGTTTCACTGTATGATCTGCAGAAAGAGTTCTCTTTTCCCCTTCCTGGACCAATGGTGGTATCATTTTGGCAAGTTTTAGGAATTCGGAGGACTGAGAGACTGTTAAAAGTGAGCTACCGCAGGATTCTATCCGGCTGCTTCTTGGGATGCAGTATGTCCATCCTAAGGACTGTTGAGTTAAAGTGGTTGTGGGTATGTGTGTACATGTGTGTTTTAACTTGTAATTTCTTAACTAGACATTAGAAACTTTACCAGTAATTTCAGGACAATGTTGCATGCAGCTTTTGGCTAATTAGACTAACAGTAGACTATCCACTTTGACCCTGAACTTTTGTTCAGGGCACTTATTTTCCCATTAGAGTTCTTGCCAGCAAGAACAAGGTTTACTTGTGTATGCTATGATGTTACCTATTGCTTCACTTTATACAGCTTGTTAAACATTAGAAATGAATATACTGATTGGTTTAGCAATGATTTTCTAAGTTGTAAGCTTTTTTTGAAAAAACTGCACGCTGATGTCATATTCTGGGTGAAACATTTTACTTCCTTGTATTTCAACAGCTCATAGATTTTATAGACTGTTACTTTTTATGGCAAATTGTGTCATCTCTCTCTTTTTTTTTTCTTGCAAAGATCACCAAATGCTTCTCTTTTTTTAACTTGGAAAACTGTAATTTCTTTTTTGTAAAGTTTACTTGGAAGTTGCTTTTCATTTAAAATTATTTTACAGATGTTTTACCGCCGGGAATATAACATATAAAAGTGGTGGAAACATTTAGCAATGCAGTTGCCTAAAAATAAACAATGTTGAAAGCTCACATGCTGCTGTTTAGGCTGCACACTACAGGGAAGTTTCTCTCAACTTCAGTGCTTCTAGATCTTTGCTTTGAAAAGGAGTGAGAAATCAGAGCGCTCTCTAAAGAAGTTATACAAGTTATCATAGGGAATAAATCAATTTGTTTCTTTCCCTCAAAGGTGACCACATACCATGGCATTTCAGATCTGTCAGTTACCAATAATTCTAATGTAAATTTCCCATTATTGATGGGAAATTGAGGACTTTGATGAAGGAGGAGGGAACTAATTAAAATAATACAAATTTCACATTTTCTCTTAGATCTCTTTCCTTGAATAACATGCTCTCCCTCTCCCTCCATTCACCCACCTCGCTATCCCAAACAATTTCCCCAGCTGAAAGAAAAATTTAAACTTCCCTCTGGCTGATATAGTTATTTAATCAAAGGACAGTACAAGATCGGAGTTTCACACTAAAGGCAAATAAAGCTTTAAAATTACCTCATGCGTCATCTGGCTGCACAGACTCCGGGCTCATAGTGGGAACCTCCGGCTTGGTCCTCCCAGCATACAAAGGCAACTCAGTGAATGCCCCCTCCGCCCGTGGAGACGCGGCCTCAGCTGCCAGCGACGGGATATGCAATTTTGCTTTTTAATGAATCGTAAACAATTTGTATGGCAAATGAGTTTGTTTGTTTTAGTTTGGGGGCATATGTTGTACCAGGTTGTAGACAGTCATTACCTACTCCAGAATTTTAGGTGAGAATGAGTAGAGCTCTGGATCATTTTTATTTTTCTAAATAATAAAGACACACTAGGATGAAAGAAACTGGTTAATAAAAGACTGAGAATAACAACCTCTCTTCTCCTTCCCTCTCTCCCCTCTTTTCCTCTCTATCCCCACCCCCTCTCATAACTCACTCAGGCTTACAGTAGGGCTTTAGCTACACTTTTTGATAACTAACTGGAAATAATCGGTTGACTCGATTAATTTTTAATTTTTTTAGGTATAAATTTTAACTTTGTCTTTAAAAGACTACTTTTGTTTAAGAAACAGTTATTTTAAAATATGTAATATGGAGAAGGGCCATCTCTGTCCTCCATTACTTTTTTTGGTTGAAGCTAAGGTTGCCTTGAGGGACATGGATATAAGAATGATAAATACATGTTTTATATCAAAATGAAGCAAGAAAGGGGTCTTGATATTGAAAAGTCAAATAAAAAAGTTTATTCAAACCCACAGAGTTGTAAACAACTTAGAAGTTAACAAGCAACCAGGGTTCAAGCATGTACATTTTAACAGTAATTACCTTTGGCGCTGCCACTTATGAGAAACCTTTTGATATCTGAGCCACTTCTCTAATGCTTTAATCATGCAAATCAAGAAATAGATATTACATATCAACTTAATCTAGCTGTGTTGTGACATCGCTAGCAGAAACTCTCCCATAGAAAACTAAAGAAAACCCTCATGAAATTTTCCTCAGCTCCAAATGAAATGGAGGCACCCTAGAAGCATGTATTTGCTTCAAAATATAATTCTGTCCAGCAGAATTATCTCCATTCTACCCATATGGCATGAAATGAAGGCAGAATGAACATTCTCCTCTTCATAATGATAACAATGTGTTATGGAACTATTTTTATGTGAATTACAAAATGCACTTGTCTTGCTTCTGCCCTCCAATTTAAAAACTCATAGTGACTGTGAAATGAAGGCAACTAAATTATCCTACAGCCCCCTCACCCCATGCTAGGTCCTGAAGCACTTATTTTGGGAGCATTCTCTTTCAAAAATTTGACATACAGTTTTAAAATCAAGAACTGTCTGTCACTTACTCAAACTTGTACAACTCAAACTTTGCATACCAGGAAAACACTTGGGCAAAAAGAATATGCTGTGCCTTGTGGTACAAATGCCTACTTTTTAAAGTACACATGTAAAAAATAGCAAGATACTTCTATGAAATACTGCCTTACTATGTTCAACAATTCAAAAAAAAAAAAAACTCAACTCCAGCCTACTTCCCAAATGATTGGCAGCTTTAACCACTGCAGACACAAAATTAAGAACACATATTTCACGGAAATCTTTGTTGTTGTTAAGATGTGTTGGATTCACATATTACGTTGTATTTACCATTTCAATTTTCAAAATTCTCAGCTGAACAACTCTTCTTAATGATTGTTTGTTATAATTATTTGAAGATATTGCCTAATGGAGATTTGTCTATAAATTTGCACTTATGCTTTTATGATAAACTAGGAAATTGCTAAAATATCTATAAATAAAAAGACTCAAAATGAGGAGATTCAATAAATTATAAACCATATCATATTCTCAGCACTCAGCATATTTTTAAAGAGTCCATGGTAAACATATTTATACACTTTCTATTTAATGCATTTGCAAACTCTATTTTTAAGTATTTTCACAGATATTTTGCAGATATTTGCAGTGCAGTGGCTCTACCTGAGCTTATTTTTAAATGCACAATTTTTATCGACCATTATAAATATATGTAAGTATATTAATTTCTAAGAATATGCATTAACTTACAAGATTTCTGTACACTCCAACATTATTTTCTCACAGTATAAGCAGACTGCAAGCAAAATCTGAATGGGATAGGTTTTTTTTCCCTCTCACATATATTAAGAAGTTATCCTTATCATTTTCTTTTAGGTTAGCCTTGTACAACATCTTTTAAAGTACCATTTACTATTTTTAGGGATACATTGAACTATGTTCCTATTTTTTTTTCTTTAAATCAAATTACGATCCAAATGTACTTCATTCAGAATTGTGATTGGTTACTTAAGCAAGCCTATGTACTTCTACTATCTTTTTAAAAATCTTGATTTCCTGTTGTTATACTCATATTTCCCCTGTGAACTTTAGACAGTGAAATAAATGCTTTGTCCTTACTTATTTTCTAGTTGATTTTCCTTCACCTGTACTGAATATTGACAGGAATGTTTCTAATTTAAAACCAAAAGAGTCAGGGGCTGATTAGAAGACAGGAAATTGGAGGATTAAACTGTCTGGTTGCACTTCCTTTACTTATCAGCACTCAGTAACTCACTCTAGATTACAAACTCAACAGGACAATTTTTACAATGCATTGTTTCTTCTGGATGTTTACATATATACAGTGCATGTGAGGGTGTGCGTGTGTGTGTGTACACGCGCAACCAGGCATGCACATGTATCTGTATGTGTCTGCATGTGCATTCATGAGTAGGAACAGAAAAGAACCAGCAGCTGGTAGTTATAAGTAGACGCTTTTAAGTGGGATAGTTTTAAACCAAAGGGGCTTATACTATGGGTATGAAAGTTCATTCAAAGACTGTAATCCCAGGATACTCTCAAAACTTTCTTACCAAAACAGTTCTGTGAAACCAAGCAAACAATGAAATACTGTAAGGGAGAAAGCAAGACGCACTATTTTGAAAATGAAAAATAGATTGCAGTAGCCCTAATGCAGTCCATTTTCCTCAAATTCCAAACACCCATATTAGTGAATGAATAGAGAAGGGTACCCATAAGGAGTGAGGGTGTTAATCTAACAGGCATTCAAAACCATTTTGAGATCCCTTTGGCACCAACTGAGAAAGGAATCTTTCTAACTGTGGCAGCAGGTCTGAATGTTCCAGGTGAGCATATATGATGAAATGGGTGCTTAGCAGGGAATGAAATAGCAGATCAGGACAAGAGGGTAAGGATTCATCTTATGCCATCAGATCATTTAAAATTAAAAATAAATTACGAAAACAAAACACTGTTCTAGATTTTTACTGTGTCGTATATCTTTGCAGAGCCGTGCTCTGGAAACCATGCTGAGAATTATCATTCCTGACCTCACTCTGCTCACCTCTGTTGCCCTCAATAAGTATTTGTTGATTTGGCTTAAGAGAGTTCTAGATGAATATGTGACCATTTTTCCTGCTTCTAATTGCAATGGTGGGTTCTACTGAGAGATATAGAAGATGAAGAGGAGTGTGTGATCTGGCAAAATGAGCTGGTTGCTTAGACTGGTAGAGCTGGGAGTTAACATTTAGGGGCTTGTTCTGGTAGCCCTTTATTCCTTCACCTATTCACCAAATATGTATTAGGCCCCTACTAAGGGCCAGAGGGGGTGAAAATCAGTGGCTGCTTCTGCCAGCTGCCATCATTCAAGTTTTAAAAACACTAGGGAATCCCTCCGCACCTAATGAATAACATTGATTGATAACTATCTGTGAGAATCTGTGCTAGGGGCTTTACATTTTTTTTTATTTTTCATTTAATCTTCACCACAAACCTATGAAGTAAGCATTATTGTCCCGCTTTATATATACAAGAACCAAGACTAAGAAAACATTGCCCACTGCCCAAGGATATGCCCAGGCCGAGGATAGGCCACCCAGACTATAGAGTCCACTTGCTTAATCTTAGACCAAATTTGTCTGAAGTTAATTCATTATTTTAGCACTAGAATGTAATGTTATTCAGAACTTCACAGAAGTAGGATCATCCCTTCGTAGGATGGTATTCAAGGGGCACAAGTCTGTTTGCTAAGATAATAGAGGCAGAAAAAATGTATATTGTGTCAAAAGCAAGAATAGGACACAAGTCTTGTGGTGCCTGGTCCCTGTTCCAGAAGCATTGTCCATGTTTCTGTTCTGAAGCAGAAAAGCTAGTCTCATCACCAACAAAAGAAATTCATTAGACAGATGAGAGAGTCTGATGCAAAGAATGCACCTAGGCATATTAAAATGCACCTTTTCATCAGAAGGTGCATGCACGGGTCAGGGAAACCCAGTGTGTCTAAGTTCTTGCCAAATATTGAGAACTTTTTTTTCTGTTAGTAATTTAATCTTTATTTAGCAAATATTTCACTTACAGTTTTAAATGGAGCATTCCATTAAAGAAAAAAAAAAAAAGAGGCCATCCTTCCAAAGAAAAGTTCCAGGTTTTGGCTCTCTGTCTCCCTTTTTTATAATAAGCAGAAATGCCAACATATAACAGTATTGGTGTTGAATACTTTTTGTTGCCACAGAATTGCTAATTAAAGGTTTGTCCCAATGTAGAGTTTTCTGTAGGAGAAGACACAACCCAGGATATATATTGCCTAATGGCAAAGATCTTAATACACGCATTACAAGTAAACATCTATTTTCCAGACAACTGCTGACTATAAACAGTGTGTCTCAGCCAGAGCTTTTTAATAGTGCCACATGTGGGACAGATTTCTTATTCCTCCTAACCCAAGTTCCTTTTGTGATCCTTGATGTGCACATGCTATTGCCCTGCTGACTATTTTAAATGGATGATAATTGGGAATAATGACCGGGTCAGAGGTAGGGATGCGTAAACCCTGGCAGAGCAGCCTTCCACCAAGTCAAAGCACATGGGGCCCTCAGAGCCGGGAGCCGGCACTTGTAAGCTGAATTGAGCACACAATGTATGTGGCTGGCCACATACGTTGCCAAATAAATATCACATTACACATCCCATCTCCCCCACGTGACCTTGGTGTAGACAAAGTCTAAACTCATCTAGGAGATGAGAACATTTTTGTTCCGAGAATGATCCCATCTGCCTCCCCCAACTCCCAAATATCCTTCAACCCCTCTCCTTCACAGATGTGTGCTTTTCAGTCCTGCGGAGGAAATGCCTTAGCGGCTGGGTTTGATAAGCCCTCTTCAAATGTTGAAAAGACAAACAGTGTCGGCTAAATAATTGATTTCATCTATTCATTTAAGAATCAATTACAGTCATCCCACCTTATCCAAGGAGGATACATTCCAAGACCCCTCGCGGATGCCTGAAATCACAGATAGTACAGAATCCTATGTATACTATTTTTTTCTACACATACATACCTATGATAAAGTTTAATTTAGAAATTGGGGCTAGTAAGGGATTAACAATAACTAATAATAGAACAATTATAACACTATACTATAAAAAAAGGGTATGTGAACATGCTCGCTTGCTCACTCAGAATATCTTATTGGACTGGACTCACCTATTTGCAGACTGAGGTTGACCTCAGGTAACTGAAGCTGCAGAAAGTGAAACCACATTTGACGGTGGACTCCTGTAAAATTATCACATATTGTTTCGTTGTGTCTCACTTTAAGAAAAATGGCGGCCGGGCGCGATGGCTCACGCCTGTAATCCCAGCACTTGGGGAGGCCGAGGCGGGCGGATCACGAGGTCAGGAGTTACACACCAGCCTGAGAAACATGGTGAAACCCCGTCTCTACTAAAAACACAAAAATTAGCCCAGCGTGGTGGCGGGCGCCTGTAATCCCAGCTACTCGGAAGGCTGAGGCAGGAGAATCGCTTGAAACTAGAAGGCGGAGGTTGCAGTGAGCTGAGATAGTGCCACTGCACCCCAGCCTGGGAGAAAGAGCGAAACTCCATCTCAAAAAGAAAAAAAGAAAAATGGCAACTTCAGTTCTCGTTTTTGTAAGTATGCGAGAAACGCCCTGTTATCAGGTGTCATAGCCTGAACTCCGTCCTAATAAACAGTAAGGAATCTTTGCATGCTTGTAATACATTGCCCAATACTGAGGTCCAAGTCAATACAGTATTGTTGGCAGAACTGCATAAGAAAAAAAAAGATAAATAATTGACCTAGGGGGGAATAACTATAGGAGGGGTTGATATAATTTCTCAATGAAAAGTCAAGAAATAACAAAGCTAAAAATGGGGAGCACAAATGCACACGTCTTCAGACCAGGCAGGTCAGCTAAGTGGAAGAGGCAGTGGGGCTGTGATAAGTACACACAGGGGTGTGTAGGGCGGGGTGGGGTCTGTGACAAACTGGAAAGTGATTTACCACAAACAACAACAGTGAATACAACACTGTACTAACCAAACAGAATGCATCTGCTGCCTGGGGCCTAAAGCTATTGTGCATACACCATGGATCAGAAGATAGAATGAGGTTCTGGCATCAAAGTGTTTTATTCTACAAGAGGAAAGAAACTTAAACGTTACATGGGAAAGGGATTACAGCAATGTAACCCACATAAATTACTACACTACAGGTTAAACCATTCACGTCTGATCTTTTCTTCCTGGCAGACTTTTGTGGGTGGGAGAAGAGAGGCAGAGGACCATGTCAGTATCTAAAATAGGAAAAGGGGCCCTGGCGCAGGAAAGACACTTGGCAGACTAGAGATGTTGGGAGATGTTGGAGGATTCATAGGGGATGCAGAAAAAGAAGCCTGGTGATGATAGAGACCAGCAGAGCCTTACCTGCCCACTCCATTTCCCTCTACTCTGGCCCCAGATTTTTCATCCATGGATTTGGAATCCGTAGGGTCTCATGGACTATGAGTTCCAGGAAAAGATTCTTCCCTAGCACTCAGGCTGATGCTCATGCCCATTTTCTCCACCCAACAAACTGTACCCTTCCTGCCAGGCTACATACAAATGAAGGCTTCTCCCTGAAGCCTTCTCAGGTCCCTTCAGGCAAAATGAGTCACTTCCCCGCCCCCTCCCTCTGGCCTCACAGCTGCTTGCTCATAGTACTATGACAGTGATTAAATTGTGTTGGAGTTTTTCTCTTTACTATCCAACCCCACTACATTGCTTGTTGCTTAAGAATAAAGACTAGGGTCCTACACGTCATATCTCCAGTGCCTAGCCTTTGGCAAGTATCACCTCCCTACCCGCCCACACCACCCCACCCCACCCCCCAAAAACAAAACAGTGTAGTTCAGTAGGAGGTGAAGTTGGGGAAGTGAGGGCAAGAAGGGCTAGTGGGTCTTCCAGGACTCTGCTTCCCCCAGAGCAGGAGCCTCAAGACTACAAGAGGTAGACTATCCAGCAAACTGCTGCCTGCCATGTGTTGATGGAGATTTGTGATGCCTGTGTGTTGACTGCTTGCTCTGTGTAGGCACTGAGCCCAGCAAGTGCTCTACACACATGGGAGCTTTTCTCAAAACATCCCTTTGACGTCAATATCATTGTTTCCACTCCACCAATGAGGAAACTGAGTCATAGGGCTGAAGAAGCCAGTAAATAGTCTGAGAACCCCCAAAGCTAAGTTCTCCTATGCTGTGATAATGCTAATAGGTCCAGCACTGTCATGCTCTAAGGCTCAAAAAAAGACTGTGATAATTAAATGCGGGCAACATTTCACATCATTTTGTAAAGGAGAAGACTGGAGCCCTAAAGGCTAAAATTCTTCCAAAGTCGAAGTATTGACAAAATTTTGGGTCTGGAATTGAGGCCTCTAGTGAGCTTCCTGCTAAATACCCATGGTAGAGAATCATAGTGTATGCTATTATTTAACTAAAACCAAGCAAGCATTTTCTCCTTCTCTTCAGTTATAGGTTAACATGAGATTTTCATTTTTTTTTTCTTTTGGCTTTTCTGTATCTTTTAATTTTTCTTCAATGAACATGTATTTTTTACTTATAAAATAACATTTAACAAAATCATACTCACTAAAGATATTAGTCCGTTTCTCACTGATCTCGTAAGAATGGCAGTAGCAGATGTCATAAGACTGGTCTTTGAGGATGTACATATATTCAAAGTAGAATGGTGCCCATTTTTTTCATTAAAGTCCATACTCAATGGCTCAATTATTGTTTTTAAGACTTTATTTATTTATTTATTTATTTATTTATTTTGAGACAGGGTCTCACTCCGTCACCAGGGTGGGGCGGGAATGCAGTGGCACAATCACAGCTCACTGCAACCTCTACTTCCCGGGCTCAGGAGATCCTCCCACCTCAGCCTCTCTGAGTAGCTGGGACTACAGGTACGCACCACCACCCCCAGCTAATTTTTTGTATGTTTTGTAGACATGGAGTTTCGCCATGTTGCCCAGGCTGATCTTGAACTCCGGGGCTCCAGCAGTCCCCCTCCTTGAGCCCCCCAAAGTGCTGACACTACAAGCGTGAGTCACCACTCCTGGCCAAGACTCCTATTTCTATAGTGGGTCAGGTAGTTCTTCCTATTTCCCATTTCCCAGTGTAGCAGCTGTCAGAAGCACCAATTTCTGATTAAGCACACTGGTCAAATCCTGGCTCTGCCGTGGATGTGCTGTATATAACCATGGGATGGACAGTGACATTCTGAATCTGTTTGTGTCTTCAAATTGGAAATAAAATAATCATAGTGCATTAGGAGGATTAGATGAAACAATGCATATTGCATAGTCCAGAAATCTGGGAAGAATTCTCACACCTTCCTCTTGCTTACCCAACATCTAATCCCAAATAAATCCTGATAAATTTACCTCTTAGGTAATTCCTAAATCCATCCACTCTCCCCATCTCCTCCACTCTTCCCCCATCTAAGCTACTCTCTGTCTAGCCCACATTACCATAGTAGCTTCCTAACTGGTCTCATGGCATCCTTGCCCTCCACAATTTATTCTTTACACTTAAGGCTAAAAGATCTTTCCAGACACACGTAATCATCATTTCAATGGATTACTCTTCCTCCTAGATAAAGAGCAAAATCCTTAATGAGACCTGCGTAGTTTTGCCTTTCCAAGCCTGTCTTGAGTCATTCTTCTTCTCCCTAAACATACTCTAGCCAGTTAATCTTCTGTGAGTTCCTCAAAACCCCCAAAATCTCAAATCTTACCCATATTAATCTGCTTTCCCTAGAAACATTCCTCTCTTTGTAGTTAACACTTCTACACCATTCCCAATATGAATGTGGCCTTTTCATGAAAACTTCCCTATCCCCAGACTTTATCAAAGGACACTACTGATAAACTCTCAGAACATTCCAGATGTTCCTTTATATAAACAAATAGAGCTGTTATGCTTATAAATATGTGTGACTATTGGGTTACTTTATGTTTCTCCCAAAATAATATAAGCTCCACGAAAGACAATGTCTTACTCATACATGTTTTCTTGCATCCAGGACAGAACCTGGGTGGTAAGTAAATATTCATTGATTGAATAAGCACATAGACAGTAGAGTGGCTGCCATAGTGAACACCGAGATATTATTAACCATTGTTGTCATAATTAATATTTGCCACAAACAGAAAGGTGTTTTAATGTGGATAAAGTCCCCTTTTATGTCTTTAAAGAAAATCCATTTCTCTCTAGTAAAACAGAAATTAGAGACTAAAGAGCTGAGAGCCCCACCCCGGGTTTGGGACCTGGCTCTGTCATGTGCTAGGAATGGACTTCAGCCATGTGATTTCACGTCTATGACTGTGGAGCGTTATATGAGTTAATGCCACTGATGTGATTAGCATGGTATTTCGCACACGGTAAACATTTAATAAATGCTTTATTATTACTTTCAATATTATAAATGGTCCCAAATCTTCTTCCAGTAATCTGTATGGCCTTTAAAAAGCCCCTTAAGCTTTCTGGTTGTCAGTTTTGTCATCTTTAAAATAATAGTGTCATTTTTCCTATGGTTCATGAGGCTGTTTCAAAGATCAAATGAATCAACAGGGAGAAAAAGCCTCTCTGAAAATTAAAAAAGTGGGATCCAAATAGAAGAGGCTACTATTGCTAAGCCTAAAAACACAGGCTGCAAATAGACACATTCTACCAAAATCCTCATGGCCTTTTCTTTTTCTTTTTTTTTTTTTTTAGATAGAGTCTAGCTCTATCTCCCTGACTGGAGCGTAGTGGCGCGATCTCTGCTCACTGCAAGCTCCACCTCCCAAGTTCACACCGTTCTCCTGCCTCAGCTTCCTGAGTAGCTGGAACTACAGGCACCTGCCACCACGCCCAGCTAATTTATTGTATTTTTAGTAGAGACGGGGTTTCACCATGTTAGTCAGGATGGTCTCGATCTCCTGACCTCGTGATCTGCCCGCCTTGGCCTCCCAAAGTGCTGGGATTATAGGCATGAGCCACCGTGCCCAGCCCTCATGGCCATTTCTTTATCTTCTCTTCACCATGGGCCATATGGGGGAAAGGAGAAGTAGTTCAACACACCTAGTCAACAATGACTTCAAGTATTGATCATTGAAGGGATGTGCATGTGTTTGTAAGGGGAAGAAGAGTGAGAAATTAATAAAGAGAGTTTAGTTTAAGAGCACACACTCTGGAATGAGAATGCACATTTTGAATTCCTTCTCCACAACTCACAGGCAATGTGACCTCAGGCAAATTGCTTAATCTACTCACCTGTAAGTTGGACAAATGCTAGTACCTGCCTCATGGGTTGTTGTAAGGATTAAATTATCCGTATAAGTCACTGAGAATATTGCCTAACACATGTCATACTCTTAATAAAGATCAGCTATTAAGATTGTAATCATTTTCATCATTATCATCATTATTATTTTGGTAACTATAGTGTTTTAAGAGATTAATATTCAGGGGCCTAGAAAGTTAGCAAGCTGGGGCCGGGCATGGTGGCTCACACCTGTAATCCCAGCACTTTGGGAGGCCAAGGCGGGCGTATCACCTGAGGTCAGGAGTTCGAGACCAGCCTGACTAACATGGTGAAACCCGTCTCCACTGAAAATACAAAAAAAAATTAGCCGGGTGTAGTGGTGGGTGCCTGTAATCCCAGCTACTTGGGAGGCTGAGGCAGGACAATCACTTAAACCCCAGAGGCAGAGGTTGCAGTGAGCCGAGACCATGCCATTGCACTCCAACCTGGGCAACAGAGCAAGACACTGTCTCAAAAAAAAAAAAAAAAAAAAAGTTAGCAAGGTGGTTAAAGAATATCTAACAAACATTTTTACTCAAGATGGTATATTTGGATTTTGAAGCAAAGAAATCACTTTCCCACTGTGTTAGATTAATCGGCCCCAACAACTGAATTTGCCTAACACAAGTGCCATGTGTCTAAGACATCTTCTCTGTAACAGAAAATTTACGAAAAACATCCAACTAACAATAAATTATCCCACACTGTAGAAATTCTGCATTTATGATAAAAACTTCATCCAAGCAGATGTGGTCCCTTCTCAAGGTACAATTCTACTTCCCAAGATGATTACTCAGTGAGAGAGGCCTATAGAAAACTTCCTGTGTCACTTAAATTCATGCAGAGCTACAAGCATGCTTTTGCTACTTGGAATTGTCACAGGTTCAGCTCAACAACCTTTAGTCAACAGTTTTTTTGGAATATCCACGACCTTTTGTTCCCTCGGGAGATAGAATCAAAATGCATCTATTAATCTTGAGTTTATTTTATTTCATTATTCAAGAAAACTATGTTAGGAAACTTTAAGAATGTGTTCAATAATAATATTAAAAATAATAGTAATAGATTGCATATATTGAACACATCCATGGGCTAGGATCTCTACTGACTATTTCACTTGTCTTACATCATTTTTCTCCCACAATAGCCCTATGAAGTATTCACATTTTATAGATTAGCAGCCAAGATGTTAAGTAACCCTACCTAAGGTTGATTCAAAAATCTAGTAGGTGACAGGTATAGGACTTGAACCTTGGCCCAAAACTCATACTCTAAAATTTATAGCCTGAACCACCTGGATATACTAACTAATTTAATATGTTGTTATATTAATGTTTGTTGTTTAAAATTTACATTAGTTATTAATCATATCATTAATAGTTTTGCACATGGAGAATAATAACCACAAAGTTGTCATGGGGATCCAGGACTTAAGGTTGCAGAACTAAAGACCTGGAAAGTGTAATAATTAAGCCCCTTTAGCCCCTCTCAATGCTAAGTCAGTTAAAAGAATTGGAGACCTCTGGTTTGAACGGGCTTCTAGCTAGGAGGCCCTAATGGAACCTTTCCAACCTTGTAATACTTAAGACATGAAAGAAGACAGGACATCTTTAAAATGCTGACAACTGGTACCAAAAATGGACTCACTGACAATTCTGGTAGGAATTGTCACTAACTACATGTCTGTGATATTGAATAGAAACATACAATTAGTGGCCCATGACTGCTATGCTGCAAAAATAAAATAAAAGGCCCATGTGCTCACAGAAATAGATAGGAGATTTTTGGTGGTATCTACACTGTCTGTCTGCTAATTCAAAAACACAGATTCTAAAACACATAGAGATAGCCATTCCTGTTTTGCCACTAACATTTCTGCACTCATTCAGATAACGTAACTACCACAAAACAATTAAGTAAGGGTGGCAGGGAAGCCAGCAGTGACACGCTGCATCATCTGAAGTGTGGTCCCACTAGTAAAACCCAAAAGACAGTCAAGAAATGGAGAAAGTCCTAGTATACATGCATGCTGGGAATTATAATTGTATATATTCCATCTGCTCTGACTGTTAGGGAGTCAAGCACTGGGTTACAAAAAAATTCTTAACACAGACAAGCAGAATAGCAGAAAGGTCCTACTACACTGGAAATCAGACCAGAAGATCAATCTTATGTACAGCTATAAATCTGGGAAGAGGATTCACCAGACCCCAAATGGAGAGTGGATGGATTACCAGGAACAATCTACATACCCAAATGTAAGTAAATACTAAGTCCAGATAATTCTCTCCACATCTGAAAATGGATAAAAATTTTGTATTTTTCCACTGCAAAAATGAAAAGTGTTACATGCTGCTGAAGAAAAGCAAAGGGTGACTCAGAATGAAAATATCTGAAAATCGTTAAGTATAAAAACTGTAAGAAACAGATTTAAAATTTCTGTTCTTTAAAACAAGAGTCAAAAGCCATTAGAAGAAAATAAGAAATAAAAACTAGGGGGTAGAATTTTAAATGAGAGTGACAAACTAGCAATGCAAGAAAACTAATAATGCATTAGCAGTATTAAGACTGCTATGGAGCAGAATTAACCCTGTGAAAATTGATCAGTAATTTGAAAGTCATACTTCCAATAACTTTCCCAGACACAGACAAATTACCCAAAGCATAAAACACACATGAAAGAGAATGACACCTATCCCAGAAAGTGAAGATCCAACTCAAGAATTACAAGGGTGTTTCCAAAGAAAACCAGAACAATTGAATAGGAAACAACAATCAAAGACATAACAGAAGGAAAAAAAACTTTCTGAACTAGAAGAGGGTAAAAAAGGATGCACATGCAAAACATTAATAGACTTAGCCAAGTTTACTTTATTCCAGGCCAAAATAAATGAGCAATCCACACCTGAACTCAGCCTGCTTTCCAGAAACAGAAAAAAGAATTGCTTACAAAATGGACTAGGAAGGGGAGTAAAATTTCACTGTCTTATCTCACATAGAAGAGATTCTAAAATTATATTTAATTGTTGAATCTGATAATTAGAAAAATTAAGATCAAAAACTGACTTCTGGAAAACTAAAGTGAAGTTGAAAAGAGGATATAAACCTTCCCAATTACTAAGGAAGTTAAAAACACACAGGGCATTCCATATATCAAACTCCTAAAGCAAAATAGAAAAGAAAGAAAGAAAAAGAAAGAAAGAAAGAAAGAAAGAAAGAAAGAAAGAAAGAAAGAAAGAAAGAAAGAAAGAAAGAAAGGAAGGAAGGAAGAAAGAAAGAAAAAGAAAGAAAGAAAGGAAGAAAGAAAAAAAGAAAACCATGTAGAACAGAACAACAGAAGTTAACAAAGCAACCCATCTGACAGTAAATACAGATGGCTTAAATCCCCTTTATTAGGAAACAAAAGTTCTCAAACTGGAGTAAAAAATTAAATCCAAATATCTGCTGCGTTCAGTAGGCATATCTAAAACAAAAGTGTTCACATTAAAAATAAAAAGAATGGCAAAGAGGTATTGAAAACAATAAAATGAAAAATAGAAGTGATAATTTCTGGCAAAGCAGGCTTCAAAGCAAAAGCAATTAAATAAGAGCAAATAGATTATGTGTATATCATCTACTATTTATATTACTTATGTTGATAAATTGGAAAATGAGATAATGAAGTTACAGTAGTAATTAGTCTCTTCATGCACCAACTAACCTAATATCAAATGATATAAATTTAAAACTATTAGAAAAGCAGAGAGAAACTGACAAGACCACAACTGGTTTGCATGTAATTTTAACACAGATTTATTTAATTTTGATAGTTTTCATTAGGCAAGAAATAATGACATGGACAATTTGAGTAAATATAATTAATACTATTAAGGCTCCTAGAAAATGTTGGCCTCTATAAACAGAGAATATGGCACCTTGAAAAGTATTTTTAAAACCTTAACCAAAAATTTACTGTGTTATGCAGATGTGTGGACATACACACACACACACACACACACACACACACACCCCAATATATTCCAAAAGTGAAAATTGCACAGGCTTTCTTGTCTAGTCATATGCAATAAAGCTAGGAAGTAACAGAGAATTGTCAACATCATACTTAATGACAAAACAAGAATTATTGCCATTAAAAGCAATAACAATGTAAGGATGCCCACAATCACCCTTACTATTTTTTCTTTTTCTTTCTCATTTTTTTTTCCTTTTTTTTTTTTTTTTTTTTTTTGTCGTTGAGATGGAGTCTCACTCTGTTGCCCAGGCTGGACTGCAGAGGCACAATCTCAGTTCACAGCAACCTCTGCCACCCAGGTTCAAGCAATTCTCCTGCCTCAGCCTCCCAAGTAGCTGGGACTACAACCATGTACCACCATGCCCAGATAATTTTTGTATTTTTTGTAGAGGTGGGGTTTTGCCATATTAGCCATGCTGGTCTCAAACTCCTGACCTCAAGTGATCTGCCTGCCTTGGCCTCCCAAAGCACTGGGATTACATGCGTGAGACACAACACCCGGCCACAGTCACCATTACTATTTAATGTTGAAGAAATTCTGACCATCTCCAATGATATGAAACAGAAATACAGGTGTAATTATTAAGGAAGACTAAAGAATTATTATTTTCAGATGACCTGATTAAATACTTAGAAAATCCAAAAGCACCAGTTGAAATTAATAAGATAGAGTACTAAAATGATAGCCACAAGCTAATTATAGAAAACAATGGCAGTTAAAAAACATATGGAAAAATGACTCCACTCCCAGTAGTAACAAAAACAAAATTATAAAATACCTAGAAGTAACCCCAAGAAGAAATATGTGCAACTTAAATGAATAAACTATAAGTCATTACTAAGAAGAGTTGATTAAACATATCTCCAGTGTGGGGATATAACATACTATATCCTAAATGTTTCAAATGTAACAATTTTCCCTCAAATTGACTTATACTTCCAATGACATTCATGTCAAAATCCTGAAGTATTAGGTTTGTCTGTTTGTTGCTTTGCTGGAGCTTGCTGGAATTTACATAGCAGAAAATAAACATTTTAAGTTCAAAATTATATATAAATGTAAGAGACAACTCTTAAAATTCTCAAAAGGAGGGCACACTCTGTGCTTGGAAAGAGTTAATTCTGAATAACTTTAATATTATGTATAGACCTTTTGCCTTTCCTGAGCCAAATTGTTGCCTTAGATTTATCCTCTGGGCACTTGTCAATAGCTACAAAAATATCTCAGCCAATTAGCATTTCTAGGCAAGAGCTACTCTACTTGATTTTATTTTCTAGTTAACTGAAAGTTAACCCAAAAACAACAGCATACTTTTCTGCCTCAACAAGGAATTAAGTTTGAATCTTTATTTAATGCATAAGGATTTGCAGAGTTCAGAGTCAGGTTTCTGAGCATCAATTTGTGACTATATATAATGTTCAATTTAGAAATAGGAGGAAATTCACAGTTATTGAACACTATACTGTGTGTCAGGCACTTGCTTGATGTTGTCAAACACACTGATCTGCACCCTTTCAAGTGTTAAGTATTGTTATCTCCATTTTCCAGACAAAAGAACTGAGATTCAAAGAGTTAATAAATCTCCCCATATCATAAAACTACTCCAAGATGGTCCCAAATCCCATGGTCTTTCTTTAAAACTAAGCTAGAGACAAATCTCCTAAAAGTGGTTCTAGAACAGGGCATTATAAGCACACCTAGGAGTTGGAGATCCCCCTCCACACATGCCCATAGCCCACAGACTCTGATACGCCATCCAAGATGGGGTGGGGTGGCAAGCAGATATGCTTTGAAGTGTCTTCCCAGTTAATTTTGATACAGCAAGTAACATTTTTGAGAAAAACTGATTTCATTTTCTATACTTATGGTTGCCTATTTTCCTATTACAGTAATTAGAAAGCAAGGGAAATATACACATTTCTACTTAATTTCATTCAGAGGCCAGGGACGGGGGCTCACGCCTGTAATCTCAGCACTTTGAGAAGTTGAAGCAGGAGGATCACTTGAGCCCAGGAGTTCGAGACCAGCCTGGGCAACATAGCAAGACCTCTTTTCTCCAAACTAAAACAAAAATTAGCTGAGCATGGTGGCATGCGTCTGTAGTCTTGGCTACTTGGGAGGCTGAGGTGGGAAGATCACTTGAGTCCAGGAGTTTAAGGTTACAGTGAGCTATGATTGTGCCACCGCATTCTAGCTTGAGTGACAGAGTGAGACCCTGTCTCTAAAAAAGTAAAATAGAAAAACAAAAAAATTCGTTCAGAATAATAAAGGAATTTTGTTTATTTTGCTTTTGAATGAATTCTTTTACTACTACAGGCTGTGTGGATTAAATGAGGTCTGCCATGAGACAAATTAAAATGAAATTCACCAATATGAATTTAAGCTTACAACAATATCTATAAAAGCTCATTAAGAGATGCATAATCTCTCATCTACTCAAATTGTTGATCAAACTCCTCTCCACCCTCATTGTGCTATACCTTCTGTGCTGTACTACAGTGGTGGACTGAGTGATCCTTCATGTGTGAGTGTGTGAGTGCCTGTGACTTTGGTATTAGTGAGGGCTACAGATCTGGTTACTGCCACATCACTGTCTTTTTTGAATGCTGTCTGTTCTCTCCCTTTGCCATCATCTGCAAGAGCATAAGAATGGTGTCATACTTCTCTTGTGGATCAGGGTTCTGAGGAACTGAAGTTGCCCCAAACCTCTGCTCTTGAAAATGAGGGCAATGACTTATTTGACCTATTGCTTGCCTAGCTCTTTCCCTTTAGTCCACCATTTTGCCTTGATCACATTATTTTCTCAATGATCCCACATAGGTGGGGTAGGTAGTTACCTATGCTCTAAATAGGTGCAGAGTCTCAATTCTTTCTATAACAAGCTATCACATGGCTAAAATGCCACCTGTGGGCACAGCATGTCCTTTCCCTTATGAGTGAATCAGTTTACTAGATCAGTTCTTAGATCCCAGTGGAGTGTCAGGATAGCCTGAGCAAATGTGAATGTTTGGGTTGGTTCACCCACCCTGCACCCACCAAGGAAGGAGAGAGAAGGCCAAAAGAAAGAAGCAGAAGCAATTGGAAATCAGAGGCATAAAGGTCTAAAGACAAATATCATCCACTTCTGCTTTCAAAAACTCACTATTGATTCTACTATCTCACCTCTAAAAACTTGAAATATCACAGAATATTTGTTCTTGTCTTCAGTCCCTGGTAAATGTGCACAGATAAGCAGCTATCATTTTTCAAATCTGGAGCATACTAACTCTGGTTACTTTTATTTCACCTAATCTTCACTTGAATTTTTCCTCCTGGGCTTCCCCCTGTAACTTCGTAAGACAGCACTTATTGGATGTGCCACAGTAAGAGTTGTTTTCTGCCTTTGGAGTTAACATCAACATTAGTCACATGTCCCCAAACCAATGTGAGAGTTTTGTTACCTCCAGCAACCATCTCCAAAGAACACAGAGGAATGGCACGGTATTTTCTATAAGTCCCCCGAATCATTTCCAGAATAATTCCAGTTATTTATGAAGCATCTTTGTTTGGATGCAAATATACCATTTAAAAACCTCTATGAGTAGAGACAGTGCTGATCTTTGTTACGTTAAGCCAGATTTTCCAAAAGTATATTCTGCAGAACCCTAATTCCTAATCACCTGGAGAAAATAAAGTTTCCATGGTGAAATAGATTAGGAATGTGCTAAATCAGCTAAATGTGCTAAAGTTAAACTTATTTATTGACTGCTGAATATCAGTGTCTTTAGCATGCTATTACATTTTGTGACTCTCCAAGAACAATTTTATAATAAGCAACATTTCTCAATCTTGTGTAACTTTGGGCCAGTTACTTTATTTTTTATAAGCCTCAATTTCAGTCTCCTCATCTTCAAAATTAAGTGTTTAGACTGGATTGTTTCAGCATTACCTTCCATGTACCATCCCTAAGAGTCTATGACAACTTTTCATTAAAACAAAGGTTTCTCCTGGAGATACTACCTATCACTTTTCTCTACTATCTAACAAAAACCCTTTCTCAGCTATGTTACTGTGGACATCAGGACAGGATGAAGACTGTCTACTGGGGAAACTTCAGAAAGAAACTTCATAATCATTTCCAACCGGATGAAAAAAAGAAAGAGAGAAAGAAGGACTGCTTGGGACTATTATTAATTGTGATAACAACAGTAAAAACTGTACTCCCCTTTGTTTTTTTCCATCCTTACCAGTTTCAGCATTGATCTTTATCTGAAATTACAAACATTTCTATGACAATTTGCTTCCATCCAGAACATCTGGTATCTGGCCAGAAACTGTAAATTGATGCTACCCGCTCTAGTGTCTGACTTGAGAAAGGGGCTGGGAGGGGGATGGTAGGAGCAGAGGAACTGTGGAGACAGACGCTGCTGAGACATTTAAAATGCACTCTCCCCTAATAGGAAACAGAGCAGACTGTGATAGAGAGAAGGGAAGGAGAGAAGCAGCTCACTGCAAATGGGGGCAGGGGAGGGAGGAGGAGTGCCTTGCTACCAAAGGCCCAGCACCCGGCAGGGAGGCCTGGAAGGATGCAACAGGAGCGGGGTTGCCTGATAAGACAGCGATAGAAAACCAAGAGATAAAGGAAGTCTGGCCAGCAGCAGCTAGTCTAGAGGCAGGCAGGGAATCACCTGACGCAGACAGCAAGGGGTGACAGAAGCTGGCCAATCAGAGAGCTCAGCACAAGAGGAAGGGCAGTGAGGTGCAGGGTGGCATGGAGGGGTCTTAGAGGAATACCATTACCTTGCCAGCTTTCGATCAAGATGTACAGTTTTTCCTTATGGGGAAACCAGTAGGGCATTCAGCCCACCAAGCTAGTGGCCAGTTAGCTAAGATGTATTTAACCTTACAGGTGGACAGAGTCTCCAGAAGGATTTTGGCAGGAAAAACTACTGTTTATATCAAGATGTTACAGAAAAAGAAAGCTGAAGAAATTTCAGCCCTTGCTGTCATTACTAAACTACCTTAACCAATCAACTGAAAGTTTTTTGTATATTCAGAGTCATTCAACAAGAACTTCTGGAAAACCTGTTATGTTCAGAGCTGAGATAGAAAGGCCAAGTACTGAAGATACAATGGGAAACAAGGCATAGGCTCTGATCTGAAGGAACTTTAAGCAGTGTCCTCAGGTGTACACTAGAAAAAATTTCTGCCTTGCCTCCTTCAAAGGCTTAGTGGCAATGGTAGATGTGAAAGCAAAGCTGTAAAATATTGAAAATAATACAAATAGGAGGAGATGAATATCATTACCTATGCAGCTTTAAGTCCTAACACTTTACTTCTGAAGTGATCAGAATTCAGTTTTGTGACTTTGCTCTTCCATCTTTACAAAAGTTTTCTAGATTCCTAAACAATCATACCACTTCCCATGAAAGGAGCTATTCTGCATCTTCAAAAAATCATTAGGCATCTGATTCAGTTGGCTTTATTAGTGCCCTCATTGTACTTAGGGAGACCTTGCCTAAGAGAGATGTCCTGTAAGTCAACCTTGGATAAAAGGTATTGCTTTGTGTGGCACAGAAATCATGTTAAAAGCCAAGGGCAGTGATAAATGGGAACCAACTCGTTAGCCCAGAGATTTTATGCACAGTATCCCTAGACCCACTCAAATTCAAAAGGTGTTCAAAGCAGAGATTGGGAACTCTCAGCCCTGTGTGCCAGATGGTGGACCCTACCAACAGGCTCAGGAAACACCAAGCCCTTGGGGCTGTGCATCTGCCATCCACTTCCCCATCCCTGAGAGCTTGCCAAGAGGCCATCAGCACCCTCGCCAAACACACTCTTCCTATGATGGTGGGCACTGGGAATCCATTAGCAACAATCCCCAACCTTTTCAGCACCAGGACCCAGTTTCACAGAAGACAATATTTCCACAGACGGTGGAGGTGGGGGCAGCAGTTTCAGGATGAAACTGTTCCACCTCAGATCATCAGGCATTAGTTAGATTCTCACAAGGAGCTCGCAACCTAGATCCCTCAATGCACAGTTCACAATAGTGTTGGCAAGAGAATCTAGTGCCACCGCTGATTTGACAGGAGGTGGAGCTAAGGTGGTAATGCTCATTTGCCCACTGTTCACCTCCTGCTGTGCGGCCCAGTTCCTACCAGCCCACAGACCTGATGGATACCAATCCATGGCCCAGGGGTTGGGGACCCCTGCATTGTAGTATTGTGAGAGATTAGGTCTGTCCCAAGCTTCCCGTCAATTTCACACATCCAGCCCACTGCCCACTGACTTTGAGGATAGGTTTTTGTTTTAATTGTGTCAGATATACATAACATAAAATTTACCATTGTAACCTTTTCTGAGTGTACAATTCAGTGGCATTAAGTGCATTTAATTGTTCTGCAACAATTATCACTATCCATCGCCAAAACTGTTTCATCTAAAACTCTGCACCCATTAAACAACAACTCTGCATTCCCCTTCCCACCCCCAGCACCACCCCATGACAATCACCATTCTACTTTCTGTCTCTATGAATTTGGCTACTCTAGGTATCTTATATAAGTGGAATCACACAATATTTGTCCTTTTGTGTCTTATTTCACTTAGCATAATGTTCAAAGTTTATCTGTGTTGTAGCATATGTCAGAATTTCCTATCTGATTAAGGAGGAATAATATTCCATCGTATATATACACCACTTTTTTTAGTTCATTCATCCATTGATGGATATTTGGGTTGTTTGCCCCTTTTGGCTATTGTGCATAATGCCGCTATGAACATGCGAATGCAGAGATCTGTCCAAATCTCTGCTTTCAATTCTTTGGGGTACATACTAGAAGTACAATTGCTGTATCATATGGTAATTCTATGTTCAGCTTTTTGAAGAACCACCGTGCTGTCTTTCACAATGGCTCCATCCTTTTACATGCCATGGACACACACGGACTAAAGGAAAGGGGAGGCTGGCTCAACACCTGGAAAAGCTAGCCACTGTTTTAAAAGTTGTCACCAATAATCCATTGATGGGTCAAAGTGTTTTCAAAGAACCAAGAGCCATTTCATTTATTGATTTATTAAATAAACTTCTGTTGAGCCTATACTTGCAACTAGCACTGGCTTAGTTACTCAGAAGGCAAAGACAATTATGATACAGCCAGTTAGACTTCTAGGAGGCTTGTAAAAGTTGATTCAGATGAGATCCATCCAGAGGAGGAAAGGCAGGTCTTCATAAAGAAATTATTCTACATGTAACTTCTATTTGCCACCTCGCTCGCTTCCTATTTTAATTACACCATAGTAACTCACATAAACAACTTAGGCAATGTAAGAATTGACCTTAGGCAATATAAGAAGTGATTAAGAGTATGAACTCTGAAAGCAAACAGACCTAGAGTCCAAAAGCACCTCCTGTGTGACCATGAGAAAGTTACTTAAACCCTCTTAGCCTCAGTTTTCTCATAATTTTTAAAGGGTGTGAGCTTACAAAGTATCTAGCACAGTGCCTGGTGTGAAATAAACACTCAAAAATGTTAGCTGTTATTATTATTATTATTATTATTATTATTATTATTATTATTAGACAAATACACCTTTTTGTTCCTTTGTAGTTTTATGTTTTTTTGTTTTAAGCAGGGGAATGGAGGAAGAGGGATCTCTGATTTATGTTTTTTTCCCTCTTATGGCTATATATGATCCTCCTAAAAATAAAAAATCTAGGACTTCTCAAGCCCGCATCTCTATGTATTTCACTCTGTGCTGGATCTCATGAGGAGTATAATAGTCTTTCCCATAAACACAAATTTTTATGAACGTGGTATCAGCAAAGTGAGCTCTTCTCAAGTAGATACATGGACCTGAAAAGCAAACTGACTTTCATAATTTTTAAAAACTCTTTTTCCCAATAATCGATTGTGTCAAATTCAGAAAGCATGTCATCTACACAAGACCAGTTTTATAGCACATTGAAGCCCAACTTCAGAGGACATGAAACTGGTAGGAAGCTCATAATTCATAAGCTCCAACTTGCTGACTTCAGAGGTTGGTTTTCCCTGGGAAGCCTGCTCTCAAAACCATCCTCTGTGTGCTCACTTGGACCTCAGGTTCCTAAGCAGTTGTGCTTGGGTTAAAATTTAGTAACTGAGAACCTCAACTGAAGCTCTGTCCTGAGTAACACTGCTATGAAACATACCCCTCTTTGTTGGATTTAGAGTTTAGGCTGCTTTGGAAAGCTGTCTAAGTCAACTTCCCCAGCTGCAGCACAAAAGTTTGCATCACAGAGGGTGCTACTTGTCAGTTTCAGTTCTAAGCTGCCCACATTTTACTCTTGGTAATGAAAACATCAAATTCAGGAACTCACTTTCCTGGATTGTGACTTTCACTTGTTAGTGTTCCAAGCTCTATCCAAAAGAGAAACATGGAAGAAGGTTTGAGATCATTCTTAGAATCAAGAGTTGTATTTGGCAGTTTCAGGGATGAAGGAAAGTAAATGGAAGGGAAGCAAACTCTTTTACACACTATCATTGAATAAGGCCACCTTTAAGTGCTACCATGCATTTGTGTTGTCACTGAAATTAAAGACAGAGGGAGAGAGAGAGAGAGGGGGAGAGAAGAGAAGGAACACTCTCCCCTCCCCAAATAAAGAGTGGCAGTGCCTTGAGTTCAATCAACTAGAAGTTGGGAACACTAACTGTCTCCATTTGTAAAATGGTAATAATAATACTCACCACCTGCTTCTCAGAGCTGGTTTACGGGTTTGTGTTCATTTCTGAGAGGGGCTTGAGATCCTTGAGTGAAAGGTGTGATGCACAGTATTATAATTCCCACCACAGGGTAACATATGGAGAGGGAAAGAAAGTGTATAGATACGTATGTTTCTGTTTAAACTCTGTGTGCAATGCTGACTTTTATCTTATTTTGCCTTTAAGCTAAACTGCATGGGTCACATTTGGAGCATATGTTGTTATCATTTGCCTTTTTTAGCTCAAGAAAATTGAGTGAATAACGGGTATTGTTTCCCTGTTTACGGTGGTTAGAGTGGTTGAGCGTTTGGAAATCTCTGACGCCACACACAAAATAGTAGATTCTCTTATTATTATGCTAAGGGTGAGGGGCTTCAGTTTGTGTTTCCCCCTGTTCTATCATCCACATATATTATGGACCTATTTTTGAAATTGGCACAGTATTATGTTACAAGTGAAAAATTCTTTTCACTCTCCTTGATAGAAAGAACGGACAATGAAAGCATCACACTCTTGGATACCCATATGCCTCTCACTCACAGCCTCTTAATTGGTCTAATGTGCTTTTCACTTTTTGCTTTTTTCCTATAATGAGCTTTCACATTAGTGGTCTTATATTTTAAATCCTTGCTGAGGACGCCGGCCCCATAAGTGTGCTATGGAAGAATCTACACTTCTGCAGAAGGCTTCTTTCTCAATTTAATTTTAATTAGAAACCAGGTGGTACAAACCAAAAAGGTTGGTGGTATTCCTTGGATGTAAGATGTGAAATGGGTTTAAGTAACACTGTATTAGTCATGAGGCAGAAATGGAGTAATGTTGACATGACTTGAAAGTAGCATTGTTGAGTAAATGAATATGTGAGAAGCACTTGCTAAACTAAATGAGTTTTGCAGTTGTATGCACATTTGTGTAATCCTGTTTATTGATGCCTGAAACAATTTGCAAAATAGAAACAAATCCATGAAGAAGAAATATGTTTGGAATTATTTGTTTATATGACAATTTAAAAAAAAACACAGGAATCCAAATGCCACATTTCATGCACTAAATATACCATATGTGGAAGCTTCCCCTCAGAAAATTCAGCAGCAACCTTTGCTGTCTGATGCGGAACAATAAGAAACAACCCAATGTCTTTTACTTGCTTATTCAATCAATTTTAATGTGAGAGTTAGTTTCGTAAAAAATGTATCCAAACACAATATTAGTATACCTGTACTATTATCTTTTAGAAGCTGATGAAGAATTTTCTACTTTTTCTTTATGCATTATGAGTAAGAGTAATGACTTTAAAAGAAAAATGTATATTCGCATATTTTCCTAAAAACAAATCCATGTATTTTTTAAGGAAATATCTATAAGCTTATGATGGGCACTATTCTTAAGCACTTTACCATCATTAATTCATTTAGTGCTCATTAAAATTCCTTGATTACTTCCAATTGACAGATGAGGAGAGTGCAGCACAGAGAAGTTCCGTATTTTGTTCAGAGTCACACAGCAATAGGTAGGCGAGCCAGATTTCAAAGCCAGGGAGTCCTTGTCTCCAACATCCGTGCTTTAACCACAACACTGCTGACTTTCCACAGAGCAGAGCCTCCATGTATTTATTTGTGAATTTTTTTTTAGAGGATCTCAGGTTCCTGGTTTAATTTGTCAGCTAGACACCATCATCTTATTTTTGCAGCTCAGACGCTAGACAGTCTGCCTCCATGCCTGCTGGCTGTCCTTGGAGCTGTGGGACTCTCCCTCTCATGCCCATTTCTCTGGGCCTTTACTTTTTGAGGAAAAACACTTGTTGCTGTCTGACTCAGTTAAGAAGTACAAGTAGCCCTAGCCCTGCCAGCTGCAATCCCAGACTGGATCACTTCTCCAGATTTGAGGTTAATCAACTGCAAATTCCATTAGCTTCATACGGAGTGAAAATAAAGAACAGACGGCTTCACATGGGAGCCTGAAGTCAGGTGCGGCTCCCCCAGGCTGGCCTGCAGGTATCAGTTTTTTCTCCCGCCTCAAAGGAACGGTGCCTTTGATAGGGAGGCAGATCAAAGAAGGGCTGTTCCAGAAACGCCTCTGCTGCTGGAAAAGCTCTCAAAGTCTACCCCCACGTGCACCACAGACCTTTTTTTTTTTTTTTTTTTTTTGGAAAGATGTAGAATTTGATACTTCGGATCATTATATTCTGGCCGCTGTGGGAACGTTTCCTAGGTTCACTCTGGTATGCAGCTGTGGTAGGTATGTAATGCTGACAACTGATTCCCCTGCCCACTAGACAAGATGGTGAAGAGTTAGGTTCAAAAAGGTTGCTGTGACTTTGAGGTGGTCTTTACTTGAGCTTGAGGCTTCTTTTCACAGGTCCTGATGGAGAATGGCTTTAAAACACAAAATAAAAGCCGTTTTCCAAAGATCACTGGTGTTTTTCAAAGAAGAACAAAAGTGAACTTGCTAGAACATATTCAAATGCAAGCTGTTAGTTTCTCATTAATCTAAGTTGCCCAAACAAAAGCTTTGCTGGTGGAATAAAGGAAGTATTATATAGCAGTATTGAGAAAGTTAGTAATTTCCTTAAAAATGCACAATTCTATTAGTCTCCTTATGGGAGGGTCCCCATGATCAGGTAGAGTTCAATTTCCGTTTGACTTTTTAAATGCCATATGGCCATTATCTAAACTCTTTTCACTTTCCCTGAATCCCTACCCCTCACCATTGGCTGGATTACTGTTTTGCTTTTATAATTTTCCCTTTTTTAATTGCTTATCTCTTCCTACCCCAGATTAAGGAAAATATTGTCACAGTTAAAACGGAAGAAAAATCCAATAACTCTATTGGTGGGAACTTATAAGCTAACCAACCTTGATCACAAATGTTCCCTTTCTAATCATAGTTTGTGGTGGAATGAAAGATGCAATTGTCTGGAAGGGATGAATATGGGATCCATGCTGGCTTGGGGGTCAAAGGTCATCACATGCAAAGGTCCCTTTCTCTCTGGCACCGCTCCCTTTGTATAGCATAGTTTGGCAGCTATCTCCTTGCACTTCGGCTACCTGCCAGTGCAGCTGGTACTGTGTCTGGTGCAAACAACAAAGCGTCACTCAGCAACCAGCAGCTCTGCATGAGGCCACTTTTCTCAGATGACAAAGAAAGATGGGCTATACATTCTACCATTGCTGCCCATTAAAAGGACTCTTAAATTGCATTACTACAAGTTATTGTTAATTATGTAGTAGTCACTGGAGCTGTAGGAGCTTTCCAGGGAGAACTGTTCGGCTATATGCTGGGAGAAGAAGGAAGTAGGGGAGGGGTTAATTGTTGAGAGAAGGGGTAGCATGGAGCAAAGACTGGTGATAGGGGAAAAAACTCATTCGCCACGTACAATCCGAGTGGCATGAATAGGGTAGGGCCTTGGTTCTGATGATCACCTCTGAAGGTTGGTAATGTGACTGATGAAGAAGAAATCAATCAGCTGAAAGAATCTCTCAGATATGCAGTTTGGAAATTGTCCTGCCCTCCCTCCATTCAAAAAGCTGCATTTTTCCAGCATTTTCATTTAAGAATAATTTTAAGCAATTTATCACTTGGCTGTAATGCATTCGCTCTGGGCTGAAATCAATAAGTCCTGCAATGTGGAGATAAGGCCTGTTTGAAGGTTGGGGAAGGAGGACCAGAGGTTGCCTATTGTCAAATAGCCAGAAAATTAAAATTAAAGTGGTGTGTTTACTCCATTTGGCCATCCAGGGTAGAAATACAGCTTTATTGGTGCTGTTCGCATTTTTCAAGGGTGGATTCTTGGAGATATTTTTATTGAAAGGGTCCAGTTTCATCCACTTTTTTAGAAATCAAATCAATATATCCATATGCCCTCAAACAAGGAAGAAACCTCTGGACTATTTCTGTTGAATTCCTTTGTACTGTTTTGGGTCGGAATTTGTTTTCTCTCTCCCTGTCCCTCTCATGGCTCCTAAGGCGGTGACTGAGGTTTTCAGGTCTGGTGATTCACTGGCTTGTCCCTCAACAAAAAATAAAAACACACACAGCTTCCAAAAAGGGTTGGTCGTGGGGCTTTATCAGTCTTCTTTGGCTTAGTTTGAGGTTTTTGGCCATTGAAATGAGATGACGCTGCTCTCGAAATGTCTGGCAAGTTTTTCATGATATGTACCAAACTCTAACAGGGAGAGGATCCCGATTTGATGTAATTTCATTGCAACAACACAGCAGCACCACTTTTCACTCTTCCCCATCCCCCCATGCTTCTCCACACTACACCCCCCCCTCCGCCCCCACACCACAACCCCTCCTGCCAATCCTCTTCAGATTAAAAGGAAATCCAAGGGAAACAGGGCACAATGGGGGCAGATGAAAGTCCACAGTCTTTAGTTTCTATCTTTCCTTCTTGTGTCTAATTTTCCGCTTCTTGGTTGTTCTGATCTCAGCTATTTGCAATAGTTATATATAATTTAACATTATACAAAAGTATTGTCATATCAAACATAGTGAAATGGATTCCAAAAACACCATCTGGTATTTGGGAATGCACTGTGAGTTGGGAACGTGAGAAGAGATATTCTTTGCCACTTTGCTTGGGACCCAGCCATTAGCAGTGTAATTGCCAAGAAAAGGTGACAGGCTCCAGGCTTAAAACAAGTGGGTTCCTCCCCCACCAACCCCCTTCGCCTATTAACTCTTGTGAGTCCTAAGCCAAATTAAAAAGGACTCTGAGGACAGAGCAATGGAGAACAAAAAGAAAAGAAAAGAAGAAAAAGAAAGAAAAAGAACAACAGAATCTAATGAAAAATAGAGAAAAATATCTGCTGCATTGTTGTCATCATTGTTTTGTGAAGACAGTAGAATAAGAGGAAGTAAAATGAGTCCGATACAGGAGGGTGCGAACTGGGGATCAGGTTAATTGTGCTTTAAAGTTATGGGGTCTTTCAGTGGATTTGCATGATGAGAGTTTTAGTCCAAAGCCTGTTTCAAAATCCTCATTAGTTTTCTCTAATCCACCTAAAATTATGAAGGCCTGGATTGTGAAGGTCATCTGTGATGATTCAACCCTGTTTAATTTCATGGGGGTTTGCACCCACTTCTCTATATGAAAAAGAGAATTAATAATTTTGAATTGTCTTCTCTATCGACAATTTTGGGGACTGTCATGGGAGAGAAACAAAGAAATGCAGACTGTACACTTTTATGTACTTTGCTTAACCAATTTGAAATGAAAGCAGTTTTTTTTGTTTTTTTTGTTTTTGTTTTTTTTTTGTTTTTTTGCATCCTGTGTACCAAGGAAAAGGAGTTAAGTGACTGGACAGAAATCAGAAAGAGGACTTCTTAGCAGGAGATAAAAATAAGGAAACAGCAGGAAAAAAAAAAGCATTTAAACCTCTCATAGCTATACTCAATCTGGCATTCACAACCTGAGTCTGTATCAGTTTGAAACTACAAAAATAGTTTACAAGGGTCACAGTCATTTTTTTCTACTCAGTGTGTCAGAAGTTGGGATGTGCGACCCAGAACTGCCATTCCATTACACAGAATAAAATGATATCTGGTGGGTGGATCGAAAGCTTGCCAAAGAAGACACAGTGAAAGCTAACCCTCTCAGTCTAGCTCCTGTTTTTAAATATTTATATCTCTGGCAGACTTTTTGGGGGTAGAGGAAACTGAAAGCTCTTTTGCTATCTGTCATTTCACCCAGGCAAATGAGAGAGAGTCTCACGACTTGATTTTCCTCGAGTTTGGCACCAGGAACAGGCGATGGCGTTTCTTTGGGATGGTGAATTTCTCTTTGTGGAAAAGTGGCCGGGACCAAGGATTTTTACAAGAGCCAACAGCCACTTTCCATACCCGCTTGGGGCAGGGCCAACTTCCCATTAGCACTGCTGTTACAGATCGGGCCTGCTTTGCAGCCGGCCAGTGCCAACTGTGGTCATGGCCTGTTAGGAAACCTACGAGGAAAGCCACCGTGAGCCTGGGGTGGTGGGAAGTGTATCGCTCTAGATCCTGGGCAATCTGGCTCACTAGCTTGCCTCTCTCGTGAATTCTCTCTGTGATCATTAGTTTTCTTCTTTTCCTCCATCCAACTCTTAATTCCCTTCCCCAAGGAATCGGTCTCCAAAGTCAATTGACTGCTGCTTTCTTCTCTGCCTCACCATCATCTATGCCCCTTCCTTAGTTCAGGGACTAGAATATTGCATTAACCTTCTAACTTTGTAGGGCAATACTGTAGTGTGTATAGCAGTGGTGAGGAGCAGGGGCTTTAGAATCCAATAGACCTGCATCTTAATCATGACTAGGCTACCTCCTCATCGTGGCCTCTGCCACAAAATAGGAGAATAGCTTATTTCTAGCAGGAATGTTGCATGGACTGCATGAAACAGTCAGGAGAGGATCTAGGACACTAGCAGTCACCTAGTGAGCACTCAGAATACTACAATTGTTCTTAACATAATCGACTAATGCATCCAGTTACATCAGAGAGCCTTTTAATGCATCCCTTTTCAGTACCAAGTATCGTGTTATGCTAAGGATGCAGATAGATAAGATGCAGAACCTGCCCTCAGGGAGTTCTCCATTGAGAGACAAATTCATCAACTAAAAAATCTCTGTAGCTTTCTTCCGCTACTCACATGCTTTTTAATTTCCAATTTTTATAAGATTTTTTACAGCATTGTTTGGCAATAACAAAAACAACAACTGTAATAGTAGCGACCACTGACCTGACCTTTCCCATGGGCCAGGCCCTATAATGATACATCTGCATCTATTACCTATTTTGTTCTTCAGATATATGCTACCAATCATGATTAGCAAAAGAAAAGCTGGGGAACTGGACACACTAAGTAACTGTCCTGGGAATACACAGCTGTGATACGTGTGAACCAATGAAGAACAGGAATCATTTCTTTTTGTGTTCTTAGTTGGACAGATGAACCTGATTCAAAATTCCAGGATTCTATTCTGATACTGACAGTGGCTAGCTTGTTTCAGCCATAGGGACCATAAAAAGTATTCTTTCACCAATTTTTTAGCATGTACTATATGCTTTTTGATGCTCTGCTAGACACACAAATGATTCAACATAAACTCTCCCCTTAAGAAGAATAAGGACAGTGGAAGGGTAACAGGATGCATTAGAGCATTTCAGGAGATGGTGTTTCTCTACTCCAGCTAGGACTGGCCCAGAAGAGACTATCAGAAAGGGTTTGAAGTATGAGTGATAACGAATGTGCAGAAATGATGAGGAGAGGTGTTCCAGGTGGAGAGAAACATATGAGCAGAGGCTCGTAGATAGGAATGAGTCAGGTGTGTGCTGATAAGAGTTCAGGGCTCTTGCAACAGACCCAAGTTAATGAGGACATGAACTTGGACAGTGTCAGGACTGAGGGGAGAGAATGGGCGTCCGGGACAATGGTACCTTGCCAAATTTTATGTGCAAATTTGTTGCTTAATAAATATTCCTTGATGAGGACAACATATGCTGTTACTTAATAAATATTCCTGATGAGGAAGACATGTGCTGAGCTGATGGAAAAAAAAAAAAAAAAACGTAATCACTCAGTGCTCAGTTTTTCTGTTCACTCCCAAGAAACCATTCATTGACTTAAGCAGCCAAACACTCATTAAGTAAATGCTCTGCACTACACTAGGCACTGAAAATACAAAGATGAACAAGATATGCTCTGTTCCTTTGAGGAGATTACAATCCAGGGGCAGAGGCAAGCAGATAAAGAAATAATTCTAAAGTGCTGTGGTAGGGCAGTACAAAATTATGAAGCAGGAACCCTGGGGGCCTAGACAGTGATGTGCTTAACGTGGCCTGGGGCAATGAGAGAAAGCAGCACCGAAAAATTGAGGTTAGAGTTAGGGATTGAAAGTCATACTCTTCAAAGCACTTTATGAATCTGCAAAGCACTGTATGAATGTTACCTGTCATTTTCCTATTATTTTTCACAACCACAACTTTGAAGTTGAGTCAGCCTAAGAGGTTGACTTTATTTTTAGAGGTGGAAGAATACCTTAAAAATCATACGGTCGGTCCACTGGTTTTCAGATATTGCAGGTGAATGTGTGTGTGTGTGTGTGTGTGTGTGTGTGTGTATTGCTACTTTATTAATAAAATGTTATTTCATAATTTAAAATTAATAATATTTACTTCTTCAAGTTCAGCCACAAAGAGCAATGAAGTTATTCTGATGAATGCTAACATTTGATATTGGAATTATGGATGATATTTGCAAACACATCAGCCTCAGTTATTGTCTTTATTTTGGCATTTTGATTTGAATGCCTGGCCTCACGGAAATTCTGATGGCACTGATAAGTAGTGAAAGTGGTAACATCTGTGGGCTTCTTGTTTGTTTGTTTTTTGTTAACAGCTTGACTCACAATCTCAAGATACTCTTCATTTAATCTGAGCCAGAAGCTTGAAGGCAAGATAGTGAGACACTTCTGTTTCAAAGTTGAACCAGTAACAATACCGATGATAGTCCTCGATATTCTTTGACATATATATGACAATCAGACACAAGGAGCCCAAAACTTGCACCAACATTAAATTTGTCTATAACATGTGATTCACGGGGATCAGCATGTCACAAGTTCACACACAACTGAATTAGATTGTTACAGCTTGACAACAGGACTGGCCAAGTAAATGAGATATTTGCCTGCCACTTATTTGGAGTACCTGTGACTCACTTGTGCAATTTTAGATTAAAAGTCTGAATTCCAGAAAGACCATTGCAGAGCTACAATCTTCCTAATCAACGACATACTTATAAGAAATTAGAATGTACATGCAGATAAGCATTATTATTTTTTAAACACCCAAGGGATTCCGTGGGCAGTGGAATTATTGGTCATTTGTGGTATTAGTATTTTTCTGTAATAAAAATTTGATGAAAATTATTTTTAAAATATTTCCACAGAGATTGTTGATGTTTTCTTCTGAGTGCATATAAAAATTAGTTGCCTAGCAGCTCAAATAATTACGTTGTCGGTCTCCAATATAAATATTATTTGTAAGAAAATATTTATTATAAATATTAATAAATATTTTATATTTATGTTAAAGAATATACTTAAGTCTCTGTGTGTATACATATAGAGACAGAGAGAGAGACAAGTATATTCTTTTACATAAATATGAAAAACAGACACAAGGAACCCAAAACTGACACTAACACTAAACATAGATTTTTATTTCAACTTTCAAAATGCAATCATGTGCTCTTTAATGACATTTTGGTCAATGACATACCACATATATGACAGTAGTCCCATAAAATTATAATACGGTATTTTTACTGTACCTTTTCTATGTTTGGATATGCTCAGATACATGAATACTTACCATTGTGTAACAACTGACTACAGAATTCTGTAGAGTAATATGCCGTACAGATCTGTAGCCTAGGAACAATAGGCTATGTCATATGGCCTAGGTGTGTAGTAGGCTATACCATCTAGGTTTGTGTAAATACACTCTATGATGTTGGCACAACAAAGGTGCCTAAGGACGCCTTTCTCAGAACGTATCCCTGTCGTTAAGCAATGGATGACTGTAGTTAAAATATGTTACGAAATGAAATTTGCATCTAACACTGCCACAACAAAACAATTTAGTTCCATAAAAACACAGCTTGAAAACCAATGGCCGACTCCTAGACTTCCCCAATGGATCATATGCAAGGTAATTTTAGGTGGTATACATTCTTTTTTGTTAATAATGGTATATTTTTTAAATGTGCATTAAATATTGACTTTCACATTTGCTATCATGATATACATTTTCTTTTACTATTAAATGACTTATAAAATTAAGAAAGGTGAGTTAATTTTTTGGAACTTTTATTTTTAGATACAGGGGGTACACGTACAGGTTTGTTACATGGGTATATTGCCTCAGATAATGAACCCAGTACCCAATAGGTAGTGTTTTGACCTTTGTCCCCATCCCTCCCTCTCCCCTCTAGGGTCTATTGTTTCCGTGTTTATGTTCGTGTGTGCTCCATGTTTAGCTCCCACTTATAAGTGAAAACATACAGTATTTTGGTTTCTGTTTCTACATTAATTCACTTAGGATTATGGCCCCCAGCTCCATCCATGTTGCTGCAAAGAATATGACTTCATTCTTTTTTATGAATGCATTGTATTCCATGGTGTATATGTGCCACGTTTTCTTTATCCAATCCACCATTGATGGGCACCTAGGTTGATTCCATGTCTTTGCTATTATGAACAACACAGCGATGAACATACAAAGTGCATGTGTCCTTTTTGGTATAATGATCTATTTCCTTTTGTATGTACATCCAGTAATGGAATTACCGGATGGAATGTTAGCTCCGTTTTAAGTTCTTTGAGAAATTTCCAAGCTGCTTTCCACAGTGGCTAAACTAATTTACATTTCCACCAACAATGTATAAGCATGCTGAAGTGAATTAATTTAAAGCAACTAATAGCACAGGTGAATACAGAAAAAAAATATGAGGGTAATAGATAAATGGCTGAAGTTTAGTAAACCTTAATTTAATATGTCCCACTTGTCAATTCAAGTGGGGAACTGGAGGACAAAAATGGTATTCTTTGGTGGTAAATGAGGACTTGCCCCCATTTATCCTCATTCCTAATCTAGGGGTGGTATCTTTTTCATGCTACAAGAGGTCAAGCATGCTCAGCCCCAAGCTCTAATGGTGTCATGTAACATATGTACCAAACCAAAAAAGACTTTTAAGTCTCAACTGACAATCTAAAACTAAGCCAAGACCAAATATCTGTAAGCACAACTTCCTTGGGCTTCCCTGAGCATATCTGGATATTTTCAGTTGCTCAATATGGAAAACAGGATACACAAACAGGCTTAAAATATAAAAGACTATATTGGTTCCTGTCACTGAAAAGTCCAAATATAGCATGGCCTTCAGTCATGGCTTGATCTAGCAACTCAGTCACCCAGATTCTCCATTCTGCCTTCCTTGGAGTTTTAAGGCAAGAATCTCCCTAGTCTCTTCCCCGTTTATATCTAACAAGAAACAGTCTCAGCATTCCCAGAAAAAAATAAAAATAAAAATAAAAAAACAAAGTCAGTCTGTTTGAATCCATGTCCATCCTATGACCCATTCTCAAACCGAAACTGTGGCCAGAGGGTAGGAGACAATGCTTGAATTAACACAGTCATGTGTCCACACCTGGAGTGGAACCTGGAACCCATAAGCTCTAAAAGGCAATTAGAGGTTGTTGGGATTGGAAACAGGTGAGAATAAAGGCTGGCAATGCAACCACAAATATGAGGAAAGAATAGTAATGTCACTGTAATGAAAAGTCTCAGATTTGATCTTGGAAAGATATTGGATACTTCCAAGGATTGGTCATAGTCTTCAGAGATATTTATGAAGTACTCTTATATAAAGAGAAAAAAGTGGTGTGTCTCTAGCTACCATAGATATGCATGGCCAATGTCCACCAGGATATCTGTATGAATTTCTTCTTATTTAATACCACTTTGGGAGTATATATCCCCACTACCTTCGAGGCTGGGTCATTGCCCTACTTAAGAATTTACTTACTAGTGGCTTTTTAAAATGAGAGGGTAGTGGTATAAAAATAATCCAATAGAATGTTATCTGGAAGCCAAAAAATAAGTAAATAAATAAAACCATAGTTTTGCTATTTGGAGTCGAGATTTAAGGTAGAGGAAAGTTAAATGGCTCTAAGAGGCAAAGAGCTGTTTTCTAATGAAGGTGTTGGCTCCCATCCTAGTTTGCCTTTTTTTTTTTAGGACTCCCTGCTAGCCCTCAAAAACCTGCCTTGAGGGCAAACTCTTCACAGTTCAAAGTTTTGCCCTCGGAAGTAAGGCTGCATTTTAATAGCAGCCAAAAATGGGTGCAATTCCTGGGTAAGTGAATTTCATCCAGCAGTAAGCAGGTAGAGACGGATTGGGGAGAGTTTTGGATCTTTCCCAAAGCCTCTTGAAAACGTAACATGTCAGTGGCTGCTTTCAACGTTTATAATTGGAAGACTGCGAATCATAGTCAACTGAAATGTATTAAGCAAGGTGCATTCGCTTAAATTATTTTATCTAACCCTCGCATCAAGCCCATGAGGTATATACTTTACCCCATTTCACAGATAAGTAAACAGAGGCTGAAGGAATCTCAATGACTTGTTCCCCAGCACACTGACAGCACACTGTTGCATGACCTTGAGTCAGTCCCTTCTTTCTCAGAACCAGGTCTCTGTCAAAGGAGGCCCTCGGCCCTGGGAATGCCTTCCCAGCTGCCTCTAGCCCTCCCAGGCCTCAGAATGCTTGTTTTGGGCCCTCCTCTTCCAGGCTGTGAGGTCCAGATCCTGGGCAGATGTCTCTCACCATATGCTGAGGGTGATTTAACAAGGCCAAATGGGCAGCCCCGTGGTTAGAGGCGCTCTCGTTACATATACGCCGGTTGCTGCGGCCTGGCCAGCTGTCCCAGCCCTCGCCCGCTCCTTCTTGGAGACAGCAGCCTGCAATTGCAGATGCCAAGCAGCGGAAGATATTTTTAAAGCTACAGCATCTGTCTCCTTGGCAGCCTCCACCCACTGGTGGGCCGGGTGTTTTGGAGTTGCCTTTGGGCACTTCACATGGTTTGGCATCTGATCCATTGTCTAGGCTGCCTTTTAGAGCTCAGCTTTTTTTGTGGGGTGGAGGGGGGGGTCCCCTAAAACCAACTTTTGATGATGACCTGGGTCTCCCCTCTCAGTGACATCAGTGTGTCTCTGGATCTTTTGTAATATTTTTTTTTAACTTTCCTTTAAAAAAAAAAAAGAAAAAACAAGTGATGAAAGAATGAAAGAAAGAGCATTTCCCCTCTGCCAGAGTGGGTTTGAATAGAAAACTGCCCAGTAGCTGTGCAGCTGCCCAAATCTCGCCCACCATGTCCACATTCTGACTAGTGCAGAACACGGCTTTCTTGGCATCCAAACTTCCCTCAGGCTTGACTATTCCTCAAATGTCTCCCTGGGGAGGTGAGGGATTTCTTTTTTCATTTTTCCCCGCTGCTTTTGCAAAAGACTGTGAAGCTTCCTGTCTACATGCAAATAGCCATTCAAAAAAACAGACACTGACACTTAATTCCCCCTGGCAAGCTGTATTAAGTTTTTTCCTTCTCTTAGAAAGGTGCATTTTAGGGAAGACCAGCTCCCAGCCTGCAAACTCAGGCCTGGGGACTTGGCCCTGTTTCAGAACACCAGTTTGAAGATGACTTCTAGTGAGGATTTCAGGCCTAGTGACAAGAAAATTATCTCAGTTGGGGCAACAGGCTCCTGTGTCATGGGGCTGGGCAAGGCACCAGCCTGCCTCTCACTCATGACTTGGCAAGAGTGCCGAATGTGGTCTTTTCTCCAGCCAACAGGCACAGGCAGTGGCTACCAGAGGATGCCAGTGGGCAGGAGTAATCACCAGGGCCCAGCCAGGCTGGCTAGAGGGTGGTGTTTTTAAGTAACCAGCATCACTGGGCACTCCTTGTCCCATTAAGCCACACTGATATAAGACCCAAAGAATCACTAACCCTCACCCCCACCCACAGAGCAGGAGTCTGGAGCTGACATAGGTAACTGGGGTGCATTTCTTCCACTTAAGGTCAATGAAAGATAGCAGTATTCCCGCCATATGATAAGGGAAATTTCTAACACTTCCTCTATACTGTTCTAAGTGCATTATACGTATTTCCCCAGCTAATTCTCACCACAACCCCATGAAGTTGCTATAATCATATTCTCTTTACTGATGAGGAAACCGGAGCACTGAGAGAGGCAGTAACTTACCCAAGGTCACCTAGCTACTATGGCATGGAACAAGGATCTCAAACCAAATGCTCCACCCCCAGAACCCATCTTCTTGACCCTAAAATAAAGATTGATAAAAATGAAGGCTGACTTAAGTTTTAATTCAACATTGAAAACCAGGCAACTCTGAGTTGTTGGTTCTTATTTGTCATCCTTAATTTGAAATGAAAGGGGATTTAAGAAGGGTGTTAAAGGTAGAATATGGGATTGATTCCAAGTATGTAGCCATTCCTGGTATTTTCACTGTGCTTACTGAAGCCAGTGTTCCTTCTTTGCCCCTGTTAGGCAGCAAGTTTGACCTCAGACTGGTGACCAGGAAGGAGCTTAATAAAAATGAGAGGTATTTGAACAGGAAGCCCCACCTGGGCACAGGCATTTCAGAATTTTTAGTGGCTGCAGGAAATCCAGTTAAAGCAGAGGCTACTTAAATGTATTAATTCATTCAATATATTTATTGGGTAACTTCTCTGTATTGGACATTGTTCTGGTTCTGCATGCTACAAATACAGCAATACAGAAAAGGTATAAGGAGTTCCAGGTAAGGGAAGGTTCTCAGTTTTGAATGGGGTGGTCAGATGAGTTTGAGTCTGAAAAGTTGGCATTTGAATAAGATGCTGAGGGAGGTAAGTGAGGAGCCATGAGGGTACCCAGAGGAAGAAAAAGAACAGCAAGTGCCAAGGTGAAGTGCAAAGGCAAAGTGCAAAGGTCAAATGCAAAAGCAAATTGCAAAGGTGAAGCACACCTGATCTACTCAAGGAACATCAGGGAGGCTGATGTGCTGAAAACAGAGTGAGTGGGGAAGAACAGTGAGAGATGAGCTCAGAGTGCTAATGGAGGTAGCAGAGACTGTAATCGTGATCTGTTTAAATAAGGGTAGTTTAATGAGCTATTCCTAGTGTACTCGGGTGAAGGAACAAAATTATCCAAAAGTCAAGGAACTAACAAGTCTGGAGGTCAAAGGAGAATGCAGTCTGCCCCTTCCTTGACTTGGTTTGGCTCTCCACGCCTCAGGATTTCCTTTTGTAAAGTAAGACTAGCCATAGGAATCAAGGCTTTCTACTGAGCAGGAAGATGTGGCAACTTCACAGGAATGCTAAAGGAGATGCTCACAAGGAGAAAGAAGGAGCCTCCTTTATGATTTAACACCCAAAACAATAGTTCCATTGCCTACTGTAGTGCCTGGAATTCCACCTTTAAATACCCAGCCCTTTAGGTTCTGAAGGCACTAAATGGAGGCGAGAGGGCACCAAACACAAACTGCACCTATTTCAAGATGCTGTCAAAAATCAGAATGTGCATCATCCTCTTAACTCTGTTCTCAAAATTCTTAGGCCTCCTTTCTAATGTCTCATAAATTCATACCCATGGAAATGCCTATCGAGTATTATTATACTTGGTTTCATAAAATGTTCAGAGCTACAGGGCCCCAAACTCTCACACTTAAAGCTTTTTAGAAAGATACCGAGGGTCTCCTCTGTGCTTTATTATTATTGTCTAATAGGCTTAGTGTGCAACAGTGCAACAGTCCAATAGGTCCAAGAAGAGGCACATTTTACTGAGTTTTACTTTCACATTGGGGCAATAAGACCTTATCTATCATTCACCAGCTGTGTGATCTTGCTGGGCTTCAGTCTTCTCATCCATTAAATAAGAATCACAGTTCTTACCTAGTAGTGATATTGTGACATTTAGACATTTAGTGACATTAGACACAATCTAGAAAAAAAAAAAAAAACTGGCAGCAAAGGAGAGAGGAAAGGAGACAGTGACACAGTAGGACCTGTGTCCTTCTCACCTAGGAAACAACAGAGTTGGCAGAGTCATTCATTCAGCACATATATTGTGAACACCTTCCAAGTGACAGTTGTTACACTAGCACCCACAAGCCTCAATATTTGTTTCCTCGTGGGGAAAATGTAAAGGATGGGTGCCTGAGATACACCGTGGCTTTAAGACTGCCTACTGGGTCTATTCTCTCTCACTGGGACAAAGGTGAATTCCAAAGCCTCTCTAGGGCAAGTTTCCATCTGTTGTTTTTCTCTTCCTAGCTTTTATTTATTTATTTATTTTTGAGATGGTGTCTTGCTTTGTCACCCAGGCTGGAGTGCAGTGGCATGATCTTGGCTCACTACATCTTCCCCCTCCCGAGTTCAAGCAATTCTCATACCTCAGCCTCCCAAGTGGCTGGGACTACACGCATGCGCCACCACTCCCTGCTGATTTTTGTATTTTTTAGTAGAGACGGGGTTTCACCATGTTGTCCAGCCTGGTCTCGAACTCCTGACCTCAAGTGATCTGCCCACCTCAGCCTCCCAAAGTACTGGGATTACAGGCGTAAGCCACAGCGCCTGGCCACTAGCTTTCATTTATTATTTTATTTCTGTAATTCTAGCAAGTCTTTTAAATTTGTTATAAAATTATAGCATCACTTTATACAGGAAAAGTCCACCACATTTCATTTTGATGGCCAACAGATGATAAACAAATACTCATGATTCTATTAACACTCTCTCTTTAATGCCCAATAGGCCCCTCCCCTGACTCTGTATGAGCTGTGGGGTCCCAGAGATCATTAAAGGAATACAAAGTGTTCACGTTATTAGCATGAGTTACCATTTATATAACATGTGACATACGCAAAGTATTCTCTGATGATTTTTTATAACTTCCTGGTCTTGAGCATGGACATTTTATTTATTATACAACTATATTGTTTGATTAAAACTGTGCTTTGGGGCAGATTAATACCGAAAACAATAGTTCCATTGCCTACTAGATCATACCAGCCCTAACCAGCCATTATTATAATGTCCTCCCTAGGAAGAAAATGTTTATTTGTTTTATTTATTTGTTTACTTGTGCATTTGGTATCAAAAGCAACATTTTACAAAGTACATGGCAAGAAAAGAATTACACTGGGGTTTTAGCCCAAAAAGTGTTGCATGGTCAAATAAGTTCAACAGTGAAATAGGCAACTTGTAAACACAACACAATTTTAGTTTGCAGCATTCCCTAAAATCACTGGTCAATTGAACAAGAAGAAAGGGTCTCATGAAGGGTAATCCTGAAGGCAAGTGTGGGCGTTTTGTTTCTCCTGATTTCTCCAAATCTGTTTGGTGGGAGTAGTAGTCATTCCCTTGCACCTGGATGAAAATTTTGGCAATCTTATGACTTTTCTGACATCTCTTAGCCAGTGACTCAACATAGAGATTAGAATCTATCCGTGGATGTTTCCTATCTCCTGAGCTGGCTGCTGTGGGCAGAAGACATGCCTTCACGCATTGGGAGTGCCTAGAGCTCACTTGCTCTGCCTCTCACAATCTCCCTCTCCTTTCCGTCTCTTCCTCCAGCTTGCTTATCCTGATGTCTGGCCCCTTCATGGTTGGGGCACAGGGTCAGGGATAGGGGCTAGAAAGGGATGTAGGAAAGTTCTTACTTAATAGGCATTTTCATTAGATGGCTTTGAGATCTCTGGGCCTGGCAGGAGTTGAGAGCTGCCCTTTTTTGGTCATGTGTACTTTCATGGGACTTTAGAGGGTCCCCTGCTAGGTCTGCCAGCTGCCTCTCCCTTGACTTCATGTCCCTCCTTCAGCGGACTGGGACTGAGTCCGCTCTCCTCAGCTGCAGCCGCTGATCCACATCACTGATGTCCTTGCTCTGAGGGCCGTCTCCACCGCCAGCTGCCCTTTGATGCCAGAGCCCTTTTGTAAAGGACCCTGCAGGAGAAAGATGGAAGACTCAGAGCAACTGAAGGGAGTTTCACGAAGGACTGGTTACAGGTGGAGTGGGCAGGGTACAGTGACACCAACAAGAGAGGTGACATGACCACACACTGGCCAGGCAGAGAGTTATCACCACCCTTAAGCCTAAGGGAACAAGCAAAGGGAAGCCCATAGGAGATGATCAACTAACAGAAGCCGGGGCCTTCCCTAGCTCAGTGTCTCGCCAACCCGCAACCCAGCAGGGGAACAGCCCAGGGAATGAATACACTGAGGTCACTCCTCCAGCTCTCCAATCTCCCTGGTGTCTCTTAGTGGCCAAACCCAAACAGAAAGCAGAGGGCAACCGAGTTGTCTCAAGGTGACCCCCAGAGGTCAGTCTCCTAGGGCACAGAGTGCAAAAGGGTGGAGAGAGATTTACTGGGGAAAATGGAGTATCCATTCCTGACCTCAAGGAGAGAACTTAACAGGTGTTCCAAAGCTTCACAGACTGGCCCCTGCCCACCACTTCGGCTGCTTCTTTGACTGTGTTCTCTCTTACTCTGCCCACTCCCACTGTTCCAGACATCTCTCCGTCACCCCAGTTGCATGCCTGTTCCCTCCACCTGCAGTGTTCTTTCTTCACTCTTCACCTGGTGCAATCTTTTTTCATTTTTTATGATTTATTTTAAGCATGACTTACTCAGGGAACCTCTCATTAAAAACCTATACTTCTTTTACACGTTGATTTGAGCATTTGGAATTCATTGATTATTTTCAATTACATTCATTTCTCTCTGCTTCTCCGGACACAAGCTCCTTGAGGGCAGGGGCTTTGTTTGGCCTCATCCACTCCTTTTTCCTAGAGCCTGCACATGGCAGGAGCTCAGGAAGAGTTTGCTGTCTAGGCCTCAGTGTCCTCAATTAGAAAAGGATGGACTTTTGATGCAGATGAAGTAAAAGGCCCCTTTGAGCTCTCCAATTCTCTGAAATGGAAATGCTTCTCCCACAAGTGAGTCCCTCTTGACTTCTCTGTCAAGAAACTTCTTCCAGGTTTATACATTAGCCAGAGAATACAGTAGGGGGAGAAGGTTAGGAAATCTCAGATTACTTACGAGAGGTGAAAAATAGCATTACGGTGGACGTATACAGTTTCGCAAGGAAATGAGCAATCTCTTCTTTGATGGAATATGTGAAAGCCAAACTGGAAGGAATAATTAGATTAAATAGTGATGTAAACTGGAAAGGAAGCATTACTTCCTGCACTGTACCAAATGTCTTACAGGTGTCAGTGGGACCCACCAGCTCAGTAATTAGGGTTTTAACTGTCTCCACTTAACTATGTGCAAGTGGTTGAAAACAGGAGTTTCATTGGGACCCCTGGCATCAGAACATTTTGGTGAAGTGAGCTTTGTTCTCAGTTACTCAGGGTAAAAAAAAAAAAAAAACAAAAAAAACAGGATTCATGGTGAATGGATGTGGTAATGGCTTCTTTTTTAACCCATGCTACCCAGGGCTCTGCTAGTGTGTGCCCTGGAGAACCTTAGACCACAAAGAGTGTATACCCAAGGTGTGCCCTGAGGATGGAGCCAGCATACAATACTCTAATTTGAGAGACAGCAAGGTTTTGTTGAAACTTGGCTCTTCCCCTAATTAGGTGTACAATCTTGGGGAAACCAGACCCTGAAATATCTGATGCACAAAGGGCACATCATGATACTCTGACACACCGAAAAGGTACCTGACATACAATGGAGGCATCATAAAATAGTTTTAAAATTTCAGTTTTGGAGCCAGGCAGACCTGCATTCCAGCCCAGGCTTTTACTAATATTGTTTGGCTGTGTCACCACCCAAATTTCATCTTGAATTATAGCTCCCACAATTCCCACGTGTCATCAGAGGGACCCAGTAGGATGTAGCTGAATCATAAGGGCAGGTCTTTTCCATGCTTTTCTTGTGATAGTGAATAAGTCTTATGAGATTTGATGGTCTTATAAAGGGGAGTTGCCCTGTACCTACCCCTTCGCCTTCTGCCATGTAAGACATGACTTTGCTCCTCCTTACTTTCCACCATGATTGTGAGGCCTCCCCAGCCATGTGGAACTGTGAGTCAATTAAACCTCTTTCCTTTATAAATCACCCAGTCTAGGGTATGTCTTTATTAGCAGCATGAGAACGGACTAATAGAGTCACTTATAATCTGGATGACTTTGGGCAAGTACTCCTCCTCTCTGACCCTCAACTGATGTGTATGAAAACTCAGGTATTATAATACCTGTATCCCAGACCTGCTCGAATAATGAGTTCTCTATAATATGGCAGCAATAACAAAACTACAATAGATGAATAGGTTGGTCCTACCTTATCCAAAAAGTCAGTCTCTTGTTTCATTCATTCATTCATTTATTTAGCAAGTATGTATTGAGGGCCTACTATGTGCCTGGCCCAGATTACACAGTAATCCCTGCTGTCAGGAGCCTTGCAGTCAAAGTGAGCTAGCATAGCAGCAGACTTCAAATAAATAGACAATTCTGTGAAGGAAAATGCATAGTCCTGTGAATGTGATGAATGGTGTGTGTTATTTAGATGACAGTGCTCAAGGAAGGCTGCTCTAAGGAAGTGATATTTAAGCTAAGGCTTAGAGGATGAGTTGGCATTATCCAGGTGAAATGTGGGCAAAAGAGTACTTCAGATTGTGGGAACAGGATGTGTGAGAGCTCAGAAGTTTGAAGGAGCTTGGAAATGAACGTCAAGATGGCTAGAGTTTTGTTAACAAGGGGAAGAGAGGTGCAAAATGAGACTGGACAGGTGAGCAGAGACCAGCTCACATGGATTTAATCCTACATGCAGGGGGAAGCCTTTCCCCATACTTCCTTTATGGGGCAGAATCCCTGCCTGCTCCTGTCTTGCTGACTCCCAAAATGACCTAGAAGAGCAGACAATGCTGGTCTAAATGGTGGAAGATCTGTGTCCTAATCTCAGATTTACCATCTTATCCTCATAAAGTGCCTCTTTAGCTGGTAGCTTTATTGTTTGACTTCCAAGTTTGCCTCTGGCAAAACAAGGTTCATTTGGGTAAAACTATCCCAAAGACATCATCCAGCCTAAAATTCTTACATTCCAAATTTCATATTCTTGCCAACTTCCATGGGTGTCATAAACACTGGGACAGTCACCTCCACTAACAAAGAGAAGGGCTGAGCATCTGCTCTGCTCATTGCTGCCCCACTGCCATCCGTGGAAAGTCTCAGGGGAAGTGCTTAGGAAGGAGGAGGAAACGCCAGGGCCTCACAAAGGATGTGCTGTCAGCAAGGGAAACAGCTGGCGAGGACAGAATGACAGTATTCAGGGCCCCTGCCAGCTTTTGGAGAGGGAAGAGAAGCGTTCTGCTCCCCAGGAGTGGAGGTGCAATGTGATCCCCTGGGGCGGAGCCTCTCTGAGGACACCTGGAACAAAGCAACCCTTAGATTATCCTCTTGGGCCTGCTCTGTTCTCTGATCAGTTTAGCTTCCGACCCACTAGTCCTTAGATTGGCCAAACCTCTTGCAATTTTGGCTGTGTTGGTACAGGCTAAGTCTGGTGGAAAGTTAAGGTAATTAACCAGATGAATCAAATTTACGAAAAAAGTTAAGTATACTGAGTGCAGGGCTTGAATGCACAGTTTGGCTTCCTGCAAGCATTAGCCTTACTAGCTCACTGCTCAGCTCTCCACGTCATAGGCTGGGTGGTCACATTATTCCAGAGGACTCTGCCATGCAGTTAGAATCAGAAGCAAACAAATATCATTCATCCAGCAAAGCTTTAATGAGAGTTACAACGTGCTAAGCCTATGCTAAACCCTAAAGCAGCAAACAAAGACATGATTAGTCTCTATCTCTGAGAATCAGGAGCTCATACCTGGTTAGGCAAATGTTCTTTCTTTTTAATTTTTAATTTTTGTGGGTATATAATAGATGTATATATTTATGGGATACATGAGATGTTTTGATACAGGCATGCAATACATAATAATCACATTGTGGAGAATGGGATTTCCATCTCAAGTATTTATCCTTTGTGTTACAAATGATCCAATTATACTCTTGTCATTATTTTTAAATGTACAATTAAGTTATTATTGACTATAGTCACCCTGGTGTGCTATCAAATAGTAGGTCTTATTCATCATTTCTAACTATTTTTTTGTACCCATTAACCATCCCCACCTTTTCCCCACTCACCCCCACTATTCTTCCCAGCCTCTGATAACCATCCTTCTACTCTCTATGTCCATGAGTTCAATTGTTTTGATTTTTCAATCCCACAAAGAAGTGAGAACAGGCAATGTTTGTCTTTCTGTGCCTGGCATATTTCATGTAACATAATCATCTCCAGTTCCATCCAGGTGGTGGCAAATGACAGGATCTCATTCGTTTTCATGGCTGAATAGTACTCCATTGTGCATATGTAACACATTCTTTAACCGTTTATCTGTTGATGGACACTTAGGTTGCTTCCAAGTCTTGGCTATTGTACACAGTGCTACAACAAATATAGGAGTGTAGCTATCTCCTTAATATACTGATTTCCTTTCTTTCGACTATATACCCAGCAATGGGATTGCCAGATGGTAAAGTAGGCTCTATTTTTAGTTTTTTGAGGAACCTTCAAACTGTTCTCCATAGTACATGTACTGATTTTCATTCCCATCAACAGTGTATGAGGGTTCCTTTTTCTCCACATCCTTGCTAGAATTTGTTATTGCCTGTCTTTTGGGTATAAGCCATTTTAACTGGGGTAAGATATCTCATTGTAGTTTTGATTTGCATTTCTCTGATGATCAGTGATGTTGGGCACTTTTTCATATGCCTATTTACTCTTTGGATGTCTTCTTTTGAGAAATGTCTATTTGAATATTTTGCCTGTTTTTCTATCAGATTATTAGATTTTTTCCTATAGAGTTGTTTGAACTCCTTATATATTCTGGTTACTAATCCCTTGTCAGATGAGTAGTTTGCAAATATTTTCTCCCATTCTGTGGGTTGTCTCTTCACATTGTTGATTATTTCCTTTGCTGTGCAGAAGTTTTTTAACATGACGTCATCCCATTTGTTCATTTTTCCTTTGGTTGCCTGTGCTTGGGGGTATTGCTCAAAAAATTTTTGCCCAGACCAACGTCCTGGAGATTTTCCCCAATGTTTTCTTGTAGTAGTTTCATAGTCTGAGGTCTTAGATTTAATTCTGTAATCCTTTTTTTTGTGGGATGGGGTGGAGGGGGGGATAAGGTCTCACTCTGTTGTCCAGGGTGGAGTGCAGTGGCTTGATCTCAGCTCACTGCAGCCTTGATCTCCTGGCCTCAAGCAATCCTCCCATCTCAACCTTCTGAGTAGCTGGGACTACAGGCATGTGACCATCATGCCCAGCTAATTTTGTTTACTTTTTGTAGAGACAAGGTCTCATTATGTTGCCCAGGCTGGTCCTGAGCTCCGGGACTCAAGTGATTCTCCCTCTTCATCCTCCCAAAGTGTTCGGATTACAGGAGTAAGCCACTGCACCCAGCCTAAATCTTTAATCCATTTTGATTTGATTTTTGTATATGAGAAGAAATTGGGGTCTAGTTTCATTCTCCTGAATATGGATATCAAGTTTTCCCGGCACCATTTATTGAAGAGACTGCCTTTTCCCCAGTGTATGTTCTTGGCACCTTTGTCAAAAATAAGGCAAATGTTTTAAAGTGGCAATCAGAAACTGGTGAACTGTAAAACAGTCAACCCACCTACAAGATGACCCTAATTGTTACAGGGTTTAGAGAAACAAGTAGCCAGTGCAGGCTGGGGTTGAAGAGGACAATTTGCAGAGGTGAAAGGCCTTAAAGAACAAGACACTCCAGCACCAAGGAAGAAAGAGGATAATCCCAATTTTTAGTTAAATTAATGAAAGCGAGGAGGTAAGACAGAGTGTAGAGAATTTAGAGGAATGCAAGGAACCACTACTAAAAAGTGCTGGAAGTTTACAAACTCAAATGTTTACCTGATTTGGGGGTCCCAGAGAGTAGTAGTGGGAACTAATCCAGCATGGCTGATGTCCTTGTAAGAAGAAGAAAGCACCACATGAAGACAGAGACACGCAGAGAGACCACCTGGGGAAGACAGAGGCAGAGATTGGAGTAATGCAACTGCGAGCCAAGGAAAGCCAAGCATTGCCAGGAAAGCACCAGAGCTGGCAAGAGTCAAGGAAGGATTCTCCCCTACAGGTTTCAGAGGGAGCATGACCTTGCCAATACCTTGATTTTGGACTTCTAGCCTCCAGAGCTGTGAGACGATAAATTTCTGTTGCTTTAAGCCACCCAGTTTGCAGTACTTGTTACAGCAGCCCTAGGAACCCCATACATACTCACAGGCATTCATTTAGCCTCAGTGGAGGTGCAATTATCCATCACAGAGACGGTGAGGGGGAGTAAAATAACACCTAGAAAAGTGCTTTACACTCCCCAGAAGGAATTACATTGCCAGATAAAGGAATTGTACCCACAACCTGAGTGAATAGTGGGAATAAAGGAGGTAGCAACTGACAGTGAGAAAGAACGGAAGAAACAGTTTCATGTAATCGAGTTACAAGATGATGTTCTTAGGGCTGGCCTTAATCCAATATGACTGGTGTCCTTATAAGAAGAAAACACCACGTGAAGGCAGACACGCAGAGAGACCACCTTGTGACGACAGAGGCAGAGACTGGAGTAAGGCGGCTTCGAGCCAAGGAAACTGTTTTACAAGGAACTGTTTTACAGCTCACTAGCTCCTGATTGCACTTATCAAGTTCACGGGTGAAGGTATAAGCTTTAGAATCAAACAGGCCAAAACTAAACCCTGCTCTGCCTCCTACCACCTGTGTGAACTGGGTTGAGTTATTTCCCTCTCTGGGCCATCATATTTTCAGCTATAAAGTGGAGATAGTAACTGAACTTACCTTATAGAGGCAAGTAACTTTTAAAAGAACTATGATACACAAAGCCCATAGCACAGAGCCTGGCCCCCAACCTACCAGGACCCAAGCTTTGCCTCTGGGGCCTCCCAAACCCACAGCTCTCTACAACATATGCAAGCTTCAGTCTCAGCGGAAATGCCTTCATCCACCTCCCCTTACCAGAATTCCTCTCATCCTCCAGCACCTACTCCTGTCCCCTTGACCATTCCAGCCCTCGTGGTGTCCCCACTCTGAAACCCTATAACACAAAATTGCCTTTCCCACCATAAGACCAGCTTGCCTTTTTTTTCTTTTCTTTCTTTTTTTTTCTTTTCTTTTCTTTTTTTTTTTTTTTTTTTTTGGCTTATAAACAACAGGAATTTATTTTTCATAGTTCTGGAGGCTGCAAAGTCCAAGGTCAAGGCACCAGCAGATTTGAGCCCACTTTCTGCTTCACAAATGGCACCTCCTTGCTGTGTCTTCACATGGCAGGAGGGGTGAAGCAGCTCTCTGGGATCTCTTTTATAAGGACACTAATCCCATTCATACTCTGCCCTCAGGACCCAATCACCTCCCAATGACCCCACCCCCTAACACCATCACACTGGTGATTAGGTTTCCACATATGAATTTTGGGAGGGACATAAACACTCAGACCATAATCTCTTGGCCTCTTTACAAACACCACAGTTTGGCACTAAGAGTGAAAAGATAAGGAGAGAACACTGCTTTGCCTTTTTTTTTTTTTTTTACATGCCCTGCCTTCTGCCCCAAGCTGTTACCCACATTGAAAGCCAAAGAAAGAGAAAAAAGAAAGGCAACATATTCCTCAACACTCACGCTAAGACACAGGAGATGCTGGGCACTTTCATTCCTCGTCATTTCATTTCACTGCACTTCACTCCATCCCCATGACACCTCTCTAATGTATGTGCCTAACCCCTGTCTCTCCCCACACTTTATGGATCTAGAATAGCCTCCTGGCACATGGTAGGTGCTCAGTAAAAGCTATTATACCATGATAATTGTATGTCATGTTATACCATGACAATAATAACCTTCAGCTCCTCATTTGGGCTAGTATGAGAGAAGAGCCAAAGAAAAGAAAGAAGATTCTATGTGTCTCTGAAAAACTGTCTGATGCTGCAGCCAGCAAAAAGGGAAGGTGGTGCTGCTTTAGAAACAGGCTTGGGAGCCCAGAATTTCCACATGCCTAGCACACCTTGACCCAAGTCTACTTCTAACACTACCCACCCCTGCCAAGCTAACCGTCGAGAGAATAATCTTATTATTGGTAACCTCTTCCCAACAAAGCCTCACCACAGGACAGCCTATTAGGCCGTCGGGCCTTATTAGTGCTTGTGGCAGCGCGGTCGAGTGTAACTGGATCTGGAGCCCTGTGCTAAATGCTCCATCTGGAGCTACTCTCTCTGAACACGGAGGAGGGCTGCACCCTCCTCATCCTTAAAAGTCTTCTAAAGAATGGCTCAAGTTTCCCAAACCTGCTCAAAGCGAAGACAGCATCCACCATCTGAGGCTCCTCACTCTTATGTAGACAAACCTAGCAAACAGTGGCAGAGACCTATTCCCCCTGGTCTTGTTCTTGAGAGGGGCACTTTGCTAATAGACTTATGAATTCTCTGTCTTCTGATAAATTCACTTTAAAAATATCTATTGAACAGAAATGATATGCCCGGCATCATTGTTGTACTGGGGTTACAGTAGTGAACAGCACAGAAAAACAATCTCTGTCTAGAGCAGCTTATGCTCTCCTGAGGGAGGCAGAGAATAAATTTAATTTTGAGAAAGTCAATTACAGGGACTGGGAATCCGTTGGCTGGGGCTGCCATTAAATTGTACCGTAAATTGCGTGGCTTAGACAACAGAAATATTTTGTCTCACCCGAAAGCTAAAAGTCTGAAATCAAGGTGTGAGCAGGGTTGGTTCCTTCTCAGGGCTGTGAGGGAAGGATCTGCCCCAGGGCTCTCTCCTTGGCTTGCAGATGGCTGTCTTTTCCCTGTGTCTCTTCACGCTGCCTTCCCTCTATGTGGATTTGTGTCCACATTTCCCCTTTTTATAAGGACACCAGTCAGATTGGATTGGGGCCCACCCTAATGATTTCATTTTAACTTGATTACCTCTGTAAAGACCCTATTTCCAAATTAGGTCACATTCTGAGGACCCGGGAGTTAGGAATTCAACACAGGAATTTGGGAAGGGACACAGTTCCACCCATCACAATGTTAGAAGGTAAGAGTGCTATGGGAAAAATGACACAGTAAGAGAGACAGGAGTACCAGGACACGAGGGCATGCTACTAAACAGTGTGGTCAGGAAAGAGCATCCAGATGGAAGGAAAGGCCCTAAGTTGAAAGCAGGCCTGGAACTTTCTAGGAAAGCAGGGAGACTAAAGTGGCTGTAGTAGGATGGGCAAAGGGGAGAGTAGTAGGAGCTGAGGTCAGACAGGTGAGCAGAGAGGAGCCAAGTCTTGTACTTCAGCCACGGTATGAACCAAAGTGGCTGGAGGGTTTTGAGAGGGACGTGATCTGGTTACTGAAGTGTAAAAAATTTTTCTCCTGTAAATTTTGGCCTTGGGGTTAATAGATGGGCCTTTGAGGTATTACGTTCCCTTTCTGCAGCACGCACAGTGCCTGACCATCTTTCACTGCATGGACTCTGGCCCAAGACCCTGTATCCTGGTGCTCTAAGCAGGATTTTTATGAGGCTGCATCTTTCTGTGTTCTGCAGACCTATTTCCTCAGACTTCTTGGGCCGTGAACATCACAGGTCTTCTGCGGCACAAACCAAACTGGCCACAATAGACCAAAGCATTTTAACGCTCCCCAACACCAGGCTCTTCTTGGCCGCTCATTTCTGTATCCTACCACTAACGCAACAAAGGAGGGAAGAAAGCCTTTAGCAAGCACCAAAGATAATAAATGCTTCTAAAATTGCCTTCTTAGGAAACAGAAACCTGTAAAGGCATTTACTAACTGTACAGTAAAAAGGTGGAAACAGTTACATTCCCAGACATGACCCAGTGATATGTCATTAGAGGAAACAATGTTTGCCTGTGAGAGTCATCACCCACACCCACTGTGACAATAAGAATTTGCTCACTTCTTTCTCCTGAGCAAGTATGGGGGCTTGGACCCCAATGCATAGCTTTATATATTAAGAATGGCTAACACTGACTGAGGGCCTCCCATGTGCCACGCATGCTGTAAACATTTGCTCATTTAATCTTCACAGATATTACTGTAGATAGTACTGTTCCCATTTTACATATGCAGAAACTGAGCCTCAGAGAGGTTATTTTTGCCAAAGATCACATAAGCAAGCTAATGAATGGTGGAGCTGGGGCTTAAACCCAAAGCCCCTCTCCTGCAGCTCAGGAACTCAATTTGCATGTCAAAATTCTGTTTGGTACCTTCTGTCATTTACTACCCATCTGAAAGTTTTCTTGTATGTTTCCTCACTCTCTGATTAAAAATATCATCCCACTATAGCCCCAATGTTTAAATATTAACACAGTATCCTACTCAATGCCCATCTCCAGTATTATTCCTTTATGAAACCTTCACTGATAGCCCCTTTCTCCCACAAAAGTTGTATTTATTCTCTTTAGACTTTAAAACTTGAGGAAAATGGACGTGTGTTTTGGAGTCAAATGGACCTGTGCTCGTATGCCAGCTTTGTGACTTCGGACAAGCTATTTACCTTCCCTGAATGTCATCTTCTCAATAGGTATTGAAATGCCTACCTCATTTGGTTTTCATATGGATTAAAAGAAATAATGTGTGGAAAGTAGCTGACCAATAGTAAGTGCTTATTATTAATAAATGTTGGTGCCTTCTCCTATCCTCTTATGACCCTCAAAGCATTCTGCCTTATAGAATAATTACTTGTGTCTTGACTTTGAAGGTATGGCCTATGTCCTACTCATTTTTGTTGCGCGCATAGGAATAACTCATAGTTGGCTCTCTATAAATGCTTATGGAATAGTGTAAGGTGCAAGTTAATCCTTCTTGAAAGGAGGTGGAAGGAAAGAGGGAAGGAAGGAAAGAAGGAAGGAAGGAAGAGAGGGAGGGAGGGAGGGGAGAAAGAGATAAAGAAAAGAAAGGAAGAAGGAAAAAAGAAAGGAAACCCCATGAATGCAATGGGTGGGAGGAAGAGAAGCCAACAGCTGGAGACCCACACAGCCAAGGAGGTTGAGAAATCACAAGGGCAAGTTCCTGTTTTCCAGAGTTGTCCAGAACTGGTTCCATCAAGAGTTGTATTCCCTTGTTATCTGCTGCATACATCAAGCGCACGAACACACATACACTTTCTTTTTTTTTTTTTTTTTTTTTTTTTTTTTTTTTTTTTTTTTTTTTTTTTTTGAGCTGGAGTCTTGCTCTGTCGCCCAGGCTGGAGTGCAGCAGTGCCATCTCAGCTCACTGCAACCTCCGCCTCCTGGGTTCAAACAATTCTCTGCCTCAGCCTCCCGAGTAGCTGGGATTACAGATACTCACCACCATGCCCAGCTAATTTTTGTATTTTTAGTAGAGATGGAGGTTTCACCATCTTGGCCAGAGTGGTCTCGAACTCCTGACCTCAGGTAATCCGCCCGCCTCAGCATCCTGAAGTGCTGGGATTACAGGCGTGAGCCACCGCGCCCGGCCAACACACATACACTTTTCAACAGCTAACAAAGTGGTAAAAGAAGGGCAGTTTAGCAAATCACTCCCCCAAGTGTTAAAGCCAGGACCACAGTGAGGAGTAACTCTGTACATGTCAAGAAGTTTCCTTTTGTTCCCTTACCCTGCCTCACTGTGGAAGCCCTAAATAGTCAGGTAATGGCGCATGACAGGGCAGGGTCAGGTCCCTCTTCCTCTGCCTGGGGAAGGAAAACCTAGTTCCAGGCAGGAGTTGCCAAGCTTTGCTCCCTCTCAACCTGCTGGTAGCAAATGAAGGAGAAGGAATGGAGCCCTCTGCTTTCACTATGCATAAGTCAATTAGAACATGCTGATTTCTCTAACAGGATTATCTTTGTCCTTCCCCAGAGCCTGTTCCATTAAGGAAGTAATCAATGACCTATCATTCGGAGATGTCTCTGTCACTCACATGCTGGACTCCTCCTTAACTCAGAAATCATGTAGTAACCTAAACAACCAAATGCAGAGTTAGTAATTTTTACTTTTAAAGTCATTTTTATGGCCATTTTGCTTCCACCAAAAAAAAAAAAAAAGTGTTTGAATGCTAATGGGAAGACCTGTTTTTTTGTGTGAGCATCGTTGCTATCATTTATTACTAGTCTCAGGTGTGATGCATTTCTAGCAAGACCAGGCAGGAAGGGAGAGGGGGTAAGGACATCCTTCATTCATGAGGTGAACAAAGAGTGTTTCCCATCCCCCCATCCCCTCCTCATCAAAAACTTGAAAATAATGCATAAAATAAACAATCCATCAATCATGGGGAAATTTGAATCACATGTAGCAGAATGCAAGGCATATCTGTAAAAGTATCAGTAGAGGATACTACAAATCCCCCAAAGCCCACCATAGCCAGAGTGATCGTCTTAAACCACTAATAGGATTACTTCCTGACCCGCTTCAAGCTTCTGCATAGCTTCCCACTGTTGTCAGGACAAAGTCCTAACTCCGTAACAGAGGCGACAAGACCTTGCTGTCTCTGGTGCCTGCCTACTTTCCTAGCCTCACCTCAGCTAATTCTCTGATTCCAATTCACTGTGCCATGTACACCCACTCACTCACACACACATATACAAGCTCACACACATATACAAACTCACACACATGCAAGCACATGTACACACGCAAACACACGAACACACTTTTCCCCTACCCCTACTGATCTTTCAGGCCCCAGATCAGATGTCACTTCTTCCAGGAAGCCCTCCCAGAAACCTTAAACTTAGATTAGATGCCTTTCTCGTGAGCTCCCATAGCACTTTGTACCGCTCCTCTTAACCCTTCTACCGTGCTTTGTAATTGCTTGTTTGCCTGTCTCATTCCCCTAACCAGACCACTGGATGAGGACCACATATAAACTGTCCACCATTGTTTCCCCAGGGTCTCAGGCAGGGCCTAGCTCAATAAATACTTTTCAATTTAAAAGTCATTGAAGAGAGTGAATTTAATATGATGTAGAAAATCTTAGGCAAGCCTGGCATATAGTAGGTGCACAAGAAATATTTGTCATTTGGAATTGAATTGAATTATAACTTGGATAATCTCAGGAATGCAAACCTGAGGTTTAATTGTATTTAAGGAAACTAATCACTGGTAAATAGTATAGAAGATGGTGTTCACCAAAGAAAATGGGTCATCATAGAACAGGCCAAAAAAAAAAAAAAAATTCTAAAGGGAAGAAATGACTGTTTTTGCTTGGCCCTGCAGAAGGGAAAGCCAGTGAATCTGTCAGTGACACTAGCTGGCCACTGGAAACAGGTGCCCTGCTGCAGGCAGGGGACATTCATCAGGCCTCATGCCTCCTTCAAAATGCTGGCCTCCTTTTCTCAGATTCACTGCTCACCAAGCATCCCATAAACTTCCCCTGCAGATTTTCCTACAGGGAGACCATGTGCTGACCCAAGCATTCCTAACCCTTCGGCAGCTCTGTTTCTCATTCAAAGTGAATAAATTGGCCCAGCTCACGCACCAGGCTAGTAGGAATCTGTCCTGAAACCCTGCTCTATTCTGACTTTAAGAACAAATATCATGTTTCTAAATTTACAGAACTGAGAACCAGGCCTTTGGACTCAGCAAAGTACATTGCCTTGTAAGGCCCAGCTTGAGCAATCACGGTCCCCCACCCCCCGGAAGATACTCATTTCTTCTAGATACAATGGGAAGCAAACCAAAGACTTGCATAACTCAATGAACACAGGGGCTGAGAAAACCCACTGCCTCAGATGTTGGCAATGCTGGGGCAATCAGACAATGAAAGAACGACCTTGATTCAGTCAATGGTCACGCAGGCAGAAATTCAGGGGTGTTCAACAGGGCCTGGAGCCACTGTCTTTGGTGGTAGGAACCTGGCACCTAAGCCAGAGTACCAGAAGGCTCAAGTTGTAGAGGGGGACAAGTAAGCCTTAAGCAGGAGTCTGAGCAAGGCTCCTTTTGGGGGCAAGAAACTCTGGATAGGGTAAGGAACTTGGGACAATAGTTATCATATCCTAATACTGTCTTCCATTTACAGAGCACTGACTCTGTTCTAAGCAATGACCTTAGTGTCTTTATAACATTATCTAATTTAACCTTTCAACAACCCTATGATCCAACTACCACAGCCTTCCAATTTACAGTAAGGAAACCACCCTGGATACGATACTGAAATTGTCAATATATTAGCATGAATGAAATGCAATTACCAACATGTGGGTGTTGCTTACCTACACACACAAAAATGACAATTTCATGTGATTCAACCCCATAGTTCCTGTCTCCATGAGAGCTGGCCAGGAACACAGATAGAATTAAATATGCTGGTGGGAGGGAACAGAGAAGACAGAAGTGAAATAGAGGAGGGGTCAATCTGTCACACTAGCTAGACTTGCAGGAGTGATGGCCGCAGGGTGGACAGGTCCCAGGAGCACTATTGTCAAGCCCCTGCAAGAAACTGTGGGGTTTCTGGCTAGGAGATCTGAGCCCACAGACAAAGCCAGGTGTTGTTTCCCAGTCAGGTCACAAGTCTCAGGCAGTCTTATGCTGAGCTGTCCCTTTTCCCAACACCCAGAAGCCCAAATAGCCATGCATGTCTCTCTGTCGTCCCATGTAGGGCCTCTTTCTGTAAACAGAAATCAGATCACATGTTGCCTGAAGTCAGATATGACCAGAATCGGTGCACTGTGCAAGATTTCACCAATGATGAAAATAACTTTCTCCTGCTGCATTTAACATCTGGTGTCACAGATTTTTGCTGAGAGCCATAAAATCACTAACTTGCAGAGAAAACCTCATTGTTGAAAAATACATTTATGGGGGTGTGGGGGGATGGCAGCCGGAGCCTGGCTGTGTTCTGGGCCTGCCCAGTGGATGATGAATTTCATGAGGCCTTGGTAGGAATCTGGGGCAATAGAAAGACAGACCCAGGCTAGCAACTCTGCCACTGACTAGCTGAGGGACCTTGCACTGGTTTCTTCACCTCCCGGAACTTCTATTTCCTTATCTACTTAAAAAAAAAAAAACAGCAGGATAAAAATAGCCACGTGCCAGGGTTACTGTGTGGATTCAATGAAATAACATATGTGGCAGTGCCTGGCACAAGAGTAAATGCTAGCATTTTCCTTTCTTTTCCTTTTCCTTTTTTGTTCCCTGACATTTCCTTTCAGACCCAAGTCTGCCTGAACACTGTGGCATTTGTGGAAGACGTATACATGCAACACTCCTGCAAAGCTTGGCCCAAGTCGCAGTTCACTGGGACCCCTGTGCTCTACCTTAGGGAGAAGCGCTGATGTTTTAGTCTGTCTTTCCCAGTGAAATGGACAGTCTTGGGGGAAAGAGGCTGAGCCAGTTCACCACTGCCTGGCACACACAGTAGATGCTTAGGCATTTCCTAAATACTGGAGTGATCTGTATGACATCATCAAGAAGTAGCAGGAAGGGAGGAGGTGGTGCACCTGTGTGCTCTGCCAACCAGCACCCAGCAAGCTCCTGGCTTGTCTATGTTGTGTTAGGCCTGGAAGTCTAGGAAGTTAGTGACAAGAGGAGGTGAGCCTCAAGGGCCTCTTAGCTTACCTGGCAAGCAGGGGCTGGGACCAAGGAATCACGCTTTGTAGCCTTCATCATAGACGAAGGCGCCAGGTTGGGTTGCCTGGCGGGCCACTGGCCACATTGAAGACAATGTGTTCTACTTGTCATTCCCATGGCTGCCTTCAAAATTCACATTAAATCCAGTTTCCCTCGTGTCTAATTGCTGCCATGGGGTGGTGTGTTGAGGGATCCGCAGGATGTAATTGACCCTGTTCCTGTTCTTCCCCACAGCATGGCCTTGACCGTTGAACCCACTCCAATTATTGTAGACCTTTGCCAAGAGCACACTCAATCTCCCACATCTTTCTCTCAGCCTCTCCCACTCTCCACCCTTTCTGTACCTCCTATGGATGTCTGTCTCTGTGTGTGTGCTGCCTCTCACCCTCTGTGTCCCGTCCTCTCTCTCTCTGCCCTTCCCTCTCTCTCTGTTCCCTTGCCCCTCTCTCCATCTACCTGTGTCCCTGCATGTGGCTGTCTCTCTCTGTTCCTCAGCCTCCCTCAGTTGGTCTCTGCATCCTTCCCTCCTGCCCCCTCCCAGACTCGCCCTACCTGAGCCACCGCCCCCCCACCCCGCCTCACCCAGCTGCCTGAGGTCCTGCACCTCCCAATCACTCTCCTCATATTTTTAACTCTCACTTATTATCTCTGCATCGCCATTTTTTTGGCTGCGGGCCACAGCAAACAGAATGTGAGAAAGCAAAAACTAATGAGCTTCTTCAAGAGAGGATAGGGAGCTTCTGTTATCTCATTTAGTCCTCGGAGTTTAACTCCTGGCACTTCCGTCACATCTCCAAATGGTAAGTGAAGGTTGTTACTTTTCAATTTGGTTGGGCTGTGTAGCACATTTCATCAATTAAAATACACCCTCGGTGCAGAATCACAACAGGGCCGGCAGGAAGGGTGCTAGTGTGTGAGGATCTTTTTTTTTTTTTTCAAAGTTACTTTCATTCCATGTTCCATGGAGTGGAGAGCTGTTAGGAGGCAGCTGCGTGCTGAAAACACCACCACCGTTGGTGGAATGAATGCAGCACTGTGCATGCAATCCACTGCTGTGCAGCACCCTGATGGCTGAAGACCCTGCCAGACCTGCTGCGCCTGGCCGGGAGGTGGAGCCCAGGTCTCTGGATTTAGCCCTGAGGCTAAATTGACCTCCTAACCTACAGAGTGACCTGGGCAGGTCACTCAAGCTGTCTGTGTCCTGTTTCTGTCTCACCCGTTCCTCTCCTATAGGCTGTAGGAGGAATTCTGTAACTGGAAAGATCTTTAGGAGGGGAAATGAATGAATGGCATAATAAACTTCACCAACCACCCTGATATTCATTCATTCAACAGATACGTGTAGAACACTCACTGCATGCCAGTTACTATGCTAGCCTCGATTCTTAGAAATTTTGGGTCTAGAAACCCCAGTCTTTCCCTCCACCCTTCCCTGCCAGAAGGAGGGTGGAATTCATTTTTGTTACCATGAAAGCAAACTCCCTCAGCCTTCTACTTTTTCTACCTATGAAAATTGCTTAAGGGAGAACTAGTGACGCACCTTTTAAAGAATTATTGTTGTTTCCTGATTATAAAAGTCATTCATTTATTATAATAAATGTTTAATGCACATCAAAAGAAAGCACAAAATATAAATCAGTCACAATCCTACCTCCCAAAGATAACCACTGTTTTCAAAGACACATTACTTTTTACAGCAATGGAAACCAACAAGCCTACTAACAGAAGGCTAAGCCCCCAAGAGAAAAGAAATTTAATTATTTGACACAATTATTGAGTACCTACCTCACATGAAGGACTCCCTTGGAGTTACAAAAGTTAGTAAGATCTTGCCTTTCCAGGGCTTGGGAAACACTGAATTATTGGTCATTTTTACCCAGATGTCTTCAACCCTGGCCTAATGTCTCTAAACCAGAAATATAACTTGAGAATTGGCTCCATGTCCAATTTCAGTGAGAATGTTTTATCCATTCTAAAGTTTCTTCCTCATTTTTTTCTTCCCACTATTAGAATTTCTCTGTTACTACCGTTCACCCCCTTTCCACTTGATTCTTTCTCCAGTGCTTTACTTTCAGAAATGGTGAACACTGAGCAGCCTTGTGCAATGCCTAAGTGATTAGCAGTAACATCTTAGCAGATACGGATGATAGAACAAAGCCAGGTAGAAGATGAGCTGCATCACACTTTTGCAAGGCCCCTGCAGCTGGTGCCTCCCTATAGGCCAGGATTCGCTGTTCATAAATGCTCTCAACTGGACAACACTATGCAGAACATCCTAGTTCTATCGCCAACGTGTGCTGCTCAAAACTCTAGTCCCTTGCAATACTGCAAGAGAGGGAAGGTAGTAGTCAAATATGTTTGGAAAGTGCCTCTAGACACATCCAGTCACAAAGCACATCAACACATCAAAGGATCCAAGAAACCTGGTTAGCACAGTTTAACACAGCAATTCCCAAATGTCTGACCATTGATGTTAGAAACGCTCAGGAACATCCTAGGAAAGTCATTTGGGAAAATAAATTAGTTGTTCTTATTGTATAAGTTATTCATACTCATGTTATGTTAATATTATAAAGAGAAACATTGGCTTCGGTGTTATTAACAACATCCTTCTCTACTCTTACCACTGCCAAAGTCATAATTATTTCACACAAGGTCATCACTGGTCTGGCCCCTGCCGAGTTCATTAGCCTCACCTCCTACCCATCCAGTACCTGAACCTTCCCAAACTGCTTGAAATGCCCCCAAACTCAATGTGTGCCTTGTCTTGCTGTTTCACTGAAATGTTCATCTAACTTATCTATGCAGCCAACTCCTACTCATCTTCTAAGGCTCAAGTTTTCTCCTCTGTGGAGCCACCCCCAAATCACCCCCAGGAGTAGGATACCCCTCCTTGCTCTTCCCTGGCATTTTGTATTGGGTAGTACATTGAGTGATGCACAGAAGTTTTCAAAGAAAGAGATGAAAATGAACCAGGATCCAGAGATTAAACAAACCCCAATTAAAGGGAACACATGAAGAAAATGCTTGAAATAGGGAAAATGTAGGCAGAGAAGCAGCTGGCATTTCGAAGCATTAGTTGTAAGTGACATCCTGATTTCAACAGCATTGGCAATATCCAGACATGCAGGTGGTCTGGGATGGGGGAAGGGGGTGCAAAGAACCAGTTCCCAGGAAACTGGACTTCAGATACAACAGGAGGTCAGAATAGAATAAACTCCAGGCAAATTAAGCAAACCAGGATGCAAATCTGAGTCACTGGGTACTAATCATTAAATAGAGGCAGGACTGACTCCATGTTCTAGGGCAAGGCTGAGCCCACAGGTGCGGAGTAAGTGGCTGCACCTGGAGAATTAAAGGACTGCAGGACAGGAAGCCAAGCAATCATTACAGCTTCCAGGTGCTTCTCTCCACATGGCCTTGCTAAGGTTTGCCTCTGCCTTTATTATATAACCTCAGACTCCCCCACACTATGCATTTCTACATTCAGAACCCCAGTCTGGAAACTTGGCTTCAACCTAGTTCGAAAATCATTTGTGCCCTAGAGTTTAAAATTCAGGATTAGATTCATGGAGTTGTAATGCAAAGACCTGTTCACCACAACATGTTTAAACCCATGTTGGGAGCCTCAATAATTTGCTCGTAAAATAAAGGTCATCCATCCAAATGGTTTTGGATAAAATAAAGGTGGATAGTAAATATGAATGGGAGTCTTTCAAGAAAAAAAATGTTCATTTTCTTTCAATGCCTGAAGACACAACCTCCCAAACATCTCTTCTAAACCAATCTGGCCTAGGCAAGGTATTTCATGCCTGTAATCCCAGCACTTTGGGAGGCTGAGGCAGGAAGATTGCTTGAGGCCAGGGGTTTGAGACCAGCATGGGCAACATAGCCGGACCCCATCTCTATTTAAAAAATAAATAAATAAATAAATAAAAACGAAACTAATCTGAATAGTTAAGGGGAAAACATAACAGATTCAGGTCAAGTTAAGAGGATTTGAAACATAGGTTATATTATTCAATCACCACCAAAACGGGGAGAAATGAATTCTAATTAAATCCTGAAGTCCTCAACCCATATCTAGGTCACAAACTGTGAAGTAAGAAGCTATACACATTTGGTTAGGATGATCCTGTTGGCAGTGCAGGTAACTAGCAAGAAACTCCAATAAAATAAGAAGAGTCCAAAAAGGTCTAAAGTTTCACATTTTTCAGTGGAAAGTCTAAGGAATAGGAGAGGATTTCCTGTACTTTTTCACTTTATCAGTTTGGGCTCTAAAGAACAATGAGAGAAAGAGATAGAAGTGATGAAAGGGTGGGTGGGTAGGTGGATGAATGGATGGGTGAACAGAGAGATGGTTGAATGGGTGGATGGATAACATTTTTAAAATGTAGATAAAGTGGATAAGGCTCTAACTCAGGTGCTTGCTTGGTGCTTTCCCCAGAAGGCCACATCTACTTTTCCTAGTGCTTCTGCAAATGGTCACTGCAAATTCCATATGCAACTCAAATGTCAGTTGGCATCGCTTCTGTTCTTTAAAGTTCTGACAAAATTGCTGAGATGCTGCCCCCACTCCCACTCCACATTAAATCTAATATTCTTCCCCAAGATTTCTGTGGATTACAGGATTTATACATTCTTGATCTCTTAATACTCAGATTTTTTGTTCCTACTAAATCTAGTTAACATTATTGCTTTTCCTTCTGGTATCTGTCCTCTTCTTTCTTTCTTTCTTTCTTTTTTTTTTTTTTTTTTTTTTTTTTTGAGTCAGAGTCTCGCTCTTTTACCCAGGCTGGAGTGCAGTGGTGTGATTTCAGCTCACTGCAAGCTCCGCTTCCCAGGTTCACACCATTCTCCTGCCTCAGCCTCCCGAGTAGCTGGGACTACAGGCACCCGCCACCACTCCCGGCTAATTTTTTTGTATTTTTAGTAGAGATGGGGTTTCACTGTGTTAGCCAGGATAGTCTCGATCTCCTGACCTCGTGATCCACCTGCCTTGGCCTCCCAAAGTGCTGGGATTACAGGTGTGAGCCACTGGGCCCGGCCCTGTCCTCTTCTTTCTATTCCATGCGGATTCCAACACAAAATTCCACTTTTCCCCTGGATTTACCCCAAATATCACTACTGAAAAGTTTACTGAGACTATAGGAGAATAGGGAAGGGGGACTACAAAACGGAATAGCACAGCATACAACCTGAGTCACTGTTAAGCAATTAGACATTCCTCTTCTTAAAATCTCTGCACCATACCTACCACTTGGAACTTCTCACTTGCTTACCTTCTCCTCAGAATCCCTGGTGTTCTGCTGCTCTTTGTCACTCTCTCTCTCTCTCCCCCTCTCTCCCTCTTCCTCCTACCTCTAGTTTTTTCCGTCTTGCTCTCAACTCCCCAAATTCCCAGCTACTTTGTATCTGTTTGGATCTCTCTTCATCCCTTCCCCGCAGCTATTCCTGGCTGTGCCACAGAGCCTCTTTTTTTTTTTTTTTTTTTTTTTTTTTTTTTTAAGACAGAGTCTTGCTCTTGTCGCCCAGGCTGGAGTGCAGTGGCGAGATCTTGGCTCACTGCAACCTCCATCTCCCAAGTTCAAGTGATTCTCCTGCTTCAGCCTCCTGAGTAGCTAAGATTACAGGCGCCCAGTTAATCTTTGTACTTTTAGTAGAGATGGGGTTTTGCCATGCTGGCCAGGCTGGTCTTGAACTCCTGAGGTGATCCACCAGCCACGGCTTCCCAAAGTGCTGGGATTATAGGCTTGAGCCACCATGCCCAGCAGCTACAGAGCCTCTTTATGATCAGACACACCCTTGCAGGTGTGTTTGGAGACAAAGGTTTTTCTCTTTGACAGGGATTCTGCCTTTTGCCTCAGAGTAGCAATTTTTCTCTCCCTCCCCCCACCACTCCACCTCCTATTCCATCACTAATCCTTAGACACACCGCAGCCTTCATTAACTCTCTTCTGAATTCAGGGCTGAATGTCTGTGCTCCTGATGTCAATCTGAAACCCTGACCCAGTCCAGCTTCATCCTGGCTTCTTTCTCAAAGTTGTTGACTAAAATCCATTCAGCATTTGGGGTTTCTTAAAAAGGAATCATCTTGGAGTAAAACGATTGTTACCAGAGGCTGGAAAGGGTAATGGGGGATGCGCAGGGGAAGTGGGGATGGTTAATGGATACAAAAAAAAAAATAGATATAATGAATAAGGCCTAGTATTTGATAGCACAAAAGGGCACCTATAGTCAATAATAACTTAACTCTACATTTTAAAATCACTAAAAGTATATAATTGGATTGTTTGCAACACAAAGGATAAATGTTTGAGGTGATGGATACATCCATTTACCCCGATGTGATTGTTATGTATTGTATGCCTGTATCAAAATATCTCATGTACCCCATAAATATACTGTGTACCCACAAAAATTTAAAATTTTTAATTTTTTAAAAAAAAGGAATTATCTTGAAACATAAAGAGTACACAGGACCAAGTGATGCCAGAGCTATGACTTTAGTTAATGTCACAGCAACCCTGTTAGATGGACAGATGAAGAAACTGAGGCTCAGAGAGATTAAATAATTATTTCAAGGTTGCACAATTTTCTCCCTCCAATTTATTTTCATTCTTGAAACTAGAGTGATTTTTTGTTTCTGTGGCCACTTCTTTTTCTAAGAGAGACATGTGATCATGCCGCTTCATTGCTTAAATTCTTCAATGGCTCCCTGCTGTCCTCAGGGCAAAGTTTATACTTCTTAGCCTGGTACGCAAGGCCATTCATGATCATTTACACATACAGCAAGGTCATTCATAATCACTTACACACACACACACACATGCACACACATGTTTACCTCTCAGGCCTATCTTTCTTTGAACCACCCGCTCCTTGCTTCCTCCTCTGTGGACTCTAGGTTCTAGGCTTGCTGAATTATATATTGTTCCCTAATCACGCCTCCAGTTCTCTGTACATGGTGTTCTCTCTGCCTCTCATTCTCTCTCCACTAGAAAGAAAGCTCCTTAAGTGTAGCGACTTTATTTTGCTCATCACCGCTGTAAACTTCACAGCTAGAATACTGCCCAGCACACAGTATTTCCTCATGTCACCTAAATTACTCTCGCAGACTTTTCCTCCAGGCCGCATCTCAGATGTCACTTCCTCCCAGAAGTCCTCCTGACATCACAATCAGGTTTTAATTCTCTTTTTCTGGTCCCTTAGATCATATCATGCTTACATCTATCATAGCATTGATAAGACTCTATTTTCTCTCAACTCACCTGACGCCTTAGTCAGAAAACATGAGAGCATGACTATGTCTTGTACATCATTGTAATATTCACAGTACCAAATACAGGCACATGGGGTGAGAGTAGTAGGGGGACACTCATCTCTGGAACCAGCATATAAAGCCACCACAAAGATGCTACTCTTGACAATTTCAGAACCTAAGCCAGGCACTATGGCATGTGCCTGTAGTCCCAGCTATTTGGGAGGCTAGGGCAGGAGGATTGCTTGAGCCTAGGAGTTCAAGACCAGCCTGGGCAACAAAGCAAGACCCCATTTCAAAACAAAAATAGAAAAATTCTAGGGCAACATGGGCCAAGTGGGTGGAGAGAGAGACAGAACAGATACAATACCTTAGCAATGGATACCATTTACCCTTGCTATGCTACTGTCCAAAGAAGATATCTGGCATATAATCAGCATAAAATATGGATGAAAGAATGACTGAATGAATGAAGCAAGTGTCAGAGCTGGTGTGTCCACTCACAAACAGCTTTTCTAGTTTGATGCTATTCAGCAACCCCCTCCTCCTGTAGTATTATAACCAACATGGTGGAATTAGAAAAGTGACATCCAAGACATTAGGGATCAGGAATAACAGCGTCAGTGCATGTCAGTTATGGACAATTTCCAGTTAGCTGTACTCCACCAGTTTCTGACCCCACTAACAATTCTGCTTCCGGATAAACTGTAAGACATGTTTCAGGAGGCCATAAGAGAGCTCATCCTTTCTGCATTCCCACCAATAGAGTCTTCTCCAAACTCTGATCAGTTGCCTTCTCTTCAAAGCCTGCCTCACACACTAGTGTCACCTGGAAAGAATGTCCTACGAGCCCTGCCTAAAAGAAAAACTCCTTGGCCGGGCATGGTGGCTCACTCCTGTAATCCTAGCACTTTGGGAGGCTGAGGCGGGCAGATCACAAGGTCAGGAGATCGAGACCATCCTGGCTAACACAGTGAAACCCCGTCTCTAGTAAAAATACAAAAAAAAAAAAATTAGCCGGGTGTGGTGGCGGGCGCCTGTAGTCCCACTTACTTGGGAGGCTGAGGCAGGAGAATGGCGTGAACCCGGGAGATGGAGCTCACAGTGAGCCGAGATTGCACCACTGCACTCCAGCGTGGGTGACAGAGCGAGACCCCATCTCAAAAAAAAAAACAAAAAAAAGGAAAGAAAAACTCCTTTTACTCCACCTTGAGTATGTGTCAATTGTGAGCACTCTTGTGGCTATTTGCCTGGGCCACCTTGTCATGTTGTTTACTATAAAATACATATGTTCTGTTGACATGTAGGCTGAAAATCCCATAACAGATGCTGGATGTATTCAGTGGGTGGCTGTGACTCCTCTAGGGACCACAGTGACCCACTGTGTGCATTCATTATCTCCACTTCCTAGCATATTATGTAACTTAGGACATGTTTGTTGGGAAACTCTCCTCTTCTCCTCCACCGCCCCCTACATTAAAATCAATCCTTTAGGGTTTAGAAATTCAATGTAATTCAACAATCAGTTGTTGGAATTATTCCTATGGGCCCAGACTGCACCAGGAGGTAGAAAGGACCCTATATTTCCTGCGGACTTCCTCCGTACCAGGCATGGGGCCACCATTCCATTTAATCCTCTCTTCAGTCTTGGAAGGTAGAAACTATCAACCCCACTTTACAGGAGAGAAAGTTCTAGTTTTCAGAAGTTAGAGTAGCCCTCCCAAGGATATGTCACTATTAGTCTGAGACATGATATTCAATGTCTGATTCCAAAGGCCACATCCTTTCTAATCACCTATTGACCATAGGATTCTATTTATCTTTTTGACAAAAAAAATTATTATTACAGAATTAAAATATGTAAATATATGCAAATTTGCTATATAATATATAACATATTATATAACTATATCTATTATAAAATTGAAATTATTATAAATTATTCCAGAAAGATCCTGTTGAAATGCACATATTATCTTGGGATACATGCAAAGAGGAAGCAAAGAAGGGAGGAAATGCAGTAGTATAAGTAACTTGGCAGAGAGTATGGCACAGAAACTCAAAATGGCTGAGTGCTGATGGGGTAAAGAATTGTGGGAAGGAAAAGGCATTGAATATTCATTAAGCTGCTATGATTTGTCAGAGGCTTTTCATATGTTTCCTCATTCAATCCTCATACAACTCCATGAGATTATTATCATGAGAAAACTGAGGCTCAGAGAACTCAGTAAATTGTGTAAGTTCATAAAGCAAGGAAGTAGTAGAGCTTGGATTTGAACCCAGGTCTTTCTGACTGCAGGGGTCCACTCTCCTTCCTTTGTCCCAGCCTACTTCTGAACAGGCCCCACGGGGGCCTTGAGCGTAAGTAACATAAAAATAGGAAATGAATGGAGGAGGAGTGTAGAAGTGAAATGGAATCAACAGAGGTACCATGAAGAGATTTTGCTTATTCCCAAGTTAGCCTGGGCCCCTGCCCAATATGGTACAAGAAATCCCTGGTTCTCAGCGCAGCCCTGCCGATAACTGAGTACAGGTCACCTAGGAAGTCATAACCTTTCCAGGGCTCAGAAAATTCCTCTCCTAGAAAATTAGTTTTTTGAACAAGGTGGTCTAAGACCCATGCAGCCATGAGGTCCTTAAAATCTAGAAAAAGTAAGCACAAAATAGAATATTTTCCACTTATTAATTACTGTCCAAGTTCCTTCCTGAAGAGCTAAGCATGTCCAGAGTGGACGTGTTGCCCAAAGGGTGCTTCTGTCACTGTGTTGTTTGTCTATCTGGGCCTGGAGGAGGTGATAAATATTGATTAAGGCATTGATATGGTGCTAAGGGAAAAATGTATTAGCACACTTGTACAATGCCCTAGAGGTGCAGTCTTCCTTGGTTCTCAAGGAAGAATTTTTTATTCAGTCAACAAACATTTACTGAGGCCCCCCAACACAGTGCTCCATGCCATCGATATAGGAGTAAACCAGCAGCCAACATAGGCATTAAACAAATAATTACACAAATAAGTAACAACGGTTGTGTTTTATTTGGGGTCACTTGGGGAGCTGTGGGAAGGCTTAGGCAGGGAAGTCACATTGTCAGATTTGTACAACTCTGGCTCCTACATGAATTAGAGATGCTGAGATAGGAGGCCATGAGAAAATCCATTGCAACAATCTGGGAGAGACGTGTTGAGGCTCTGAATTAAGCCAGGGTCAGTGGGGATGCTCACAGACCACATTCTTGAGAGATAGAGGAGTGAGCTAGATGGATATGTAATGTTCACGACACTCCTATGGCTGGCGTTGCTGGCAGGAGGGGGTGTATAATACTAATCACCATGCACTAGGCTTGCTTCGTTCACCCATCCAGGGAGGCAAGATGCCAAGAGGCACAGGTGTTCCCTGCCATCGAAGGAGGCCTCTGCCTCTCTTGATTGCATAAACAGGCCTCCCGCCTTCCTGCCTCCTTAGCATCCAGCATCACCCCAGGGAGCCCTGGCCTCCCATTCAGGGTGCTCTCAGCAGGGAGGCACAATGTCTGGCGGGATCTGAAAAAGGGTGAAGCCCCTTCATGGGCATCCTGGAAGGGCTGTGAGTCCATTCTGTGGGCCCAGCATCGCGTGATCTCCACACTCACTGCCATCTGTTTCCTATCAAGGCTGAACACAAGCTCGTGCGTGTGGTCACAATTGCACAGAAAAATCACTCGGCCAACAAATATGGAAATGTCAGCTTCATTCTCTCTCTCTTTCTCTCTCTCTTTCTCTTTCTCTGTCTCTCTCTCTCTCTCTCACACACACACACACACACACACACACACACACCCCTGACTTAAAAAATAGGCATTTAAAATATTGACCCTTTCTAAGATGTCCTCCCCCAACCCCAAGGAAAATATAATGGCATCAAATTCCCCTTGCAGTCCATACTTTATTTAAAGGGTGGATGGGGGAACCTCAATGCACATGTACAAGGGCCAAACCAAAATAGGAAATATGAGCAAAGTGGTTGCATCCTTTTGCAATCAACTATTATAAAAGCTGGCCATCTCCTGTTCTACAAGAAGACATGGGGTTTCCAACCAGCCAAGTTTTATTTTACATAATTGTAACCATCTCAGCATGTCAATTAAGATAGAATGTTACCTTTGGGATGGGATCAATTAGGGCCCTGAAGATTGAATTTGGAATCATGATTAGCCTGTTTTACATTTTGCCTTCATTTTCTAAAATATACAATTGTCTGATTCAGCCCAATTTTTAAAAACATATTGTAAACTTATTTATTTTTTTAAGCCAAAACAGACGTGGGAGGCCAGTTAGTAACAGAAACCATAGCAAAATGGAGGATGAGGAGGTGGGGTTTTCTATTTGATTAGAGTCGAATCTTAAATTTCCACAGCAAGAAAATATTGAATGTAGTGTAATGGTTGCTGGATTTTCTTAAGAACTGAAATCATTACACCCTGGCTGCGATCCAGGTTCTTCCCTTTTTTAGGTTACAATTTGAAACGGTGCAGAACATGCTATAGTATTGTAGTCATTTATGTAATGTCATTGAATCGAGCTTCTGGAAATAGACAAAGGACTTTGTGTCCTGAAATGGTCTTCTGGCAGAAAATTGATAGCAACATGAGATATGCTATTACTAGGTTTGCTTCTGCCTCCAAATTTGTGCTGACTAAAGTAATTGAGAGAAAGACAGAGAGGGAGAGAGAAAGAGAGAGAGGGAGGGAGGGAGAGAGAACAGGCAAGTGAACTTACAACTGTGTAGGGAAGCTAAATACTTAAAACAAATGCTGCATAGAGGGAAGGCACACATTTCCTAGCAGAAATGTGCAAGTTTTTCAGGGTCACTAAAATAATGTGAACCTCTTTGCTTGCTTTTCTGAAGTTGTTGTTTCCCAATTGGAGACAATGAATATGCAAATACATGACATGAACCCCCCACCACCCCGGTAATTCTCCCAAGCCCTCCCCTCCCATTCCAGCCCTCCAAAGTGTTTTGCCTTCATTGAAACCCCTTGTCTGGAGCTTTTGCCAGATTCATCAGAATGACAGGCGAGTCCAGCTTCACCAACCAAAGATGCAGCCTGAATGCAAATCAAACCCAGGCCTGGACACTCTAGCCAGGACACATGGTGTTAGGCACAAGCCCATGCCCTGCCCATTTTTGCCCCCCGCCTCCAGTGCCCTTCTGAGATTTGTCATCTTCATTGCAACAGTCACTTTCAGAAAGAAAAGTTAGAGCTGTTTGCGCATGAAGTGAGAGATATGTCAATAAGCCCCCTTTCCACATAAATAGCACATCAAAATATTACCAAATAATGCTGTTGACTTTGCCAACAGGCAGAGGACTCCATCTGGAGATAATATCTTCCAACTGAGAGGCATCCTAAGTGCCCTTTCCTAGGCAACAGGCAAAGTGACCATTCTGTGGCTAAATCCTGTCCTGTCTATGTGCAAGGGCAATCCTCTTCATCTTCCATTGTGCCCACACCACCTACACTGGATCCTGGAGTTGTCTGCTCCCATCCAAAATGAATTCATTGGTCCTCTTTCCTTTGTGATTACAACAGCACCGTCCACTTCTGACCACACTCACTATATCGAAGTATCCTCCAGAGATGTCCAAAATAGCCAATACCAGATTCTAACCAGGGACAGAGCTGGCTGGCTTCACCAATAATCTCCATTCATCTGCTCCTATCAACACAGAGACAACAGAAAAACTTGCTGTTGGGTCAGCTCTGCATGGTGTCAGGAGTGACACCTGAACAAAGTCTTCCCTGCTTCCGCTAGCACATGGGTCTCTCCTGTCTGCGAACTCCAATGTAATTAGAGTCTGAGCCACATAGATATGCTTTCTATTGTTCTCCTCAGTTATTCAAGAAATTCTTGCTGAGCATTTATTACATGCAAAGAACAGGAAGGCAACAAAGGTGAACCAAATATCAGTAGAGGTCCCCCAGCTCTTCCTAATCAGTGTGAATCCCCACTTATTCCACTGACATTTTAAGATTTCTGAGGATTCTTGGAGGGGCTTGTGTTCTTACGGTCATCCAGGTCTACAAGGTCCTTTCTCAGTGCCATCTCTGCCTTGGCCCATGTCCACCTGTCCATGAGAGAGGTCATTTCTATTTATATAAAAGCTCTTGCAAAGCATTTGTGAGTTCAGGAGATTTTTGGCAGATGTCACTGCGATATGGAGAGACGAGGAGGGAGTAATGACACAGTAACACAACATCATGTTAAGCACGAAATGTAAAATATGGCACCATCTTAAAAGCAGAAGATTGCAAGTGAAACTTCACTCAGACCTCCCTTAGCTCACGTCTTTCCTTCCCACCAGCTCAGCCTCACCCCACATAATTCTCTACCCCTTTGTACTCTTCTCTTCTCTTCCCTCTCAAGAGAAAAAAGAAATCTCATATTCTCAGATGCAACTGTTTAAACCATTCTCTTTTTTGGAAGGGAGGAGGGAGAGGAGTGATAATGATTTCTGAAGGCTGGGTTTAAAACACTCATACCCTCAGATCTCAGATACCTTTAATGAGTCATCAAGGGTTTTTTCCCTCAAACAAAGACAATTTCCTCCCCTTACACACACACACACACACACACACACACACACACACAAAATATTGTTGGTGCCAACTGTTAAAATAACAAATAATTCTGCCTTATTACACACAAAGGGATATGATGCCATTCTATTTAGTATTCCCTGCCATTTTCTGATCATCTTCTATGTCCTAGGAAATGTCCCAGGCCCTCCAAGCATGCAAATTCACTTAATCCTTGCCACAATTTACTGTGGTAAAGAAACTGAAGATGGGAGCAGTTACATTGTCCGGGGCCACCTAGAGCATTCTGATCCTAAAACTGTTATCTTAAGCAATAAATTACTCTGCCTCCCATAATTCAGAAGGCTGAATTATTTGCAAGGTACTATGAGAGGTATAAAGAGCAAAAGGCAGGGGCCCAGGTCACTTAACATAGTAAGCCATTGGAAACAAGGAATTACGACTTCAGAGAAAGACCTGAGTTTGAGTCCCAGCTGTGCTAGGGATTTGTTGCATGACATCAAGTAAGTCACTCCACCACTCTGAGCCTCAGGTTCCTCATATATAAAATGAAAATGCTAACAGTGCATACCCCATTAGGTTATCTTGGGGACTCAAGGAGATAAGGCATGGGAAGCACTCAATACAGTGCTTGGCATGTGATGAGCCCTGAATAAATGTTACCTTTCATTAGTATATTGAACATGATTTTATAGCTTACCTTGTGGATTTGGCATTTTATGATGCTTCTTTCTGCTGCTGAATACACTTTGTAAAAATCATTGAGATAGTTAACGTCTTGCTTCATTTATCTATTGGAGAATAGTGTTGTTTGTCCTATCAATATGTATAAAGTCATCCTATAGTATTACTAAATCTTTGTTTATATTTGCTCTAAGTGTTTCCCCAGATGTTTGTCTGCCCTTTAATTTTGCTTAACATACTTTCTGACATGCAGTTAATTTTTATGAAGTCGAACCTATCTAAATTTTACTTTGTGATTCCTTCCATTAATTTTAAGGATTTAAAAAATTCCTTTCTACACAGAGATTAGAGAGATATTTATCAACATTTTTTTCTAGGATAAAGATACATTTTAAAATGTAAAGTGATTCACAAAATAAATAGATTCTGAAATGTGATGTTGGTGGTTTCTTCTATTCATGAGCAACCTCCGTATCTCATGACTTGTATACCTTGGCATAGTGTTAATAATGATGATCACATAATCCTGTTTGGGGGATTAAATAAGAATCAGATTTAAGTCACTCATCCTGAGAGTTCTTTCATGAGTTAGCCCACTGTCCCCTTCTCAAGTAGAGAGATTTCTAGAACCTAAGAAGTCACACAGATCTCTAAGAATGCATTCATGAATGTGAAAGATCTGCTTAGTATGGCCCTGGCCCTCAAGGGGCTCTCTTTGTTTTCCCCATAATTCCTGTGATACAGAGAAAAGACTTTGGTATGAGGCTGATCCAGGTTAGGAGTTCAGCCCTACCCTCGACAGTATGATTCCCTAAATTCATACATGAGAAATCCCCTGAGGCTCTGTTTCCTCATTTAGAAAATGGAAGAAAATAACAGACCTGATTTCATACGTAGATCTACTGTGAAGATTAAGGTAATGCATGTAAATCTCTTAGCACACCTGACGAATAACAAATGACCAACAAATATTAGCTAGTTTTCCGTTTTCTCCACCAGAAGATGACCATGGTTGTCCCTAAAGGCCCTGATGCCCAGCATAGACTCTGGAGTAAAACTCCTCTTACTATAGCAGGAGGCGTAAACCTCAGGATAATTCTAGCCTGATGAGACTGATATGGTAATAACTGGGAGATACTGGATCCAAAGTACAGTGTATTCATTTCCCAGGAATGCCATAACAAATTACCACAAACTAGATGGCTTCAAAAACAAAATTTTATTCTCTCACAATGTGGGAGGCCAAAAGTCTGAAATCAAGGCACGGGCAGGTTTGGTCTTTCTGGAGGGTCTGAAGGAGACAGTCCTATGCCTCTCTCCTAGCTTTCAGTGGCTGCGGGTAGTTCTTGGTGCTCTCCAACTGGTATCAACAGTCTTGGCTTCCATCTTCACACCACCTTCTCCTCTGTGTGTATCTTCCCTTCCTATGAGGACACTTGTCATTGGATTTAGGGCCCACCCAGATATTCCAAGATGATCTCATCTCAAGATCCTTAACTTAATTACACTGCAAAGTTGCTTGCTAAAAACAAAGTCATATTTGTTACCAGTGGAGGGTATCCAGGTTCTTGGCATCTTGAACAAAGAACTGGACAAAACACACAAAGCAAGGAAAGAATGATGCAAAAAAAGCAGAGATCTATTGAAAATGAAAATACAGTCCACAGGGTGGGAGCAGGCCCAAGCATAGGGGCTCAAACCCCCGTTTACAGAATTTTCTGGGGTTTAAATACCATCTAGAGGTTTCCACTGGTTACTTGGTGTATGCCCTATGTAAATGAAGAGGATGAAGTAAAGTTACAAAGTCATTTACTCAGTGTAATCCCTATGTAAATAGAGAGGATTTTTCTTGTCATAGCTGAAGTGTTTCCATTTGATTTAGTTCTAGGAAGTCAGCATGAATTGGCCTTATATTCCCAGCCTCCAGACCCTATTCTCCTGCCTCACATTCACAGATTCAAGGTGAACACATTCTCAGGGTCCAAATGGACACGTATTTTGTTGGGGGTAGGAAGATGGGGGATGGAGGGAGTGCAGGGGGTCGGGACAGGGGCAGCCATTCAACCCACCATACATAATTTCCTACCATGTAGTGAAAGAGACCAGATACAGAGAGGTAATGATAATCAGCAGTACCTTGGGCAGTATTTTTGAAGAGTAAGGTGATCATTATCTGGGTTGCAGCATTTTTATCATCTCCTTTAAACATCTAAAACAACAGAAAACGCAGATATTGAAATTCGTGAAACCCAGAGGGGTAAAAATGATTGCCTGTGTACTATATCAAAAGATCAAAAAGTACATCTTTGGAGGAATTCATGGTCACCGGCTGAAAATCCCAAAGATAAACAAGTCAGGAAATCCTCCCAGTTTGTTCTGAACAGGCATTCTCAGCTCAACAAGGATTTCTTGATTCTTCCTGCTGCTGGCACTTCTATTGATTGGGAAGGAAGATCCCAGGAGGGAAAGCATCAAGGTGATCTGAATAATATTCTTGAAAATGCCAATGCTTTGTAAATGCTAAAGATAAAACATGCCGACTATAGAGAGGAACAAGAGGTATCTTTTGTCAAATGAAAGAAACCGTTTGTGTTGTGCACACCACGTTTACATTTTTTTACATCCTCTTTCATGGACAGTGTTTTGTAAATTAGTTAAGGTAGTTATAACTGTGGTTCCTCAATTTCAAGACCCATTTTCCCTTTTCCAGGTCAACTTCACACACACTAACTTTAAGGGATTCCTCTTTATGGGAATTTTGTAATACTCAGAAAATTGTGACTTTAATGAAAGTGTTAGAGAAGAAATTTAATGGCTTAAAATCAGCTGTGTTATTTGAGAACATAAAGAGAATTTCAAGTCCAAAAACAAAACGGACTAATTATTGGTTCATGTAAATCACTGAGCATGTAGATAATGAATAAACATTTACATGTGTTTACATAATTTTGTATGAACAAATCTCGGAATCTATCCATTCTTTTCAGCAAGTTTTACTGAGTGCCTGTTGGGCCAGGGACGATGCTACTCTTTTCCTATTTAGGAGGTGCAGTGGGAGAGTGAAACACACGCCCAGTGTTATCAGTCCTAGGCTGCCCAACCTCTTCTAGACCTTCTATAGTGATGGGTATTCACTACCCTTCTAGAGCAGCCCATGCCACTGTTGAATCTTCCTAGTGTCCATAGGAAACAAGTAGAAAGTTGGCGAAAATGCAGATTCCTGGAGCCACTCCAGAAATTCTGATTTAGCTAGTGTGCTGTGGGACCCAGGAACCTGTCATATTAACATGCACCTTGGGTGACTCTGGTGCAATTGTTTCCCAGGTGGTTCACACACCAATATTTTGAAAACTACTTGTCCGGTGGAGAGAGAAAGTGTCAATCATGCTGTTAGACCTGATCGGTGAGCTTGAGGCATGCACAGGGCTGAGCCTCCTGGTAGTGAGTCAGAGGGCAGGAATGGGTACCTCAGACAGTCTCCCTGGAATTACCAAGAAAAAGTCACAGTTTTGCAGCCACACAGAAAAAGTCATAGATCACTCTCTCATGAACTGCTTATTGAGTACCAGTTATGTGACATACACTGTTCTTGGTACAGAGGCTAAGCAAAGAATGAAACAGTCAAAAACCTCATCCTTCTTGGAGCTTACGTGCAAGTGGGGGAATAGCCCTCAATTGTGCTCCATTAGTTTCACTCATGCATGCATACATTCATCTGTTTCACAAGCATGGATTAGATCAGGCATTGTAGGGGAGTGCCATAGTTCAGAAATAAACACCACAGTCCCTACCTTCTAAGGAACCTACAGTAAAGGGTGAGAGATGAACTAGTAAAACCTTACAGGACAGTTTATCAAGTGCAAAGATAGAAGAGTCTGGAGGTGTCATGAGAACTCGAAAAGAGCCAATCAAGGAAAGCCTCCCAGAAAAAGTGACAGTATACCTAACTAAGCCTTGAAGGACAAGCAGGAGGTAACAGCAGCCACAGGCACATCTACATGAGAGGAAGACACTGCATGGAGCTCAGCATGATTGGAGCAAGGGTGAGCAGCAGAGAAAACCGATCCAGGAAGCTGCAGAGGCAGCTTGACTATGAAGACAGGATTGTATCCTGACCTCCATGGGGAGCCACTGAAAGGTGTCAAGCAAAATGGAGTAACTTACTCTGATGTGTGTTTTGGAAAGATATTTCTGAGTTCAGTGAAAGGAATGAATTAAGAGGGCAGCGAGTAGAGTCAGGAAATGAGAAGGACTTATTACAATAGAACGGGCCACAGTGACAGGGGCCTGAATACACTAAGGCACTGTGTATGCAGATGAAGAGGAAGGGACAGAGCTGAGAGATATTTAAGAAGCGGAACTGAGAATACTCGATGACTCGTTAGGTGTCAGGAGTATGAAGAATGACAGTCCCTAAAATAGTTGGATGACAATTATGTTCCCAAAATTTCTCATTAGCCTTTCCCTTAGGATTCCCTTAGTTTTCTATTTTTACATCCTCCTGGTTCCTCCCAGTCTTACTGCTGCTCACCATAAGTGAACCGAATTAATGGAGAGTTTGGCCATGGTCTCTGTGGAACAACTTACTCAAGTTGAATCCACATGCTTAAATACCCCAGTCAAATTTAAATTATCTTCAGGGGGTCAAATCAACTAATAAAAAAAAGAATTTAGTGATCATCTAAGGCAGAAAATCCCAAAGAATTGGAAATTCTCCTTGCTGAGTAACTGAATCTGGAGTTCATACAAACCAAATTGCCCTCTACGGTATTCAGAAAATAAGGGCAGACCTGCAAATCCAGAAGAGTGGTTACCTCAAGGGGGCTGGGGGCAATGAGGGCAGAGGAAATACAATTAAAGAAAAGGTAGAGATCTTCCATTATAATTATGGGGTTTTATTCTTTTGCTGGTGGTGTAATGTAAACGTTGACCTTTTTTTTTTTCTTTTTTTTTTTTTTTTTGAGGCAGAGTTTTGCTTTCGTTGCCCAGGCTGGAGTGCAATGACACAATCTCGGCTCATCACAACCTCCGCCTCCCAGGTTCAAGTAATTCTCCTGCCTCAGCCTCCAGAGCAGCTGGGATTACAGGCATGCACCACCACACCCAGCTAATTTTGTATTGTTAGTAGAGACGGGGTTTCTCCATGTTGGTCAGGCTGGTTTCGAACTCCCAACCTCAGGTGATCCACCTGCCTCAGCCCCCAAAGTGCTAGGATTACAGGCGTGAGCCACTGCGCCTTGCCAAATGTTCATCATTTTATACACTGTGTGATGGACCTGAAACGATTCAGACATAACTGAGATCCCTTTAGGGCTCTGCTCACTGTGATCTGGAGAAAAGGTTCCAGGAGACCCTTTAGCAAGTGACAACTGTTTCTTCTTCACCTGGGTACTGGTAGATTCTTCTATATCTGAAGGGATCTTATGCATGGAGAGTAATGTCTGTTGCTAGTTGTATTCTGATTGCTTCTTGATAGACTAAACACATGAACCTAGTAAACAAAACTTTGAAAATCAAAGGAAAACATTGAAAGAAAGACAACAGAGATAAATTTAAGCCAGTGACTTTTATATCACATAACTCAAAGCCCTAGACACTCTCTAGAGACAGACAGTTGAGTGACCCATGCTGTGCCTCCTACCCTGGTTTCCCACCAGTGTTTCCACCTGACTATATATTGTACTGGCTCACCACACAGTAGATTATTATTAATGATGAGTTCTATAGTTTAAAGACATTTCATAAACAATGGATTTTGAAAATTAGAAATTTTAATTTCCTCCATTTTTCCTTCACAGCCAGAATTTAGGCATAGCTAGTTTACTATATACATGCAAACACATATGCGTAATGTATACATACAAACACACACTCACAGTATGGTTAATGACCAAATGGGCCCAACAGAAAAGAGCAATATAAAATTACTGAACAAAAGGCTGGGCATGGTGGCACATGCCTGTAATCTTAGCACTTTGGGAGGCCGAGGCAGGTGGATTACTTGAGGTCAGGAGTTCGAGACCAGCCTGGGCAAAATGGCAAAACCCCATCTCTACTAAAAATACAAAAATTAGCCAGGCATGGCGGTGAGAGCCTGTAATCCCAGCTACTCAGGAGGCTGAGGCAGGAGAATCACTTGAACCCGGGAAGCAGAGGTTGCAGTGAGCTGAGATAGCACCACTGTACTCCAGCCTGGGCAACAGAGTGAGACTCCTTCTCCAAAATAAAATAAAATAAAATAAAATTACTGAACAAAGATCCCATTTTTCTGTTGGTTTGTTAAAGGGAAGAAGCTTTTTTTTTTTTTTAATGTATTGACTTCTCCATAAAGCCTTCTGTGATCATTTTATGCACACTAAGCTCTCACTGAGGGCTGGTACTGATACCTTTTGTGTGAGCTTATAGCTTTCACTCTACTAAGCCCACAATTACCACTCTGGTACTTGTCAAGTCAGCAGATGAATGAATGAAAGATTAAAGTACAAAATAGTAACAAATAGATGAACGGTTGAACAATTTGTCTGGTCAATTTTTTCACACATGAATTATGTTCTGCCCTCATTAAAGTTATGGGTCATCCACAATATGAACACAAATATAAATTTCTGCAGGTGTTAATTTCATAGCCAGAATCCATACCTGACAACATTTTCATGTGTGAACACTTAGAATTAAGGCAAAATGTCTTTCTTAAACTAACATGTTTACCCTTAACAGTAGCAGTATAAACAGACTTAGGTCAGAGATTTGTTAATTATCTTTTTGCAACTAACATCCACTTTGTAGATCTGCGTTACCATGAAAAGGCTTTTATTGGGAAGCATGTTGGGAATCTCTGGTGCATAAATCTCTCAGAATGCAAGCAAAGACTAGCTTATTGCCTACTTTTTGATGACTTTTCTTTCACGAACAAACCGAAAGGGCCACAAGTTGATCACAATAGTTTCCTCACTCAACAGAAAGAAATGAATACTTAATGTTAAAATCCAATTCAGTTACTGTTGGTTGGGCATCTGCTAGCAAAAGGACCGGGATAGATGGAGCAGTGAAGTGCAAAGATATCCACAAGTTGTCAATCTAGGTAGAGTTGCAGGCATTTCATTCTTTGCTTATTTACTTAACTAGTATTTATTTAACATATGCTATGAGCCAGGCACTTTTGCTAAGCCCTGGTGATAGACATATACATACAGGCACGGTCCATTCCTAAAGTGAGTTTGTAGTGCTATAGGTAAGGCAAATATTAAATAATGGGTATACGAACAAATATAAATTATGAACAAAGTTAAATGAGAGAAACAACGAAATTCTATGAAAGAGAATAATAGGGGATAATGTTCTTTAAAGGTAGGGTTCAGATGTGACATTTACAAGAAAGTATCCTTTATGCTGCCTCCTACCTGTGATCCTTATATTTCATGTTATAGTGTGAGTAATAAGGGCTGGTATAAGATGCAGGAAGTTCTGTGGGCATATAGGTTAAAAAGGCATTTAGCTCCAGCTAAGCGATTCTTATGGAAAAGACAGTTTTTTGAGGGAAGTGTCTTTCTTCACAGTTTCCCTGAAAATGGACAGAGATTTCATATGTGAAGAAAACTGCATGAACAAAGGAAGAGAGGAAGAAAAGCAAAGTGTGTCTAGGAAACAGCAAGGAGTTGAGTATAGCTAAAGAACAAGGTATGATAGGGATCAGATTATGAAGGTCCTAGAATGCCAGGCCAAGGAGTGTAAACCTTACCCTATAGGCACTAGGGAGCCATGGATAGCTTATGAGCAGGGTAATGGGATGCTCATACCTGTGCTTTAGAAACCCAGCATGGCACATGAGTGGAGAGTGTTTGTACAAAGGATACACTAAAGTTAGCTAGAACAATGAGATCCAGATGAGATTTTTAAAAGCAAGCAAAATGTCCATGGTTCACCTGAGAATAATGAGGGCTTGACATGGGACAGTGGGTGCAAAAATGGAAGGACATGACAAATGGCAAATGCTGACTAGGTGATCTGCCTGGCTAGACACAGTCCAGTCCTGATGGGCCTTAATAAGTGAGAAGCTTGTGTCAGTTGTGACACTGAAATCTTGAATTTTAGAAACTAGAAAGCTGGTTGTGTCACATCTACGGAATAGATCCTTTGTTTGATTTGGGATATGTTGAATTTGGGGGTTTGCAGAGCCTTCTGTCCTGCAGCCTTTAGAAGTTCAGATCCGTAGCACCCAAGCCAGAATGACCAAGCCAGAGGCGAGTGGCTTGATTCACTGAGGGAGCTACAATCCAGACCTTGAGTCTCAGGGCTCTGCATCTGTTTTGTTTAGCCAGGGAATTATTATAAAATATTTACTGTACTCAAGTCTGGGCCTCCCCTGAGAATTGGGATCACAGCGCCTAACCTAATATTCTCTGATTATTACTGCTAATAATTCTTTATTGGGGAAATCAAATAGTTATAACTTTTCACTGTTGTTGGAAAAGCTTGAGGGGTGAGTCATGTATTACCCATAGAGGAACTCTGTCCACACTAGGTGCGTAGTAAAATTAAGTTCAAATAAAATGCTGTGGAAGAGTGTTTCATTTCAGAAAGGCTTACAGTCATTCCCTTACTGGAAATCAGTGTTAGAGGGCATTAAAAGGCTGTATGCCCTCTGTAGCATTTAATATAAGGGCTCCATTTTTCTTTTAGTCTACATGAGGTTGATACTAAAATTTGTAAGCGGTAAAAGCAGTTGCAGGAGACTTTTTCATTTATGGTACTCTACCATTTATGAAACACACTTGCCAACATTGCTCTTCTGATCCTCACAACAACTCAGCAGAGTTTGTGCTGCTGCCCTTCCTTTCCTTCAAAGAAACTGAGGCTCAGAGAAGTCACAGGTGGTGCATAGGGTCACCTAAGTAGAAAGCGTCAGAGCCAAGGTTGAGTCCAGAGCCTTATCATTGTAAACTGTATATTCGTGTAGCAGTTTGTAGTTAACAATGAACTTTCATGATAACCTGCTAAATTTTCCCAAGGACCCAGTTTGGTAGTCCCTGTTGATACTCTTTACAGCAGAGGGACTTGAGAAGCTGAATGACTTGACAATAGTCACATGAGAGGGGGGAGCTGAGACTCCTAGCCTGGGCACTCTCTCTCCACTCCCCACCCTGGGTGGGCCTCCTTCTAAGACCCCAGAGGGTAGGATCCACTGATTATCATTACTCTCAGACAACCAGGACTCTCATCTGTTCCACACTACAGGACCAAAATAGCTCCCATGAGTTCTTCCTTCTTCACACACCCTAACCCGATATATACTGCTGAGGAAAACATCTTTAAAACCACAGGAGAATCCCTTGAACCCAGGAGGCAGAGGTTGCAGTAAGCTGAGATCACGCCACTGCACTCCAGCCTGGGTGACAGAGTGAGACTCTGAAAAAAGAAAAGAAAAGAAAGAAAAAGAAAAATGCTGACCATTCCTTGAAATTTTTCAAAGATTCCAGATTCAAGTGCCCAAGATTGAATTTCATCAATACATACCTATACATACCACCACCAATATCATCCCTTTCATGGAGTTTACCAAGGGGAAAAAAGCTCTTTGAATGCCAAAGCCAGTCCCCAGTGCCAGTTGCTAATGGCACCTATGTTGTCAGCTCAGCTGATCACTCCAGGCACTAGCCAGAGAACACAGAGTAACCCTTCCCAGCACAGACTGTTGAAAGTAGCTTGAGTATAACTGAGTTACTTTGAGCTACTCATATCGTGGAGCCTGATAGCAACAGGTATCACAAAGCATACTCTGAAAGCATTGAAGCATAATGCAGGTTTTACCAAAAGTTTCTTAATGGAGATAGAGGAGGAGGTTCACATTTTATATTACAAAGCAAAACCTCCTTTAACTCATTCTTGGAAATCTCTCTGTTTCCCCAAAGCACCTTTCTGTATAGCTGCTCCTCCCTCTCTCCTCCTTCCTGCAACTTCTCTACACCCATTCCTCTCCTGTAGCCACTGCTACCATGCCCAGTATCTCTCTTTCGGTAGAGCAACTGGCACCCCTAGCCATCAACCCTACTCAGGAAACCTAAGACTATTCCTTGGGATCTGTTCTCTTTAAAGTTTGGGAACTGTTGAACAGAAAGAGAGAGAGCTGGAGAAAAATACAAATCTAAAAACTGTTAATTTCATTATTGTTCCTGCCCAAAAATACTGACATAACAGCCAACATTTTCTATTCCTGATTCTTTGCATACTTTCTCTCTAACGCTCAAAACAGCCCTATAAGGCAAATAAAGATCTCCATTTTACAGATGAGAATGCTGAGGTTCAGAGGAATTAAAACTACTTACCAGCTACAGATGTAAAGTGGCAGGCCCAAATCTACCTGACTTTAAACCCCATGCATTCCCCAGCACACCGCACAGAGACAGAACATCAGAACATGTTTTGATGTTTTTCCTTTGGGAGCCCTGTCCTCCCAGCCATTCAACTCAAGCCAGCTGCAGCCCCCTCCCCCATTCCACCTTGTGTTTCCTCTGGCCAGAGGGAAAAGGAAGTTTGTCACGTTTCAGCTGATAGACCCACTTCCTGAGCCAGCCCAAGGTGCTGGTGCACACATGGCCCAGCTCTCCCATGCGGAGACCTGCTTAATACCCTCTAGTCACATCTGGGACATATTTAAAATTACCTCTAACCACAACTGCAAAGTAAGATCGCAGAGATTAAGCAAGTGCCATAGGCTTGCTTGCTAAGGTTCAGCATGGGAGATCTGTGTCCCTACTTCCCCTACTCTGGCTCTGACCAGGAAAACTGGGCAACTTAACATGGGAAGTTTGATCCAATTGTTTCCAGTTGAGAGCAAGCGCAGAATCCTTGGTTGTCTTCTGGACTCAGTGACTTCTTGCAAGTGGGGAGCAATGGGAGGTGGTGGAGGGTGAGTTGCGGTGAAGCAATCAGCCTTGAAACTGAACTGGCCCAAGCATGTGTCCTAGCTCTGCCACTCACTATCTGTGTAACCCTGGGTAAGTTACCTAACTTCCCACCTGCAGTGGTGTTTCCTTGCCTGAATATGAGAGAGTTGTTAAGGAGTAATGATAGAAAGCCTGCATCTAAAACAAAGGCTTCAGTAAATGTAATTTATCCTCATTATTATTCCCAGTGGGAGCGTTGGCTCTCTCCTATCCTCCCTAACATTGGGGCAATCTTTTAACCTCTGGGCCCCAGATTTCCTCACCTGCATTGGCTGGTCAGAGGCGATCATCTCTCAGGTCCCTTCCTGCATTGGTTTTCTATGAAGCAACCTCCATTTGGCATTTATTTTCCTGCTTGTTGGCTGAAAATAAATTCACTCATTCCCAAAACCTCTTGGAAAAAGAGGGACTCTGCTTGGCATGGGCTTTCATTGGAAACAGCTCTTCTTTTCCAGAATAGCAATAAAAAGCATGTGTTGTTTGCTGTTTGTTCAAGTTCAGAGGGAAAGAGAAATGGTGAGAGTGACTTCATGGGACAAAGAGACCTAGGATGGAATCGGGGTGGGAGGACAGGTATTTTTAGCATATTAAATCCGTAATCTGGGGCTTTGAGGGAACTTCTACTCTGTGTGGGTTTGCCTAGAGTACACACCTGTTGTGTGATAAAAATAACAGTATGGCATTCTTAGAGTCCTCCATCCTGGAGTGGTAGTCTTCAAATCAGAACCCAGGGAGTGACAGTCAACATTGAAGGGTGCCAAGGATGGGGAGCAGGGATGTGATGAAATAAGTATTAGCCCATGATAGAGAGGAGGAAAAAAGGAGAGAAAGAGAAGCAGTACGATCCGGGCTCTGATCAGCTGGGCCCCTGCTGTTGGCCAAGCAAGCAGGCTTTGCCGGGAGCTTCCCGAAGGCAGCTGTCCAGCCAACCCCATGCAAGCTCCTGCCAGGAGGCATCATTACAGATGAGTGTCTGATCAGCTCCATCGAGATCACATTAAAGGCTCTCCTACCCACCCCCCTTCTGAAAGAGTGTTACCGTTTGGACAGATTTTCAGGGTCACTTTCTGACCCATCTCTGGAAAAACAAAGACTGTCAGACCCCTCCTGACTTATTTGCTAATGGGAACAAAAACCATACATCTTTATTCAAAATAAAGAATGATGCCCAGCACTAGCCCTTGGACTCTTTGAGGGACTTCTGCTTCCTTTTCCCTTGCATGTTCCACTATCCTTTGGCCACTCCTGGAAATAAGTGCCCTTCCAGTTAAGCATGCTTTGACTAATTAATTTATTCCATCTGTTCTTTCCTCTGGAACTTTGACCATGACACAAAAGGTTCTGAAACAGATTTGGTTCTTATATTGATAACCAGGTCACCGATAATGGATGGAGAGTAGAGTATGGAAGGCTGAAGGAAAGGGGCATATAAGTTTTGTCCCCTTACATGTGCCTGGCTTTTAGGCAAATCTCTGATTTATCCAGTCCATTAAAGGCATGGAGACATCTGAAACTGCATACGAAAAAAGCTAATCTCTGCATTGCAAGGGAATTTTTGAAACCTTACCCTATTCAAGTTACTGGTAGAAATAACGAGGAGGAAGAGAAGTAAACAAACTAATGAATAACTGTTCATGATTTATGTTAATAAATGAATAAACACACTAATGGATTTGCCGACCATAAGCCAACTCCTCGACCAGGTGGTTTATTTGTTTTTTAACTCTCAGAACAAGTTTGTGAGTAGGTAGAATAATGCCTGTGTTACAGGCAAGACAGCTATACCTCACAGAAGTGGAATAACTTGCTTTCAGACACTCAGACCTTGAGTGGCAGAGCACAATTCAAATTCAGGTCAGCATCACTCTAAAATCTGCTACTCCTCCCAAGCCACATTGAGACATGTGCATTTCTTTGTTGTGAGTTTGTCTCTTCCAGAATTCTGACAGCTCAGAGTCTTTGGCAGGACCCCACCATGTCTTCAGAGGTGGAGAAAATCAGTGACCACTGCTAGGGTGGGCAAGCTCTCCCTGACAGCTTGGGAGAAGCAAACATTGCCTTCTATGCACAGGCTTCCTTCATTGAGTTAGTCACCTTTATTTGAAGTCAAATGCCATTTATCTAAATTGACAGCAGGTTGCTGATCAAATATTACTGAGTCTTCTCTAGGTGTGAACCTGGGTGAGTTCCTCTGTATACCCTTGGTTAATGCCTTGTGACTGTGGGAGCCAGAACCGAGGAGTCTGGCTCAGTCTAACACAAGGTGACAGCTAACACCCAAAGGAGAAAACAGTCCCTCTCTACTGTTTCCCACATTCCCCATATTTACAGTGTGCACACTGCAAACCCAGTCTGCAATGGACTTTTTAACACACCAGGTGTTACCACTTGGAAAGGTCATTTTTACATTTGCAATCTTTGCATTGTGTTCCCTGCTATGGATTATGGAGCAAGCGAATGAAAAGCAAGCGTCCAGTGTAAGTGTGTATTTGGTTCCTCTGATACCCTGTTGGAAGAGGCTTACCAAGGGAGAGGCCCAGGCCATATGGGCTGGGGTGGGGGTGCTGGTGGCCAGGCTCAGTGCCCCAGAGGTTCACGGTGGCTCTTGGTTGATGTTGAGGCACTCTGAGGGAGTCAGGACAGACTTTCTTCAGTGCAAGAGCAATGCCCGTTCCAGCCTGAAGTCGACTGCGATAACCTTGACAACAGGAACAATGAGCGGCACATCATTTTCCTGAGGATGCATCGGTACACGGAAAGATCTCTGCCAAATCTCATCCCCTTGCCAAGGCTTCCAGGTGTTTCTTTGTATTCGCGCAGAGAACTAACATCATTTTTTCCTTCAGTTCAGAAGAGGTGGTCCAAAGTGTTTAAGCGACAGTAGTTGCAACATGTCAGAGTGGGAATTTATTATCTCAGCCCCAATAGGTCTTAATAAGCCTTACACAACTGTTTAGGCATTTATTCTATTAACGGCTGTTCATTCTGGTGGCTTCACCTGAATATTCATGATCTTCCTATCCCCAGAGCTTCAGCATAGCAGCTGTTTAAAACCCACAGCAAATGTTCAAGAGAGTTCCACAAATATAAACACCCTCACAGCTGAATGTTCCAGCTCTGGCCTCACAGAGGCTAAGCCATGAAACATTTATGTGGAGTGGTTTTTGGAGGGCAGCATTTACAAAACTTAAATAATCTTTCCCCTTTAGGGAGCCCTCAACTCTGTTTGAAACATAACCATGAGGACAAAGGGTCCAGGAGGACCCAAGTCCACGAAGATAACTGCCCCCTCCTTGCTTCCTCCTAGAAATGGAGGTTCTGAATAAATTCTAACAGGAAGGGAGCTAGAGTGAGCTGGGGGTGGGCTGGGTGGATGTGCAACCCACTTCAGGGGAGAGGGCCAAGCCAGTTCCCTGTGAAAGAGTGAGATGGTTTGTACAGGGAATATTTTTACTGTAAATATATCAAAAGAGAAGGCACTGGTGGTGGTTTTTCCAAAGGGATATAACCAGGAATGACAGGATTAAATTAGCGAGAGCACTATATGACATGAAATTTCGTGAGATCTCCCTCTTGAGCATATGTTTCCTGCCTTTCAAGTAAGAATGCAAAGTAGAAAAAGTTCAGGCCCATCTTTATGATTGGACAAATCTCCCCCTTGGGCAAGTCACTTACCCACTTTGTGCCTCAATGTCCTCATTTATAAACTAGAGGGGAGGGGGACGTTGTGTCAAAGAAAATGACAAGGTGATGGCATTGTGTAAACCGGTAATGTATTATAATTAATGTATTAGAAATACACATTCCCATTGTCTTTGACTTATCCAGAGAAGATTTTTAAGAATTAGTTTAAAAGCATAAAGCTAAAGATAAGTAAGCATACTTTTCTAGCCTGTTTGTGGAAGACCAAGCTCACCTTGACCAGTGAGGACAGTAGGGGGAACAAGGATATGGGAATTCAGTGAAAGAACATGGGTTGTGGAGTCAGATTAATGTGGATTCAAATTCCTGCATTACTGCTGCAATTTGGGCAAATAATGGAGCTTTTCTGAGCCCAGTTCCTTCATTTGTAATACATAAAAAATATCTTACACATTTGTCACAAGGTTTGAGATGTGTGCAATACACAGCACAGTGCCTGGCACGACATAGCTGCTCACCAGATGTGATTCCCTTCTCCCACCTCTGCTATGGGAGCACAGCTAGCCTGTCACCCCAAGCAGGCCCACCCCACGGCCCCCTGCCCATGGCAGTGGTGATCTGGGAGCCCACAGTTAGGTGGACAGACAGAATAGCACGGTCGCCAGCCAGAGATTTCTCCAGCCAGTACGCCACCTCTGCAGGTCAAGAATCTGGGTTCATTCTTCCCTGGGAACTCTATGGGCTGAAAAAGAAGGAGAGAGAGAAAGGCTTTTTGAAACTTCCAAAGGAAGATGCCCACCCCCGGTCAAGGCCCCACTGCTTGTGCCTCCCCAGAACGCACGTGGGGAATGCTCACATGTGTTGTGTCATCTGCTTTTTGTATCCACGTCCCTCAGTAGGGAACTGCTTCTCCACCTTTTGTAAATGTCATCTTTGGATTCACATAAAAAAACGCTCAAATCCTTTCATGGTATCTGGAATTCCAAAATAAAAGAAATACAATGCCCAACATCCAGTCAATGTGATGATAATATCAACGTGTTTTTTAAACTGTGCAACCTTTCTCCCTAATACAGCTTCGTATCCCAAGCTTGAAAAAAATCATAATATAAATGAGAATGAGAAAATCAAACATGGTAAAAATGAATTAATGTAAGCGGGTGTCAAACGTTATAATAGAGGAGCAGAGCACGTCCCTGGGAGCATTGAGGAAGAGGGAGTCTGCTGAGAGAAGCAGGGGAAGAGCTGCAGAGAGAAGGGCACGATTTGAGTATACATTTTCTGAATCGAAAAGCTGGAACAGTTACTCCAAGGACAGGCAACTGAATGGACAAAGTTCTTAAGGGAAGGAAAAGGATGATGTGACAAGGAAATGACAAAAAGCTCCTCATGGCTGAAGTGGTTGAGTGGGGAGCACTGTTGGAGAAGGTTCCAGAACTTTGTGCTGGGCTGAGATGCTGGACCCTATCCTGTAGGCAGAGGTGGAATAATATCATCAGAACTCTATTTTAGAAGAAGAATGCATGCATGTGTATGATGTTTAAAAATTGAGTTAGGGAGACCAGAGACAGAGAGATCCTATGCTCTTGATCTCACCCTGCCAATTACCCCCACGAGGTGGCTATTGTTTCTATTTCCCTTTAACAGTAAGGAAACTGGAGCTCAAAGCAGCCCATGACTTGATCTTTAGCTGTTAAGTGGCAGCGCTGAGACTCAAACACAGACCTCTTGATTTCAAGTCAAGGGCTCTTTTTACTTCTCACAACTCATTAGCTACTACAATCACAAAATGCAGACCCTGAGTTGCTTTCAGGGGTTCTGAACTTCTTTATGCTATGGACCCATTTAACATCTGGTGAATCGTGGACCTCTTCTCAGAGTAGCTTTTTAAACACATAAAAGAAAGTGCATTGAGCAACTAAAGTTACTAAGTATGTTGTGATCAAACATACACACATTATCAAATATATAACTATCAAATCCATGTATCAAAATATTTCAAATATTGTGCTATGGCAAGAATAGTGCTTCTGTATTCATGCATCACAAAGCAAGCTCTATTAGAGGGATTAATATCTACCAGAATTTCAAGATAGTGGTAAATGTAAGTAATGTTTCAAGACATCTTCAACAATTGCAATGTGATATGAAGATATCTGTGATTTCTAGAGAGGACAAAGTCCTGGCTTTTGCTAATATTACTGCGACTTGCTCACCATCCTAATTAGTAGACATGATAAATTTCTTTTAGAGATTAGTGAACATAAAGGTGTAATTTATTTTCTCATCCAAATTCAAATATCCCTGAATAATATCCATGAACCCTGGCTAAGAACCTCAGGAAATATTTCAAATTTGAGATAGTCTATAAGGTGATTTCTAAAATATTTAGAAATTAGATCTTTTTTTTTCCCAAATGAACCAAGAAGTAGAATTTCCATGATGAAATAGTTCAAAGCAGAAAAACTCTGGCTGAAGCTGTGTAGGAAGGACTCCCAAGTCTCCTCATTGTGCCTCTTAGACCCACGAACCCCCAGTAGAGCCAACCCATGAGACATCTCCTTCACAGAAAATACTTTGTTATGGTTTCCCAGCACTTGTTGGCTGTGCTCAGCTTTCTCAAGGCAAGGGTCTGGAAAGTTTTCTGGCGATAACAAGCCTTTCCTGAAAAGACACTGCCATTCCACTCTCAGGAAAGCTTGCTTTAAGGGCAGGTTTCTGAACAAACGGGGATCTTCAGGAATACGCCAGGGGTAGCACTGTTCATACACAGGCCTGCTTCCAGTGAACAGTAACGGTCTTGAGCTAATAAGGAAATAATCCATTTTCAGCAGATGAAAGAAGAGGGATCAGAAAGGTAACTTGAGCTGAGGGTAATAATGGTGCCAAAAACTTATAATGGAAACTATCTAAAGAATCCAAGACCCTTTGTTAGATATGAATGATTTCTTTTTTCTGGTGAGAAGTGTATGGAGAACTTGAGAAGAAGGGCCTGAGTGGATTTTATGAAAAAAACCTCTGTCTGGGGAAGAAGGCTTGGGGTTAGGTTGCAGCTCCACTGTATCCTTCAGTTGCGTAACAGGGAGGGAGTTGAAAGATGTTCAGAACACCACAATATGATGTGCTTTGTCTTTGAACTCTTTCTTCCAGATTTTAACTGTAAGTTCATCCATGTTTCCCTGCAATCCCTCTAGGTAGGTGTGCAATAGACAGCAGAGACAGAAACAAATTTAATTAACAAAGAATTCTTAACATTGCACACACCCAGAGTTCCCCGCTTTGAGCGTCAGCATCTGTACTGTAATAATCAGCAAGAATCCACCTAATCAAGATACCTATATATAACAATACTTTAAAGCTCTTAGAGGCAGGATTTTTTAAAACATTGAATGGATTTCATTGAAAATGTCTAACCCCGTCCTTAAATACGAACTGGAACCTGTGGCCTTTACTATCAAAATACAAAGAATTATAAAAGGTATAGAGTGGGCTATCATATCAGTTTATAGTTCCTTTTATTCATTCATTCGTCTAATTATTCAGAAACTATTTATTGAATGATTTTGATGGTCGATGGGCTGAGCGAGGTGCCGGAGAAACATTGCAGAACAAGACCTGGTCCTTGTTCGCATAGAAGACATAGAGAGCAGACAGGCATTACACCAATAATTACTCCATTCCTCCTCATTCTCAGCCTTCAGTGTGACTAAAAGTCATCCAGGAAGCTTGCTTAAAACTACATATTCCAAAATCACCAGACCTGAAGTGGGGCTGAGGAATTAGCATTTTTAATGAGTTCCACGGTGAGTCTGGTGCAGGTTGGTTGAAGAATCGTGTAACTAATGAGGCTACAGAACAGTCTTTCTGCGTTTCCTGTGGCTCCCGAGTCTCCTGTCCCAAGCTTTCCACACAGGAATGCTCATTTCTTGCTTTGCAGCCCTTAGTCTTTGCCTGCACACTTTCTTAGAACTCAGTCTTTAAACACTAGGTCCCAAGCATTAAATAATTTATTTCTAGGGAAAACTCTGATTCCCACCAACATACTCTGAAAACACCTTCAGCATTTTCCTGCAGCTTCCTGTTCCCTAACCTGAACCCCCTGCCACTCCACTTTTTCAGAGAGCTGTATCGTTTCTCTATCCTGTGAGATTCAGCAATGGGAGAATTTTCGCACCCCTTTGGACAGGGAGAGTCACTTTCTGCTTGCAAGGTGCTTAAGTCCTTCCAACAGGAAACCATTCAACAGTCCATCCCACCTGGGTTATCAAAGGGCATAACTTTCACCTCTTCATGCCTCCTGTTACAAACACACGTGTTCGCTCACACATCCATATGCATATAAGTAGGTTTGCATATAAAACTATCTAAATAAAATCTGTCATTTTATTAATGTTATCAAAAGATATCCATTTTCAAATTGTCACGAACAAACCATATACTGCCAGCAGTCCATATGAAAATGTGACTCTTCTCAATTCTATTTTCATAAATCTACCACAAAGGAAAGAACCCCAGTCTCAAAGTATAACGGCCCTTTCTCTTCCTGTAGATAACAGAGTTAGGACCATGCCTTGACATGACCCCGTGCCTGGACCTTACTGTGACTCAGCCCATGACTCCAACAAATTAAGGCAAGACCAGTTTTCATCTCACTCCCAAGCACAAATTGTTGCTGCTTAATAATCTCTGAACCAACTAACTATATCCCAGTAGATTCTAATACTTGTGAAAGTCACTCCTTACATTTTTAATTTCTTCATAACATGGTAATACCTCACTATTAAAAAATTAGGTGCTTAGGGGTGAACTGAATGAATTTGTGAAAAGTGTGAATTATAAAGTATATCTTTTCAGAGAAATTTTGTTACTATAAAATACAACAAAATTAAGTAAGTCTTGCCTAGTGGAAAGCATGCTGCCCTGCCCTGCTTTAATGAGTGAATGAGAATAATTTGTAATTCACATACAAAGGTTGCTGAATTGCTTTTTTAAATGTTCCTAGCATAGGGCACACATGCTTCCAAAGGACACATCACAGGAATTAAGCAAAGCTGGCTCTGTAAATACTCAATAGGGATATTATAAAAGATTTAAGCACTGGATAATTTTTTGAAATCTATATCAGCCAAAAGCTTCCATGATTATGTGACAAACCCAATTTAACGTATCTTTTTTTAAATTTGATAAAATTATTTTGAGTTATCATGAAGTCTAAACTAGTAACACCCAAATTGAAAGATTTTGCTTAACCCAATTACTCTGTTTTCTGATTTTTATAGGAAAGTTCATATTTGGTGTTCTGCCAAGAGCATCATGTTCCATGATCTATCTAACTGAAAAAAAGGAGAAAACTTTACTCCAGAGATAAAGAGTAGCACAATAATAAAATTAGCAACTGACATTTATGTCACAGTGTACAATTTACTTCCAAATGCTATATCTTTTTAAATTCACACTTATTCTGTACAATAAGTAAAGAGAGTTATTATTAATAATTCCATGTTAAAGTCAGAGAATCCAAGAGTCTATAAGCTCTTTCAGGATCGTGGTTCAGGTCTTCTGACTCCAGAGTCTACGTGGTGTATAATAGAAGTTCAATGTGTATTAGTTTAATAAATGAACAAATTAATTAATTAAAGTAATTAAGGATATCCTAGCTAATTTAAAGAAAGAGCTACTAGACAAAGGAAAATAGTCATTTCAACACTAAACAACTCTCAGATGCTTAGGAATACAGCAATCCTATCATAATACATAGCCAGGACTGGCTACATAATTCGCAGGGCCTGGCGTAAAACAAATACATAAGGTCCCTTATTCAAAAATCATTAAGAAATTCAGGAGAGTAACAACAGAGTATTCAGGCACAGGGTCCTTCAAAGAGCAGGGAACCCTGATGACTACACAGATTGTTCATCCTTGAAGCCTGCTCTGCACAGCACATTTTAAAGCTTAGAGCACTAGCTCCTGGAAGAAATGATACCACCTTGTGGATAGCATTTTTAATATTTGGTAGGTGGGCAGGTTCTTGGTTGGTACAAGGAGGCCCTGCTGATTCATAGTAGGCAGGAGCCAAGGATTCTAGAGATCTTCAATGGCAGGGACAGTTCTGAACTATGAAGAATCTTCCTGCTTCCCAGAGAGCTTTTGAATGTTCCACAGATATTCACATGGCTGAAAAGCCTGTTTTTAATTATCTGAGCTTAAAATCTACCTTTGCTTTACATATCTTGAATTTTCCAGGAATGTGACTACCATGTCAATTCTGGAAATGTTGTGTGCTGCTAGTTTAGAACTTTAATGACATCAGTACTTCTCGTGGCATATGAGGCACCAAAGTAACCTACCTGCATCACTCTGCATTTGTAGCTGTCACATCATTCAAAGTGATTCAACATAGTAGTACAAGGCTCTGACTCCTTCATCATATCTTCTGGTATTAGCCATACTTTTACATAAAGGAATATGTATTATTTTATCATAAATTGTTTTCCTTTTATTTCCCCTTTAAATTATAGTTAGAGCATTTTTTTTCCTAATTGGATGAAGGTAGGTTGTAATATTCAGTCATTTCATTTCATGTTGGCAAAAGGAGATTTCAAAATACTTGTTATATAAAGTGGCTTTGGGTATGAAAGAGTTGAGAACCATAGGTTTATAGGCATAAGATTACAAAATGTTTGAGCTGGAAAGAATTTGGGGGATTATCTAATTCACTGACAGATAAGGAAATTGAGGCTGAAACAAATTCTATATCTTGCCTAAGGTCACCCTGCAATTATTGGCAATGCCAGGACTTGAAACCATGCTGTTTTCCAGGACTATAAAAAAAATTCATTCTTTCTTTCTTATTGTCCTTCCTTCCTTCTTTCTTTTCAATAAGTGCAACTGAGCTCCTGCAGGTCAGGCATTGGGGTGGTCTCGATAATGCAGACATGACTAAGACACAGCTCCAGTCTTTAAGGAGATCACAGGCTGTCTGGAAAACAGGACAGAGCCCAAATATGGTACAGCATACCTTAGAGTAAACCTATGTTCAAAACATTACAAGGAGGAAACGACTGATCCTTTTCCTGGGAGTTCCAAAAAGATTTCCCAGCTATAGCGAAATTTGAATACTGAAGTGGGAGAAAGGCTTGGCCCAGTAGGAATAGGGTCGCCCTCATTCTAAGCAGTTGCCCTGCCCAAGTGTGCAAAGCCACAATGGCCAAAACGAGACCATCTGTAATCAGGTATTGACTGCCCACAGCCCAGAGACAGTTGGAGCCCTTAATGGCAAGAGTACAAGTAGAAGCACAGGCTTGTCATTATCTTACCCAACACAGCCCTGAGACCAAGCAGAGGGCAGGGCTGTTTCAGAACACTTGGGACTTCATGAGGTTGACAGGGAGGAGGGAAAAGAAAGGGAAAGTCTCCAGGCAGCTCCCTGGGTTAAAGGGCCTGATAAGCCCCTGGATTTCTGTAGGCACTGGCCAGAGTGCAAGCTAAGAAAATAGCTTGTTGATTGCTGAAGTGATTAAGTGGATCGCCTTATTGATTCTCACCTAGCTTGGAACAGACCTCAATAACCAACATCAAGTGCTTTAATAAGGGCAAAGAAAGATTTACTGGATGTGAGTGCTTTTCATTAGAGAGGACTGAGGGGAAATAAAACATACTGACCCACCAGTGAGGGGCCATGGCATGGCTTCCAGCCTGGTGACTGCCAACCAGACAGGAAGGTGAGTAAGAGGAAGTCAAATGAGACAGCCCCTGGGCCTGAGCTTATCAAAGCATTCGAAAAAAATTTCCACAGATTGCTAGATTGTCTGCTTCCCTTCTGCCTCTCCACACTGCAAACCTCACCACCCAGGAAGCAAGGACACAGTCAGAGTGGCTGCTGCTTACTGAGCCCAAATCCAGGCACCAGCTTGGCCTTTTGGTAAAGATGACCTCTAATCTTCACCTCAACCCTACAAGGAGTGCATAAGTTTCTCCACATTACAAAGAAGGAATCAAAAACTAAAGAAGACACTCAAATGGTGGCACTAGGATTAGAACCCAGATCTCGGCTGGGCCTGGTGGCTCATGCCTGTCATCTCAGCATTTTGGGAGGCTGAGGCAGGAGGACCACTTGGGCCCAGAAGGCCAAGACCAACCTGGGCAACATGGTAAAATCCTGTCTGTACAAAAAATGCAAAAAAAAAAAAAATTAGCTGGGCATGATGGCATGCACCTGTAGTCCTAGCTGCTCAGGAGGCTGAAGTGGGAGGACTGCTTGAGCCCAAGAGCTCAAGGCTGCAGGGATCCATGGTTGCACCACTGTGCTCCAGCCTGGGTGACACAGTGAGACCCTGTAATAAAATAAATTTTAAAAAAACAATCCAGATAACTCTAGCACCAAGGCCTATAATTTAAAATTTTCTGTGGACCTCTATTTTTCCTCTCAAGGCTTTGAGTTGAATACACTCTACCCTGCATAAATTGGCCAAATTTTTATTTTTAATCAGCAATTGCTGTGTGTCAGGGGCCAACCAAGTATTACACCAGTTGATCTTCACAACCAGTTTAGAAGTTGGCCCTATGATTAGTATCCCCATTGTAGAGATCAGTTAACTGAGGCTTGGAGAGTTAACTTGCCCAAGGGTTCTTCAGTTAGCATGCAGCAAAATGGGACCCTGAACACAATGTTGTCAGAATCCAGGTCCTAAACTCTAATCAACTACGTCTTAAAGAAAGTATAAATGAAAAATACAGGTGGCAGTCTAAGAAGACACAGAAGAATGCAAAGACTACATCCATTCATTCAAATGTTCAACAAATACCTATTAAGCTCCGACGGTACCACAAGCATTTTTTTTAACCCTGAGGATATAGTGATGATCAAAAAAGGCTGTCATGGGAATAATTTCTTTCGGAGACAGCAGATGATAATAGAGGAACATATAAGATAAATAAGAAGAATCCTGCAAGAGAGAAGTACAGTGAAGAAAATAAACCAGGGCAAAATGGGAGGGTCTGCTTTATATTGGGTGGTCAGGTAGGTTTCACCCAAGAAAGTTGCCTATAAGCTGAGGCTTCAAGGACAAGAAGGTACTAACCTTGCAAAGGTTTGGTTAAAACACCTTCTAGGCAGGAGAAATAGCGAGTGCCAAGGCCATAAGGCAGGAATGGACTTGATGCCTCCACAGAAGAGGAGGAGGCTGCAGTGATGAGTGAGGGAATGGTAGAAGAGGAGGTCTGAAAGGAGGGGCAGTGAAGTCTCGGGGGCCTGGCAGGTCATCACAAGAAATTAGGTTTCATTCTAATTAAGAGAGGAAGCCATGGAAGCATTTGAACTATTTTCAATGATTTGCATTATAAAAACATAATTTTGACTACTGTTTGGAGGGGACAAGAAGTTGCAGGGAGACAAGAGGGGAGGCCACTGCAGGACTTCAGATGGAGCGATAATGTTAGCTCAGATCAAGTATAAGTTAGCAACATGAAGAAGTGGCCACATCCTGAATGTAACTGGGGAAATTGCTGACCTGACTTGCCACTTTACACTTTTGGAAGTGGACAGGAGCTGCTGCCTTTCTGATACTCCCACATGGTGCCCCCCTGCCAGCTGCTTTCATTATGTTTTGACCGGCTTCTGCCAAGTCAGACTACAAAAACTTCACTGAAATAACAGAATGTGATGCCGTCATCTCCTCTGCACACCCCAGGAGAGGGTTTTATAAAGTTTCACAAACAACAACACCTGCTAGGAAGCCAGACAGCTCCCCTGACCACTGCCCAGGCTGACCCAGACAGAAGAGAGAAGACACTGGCAGAGAACTCCCTGCTCTTCTAAACAGCCCCAGGGGTGGTTTGCCCTGTTCACTGTGGTCAAAGTGGCATTACTACTTCAGAAGAAATAGAAAATGAGGTGAATAGAAAACAGAAGAAAGTTGAGGTCACAATAAGATACCACCTCATATATTTAAAGGAAACTGAGAGACGCTGGGTTTCCTCCTGGCACGTCTGTGAAAATGCGAGAAAGGTCTGTCTACCACCAACTTGTTTAAACCAGGGGAAATTCATCAGAAGGATAATGAAGAACTTGACAGGGAGCATTCCTTTGTGTCATGTTCTCAGGAGTGAAGACAGCTGGTGGCATGCAATCGTCTGCAGGTCTGACTCAGGGAGACAGAAGGTTGGGCACAAGGTGAACTGTCAGGAGAAAAAAAAATTGAGAGAACCTTAGAGAAGATGACCTTTGTACATAATTGATCTGACAGAGCACTGCCCACCCCATCACTACAGCTGAAATATGGCCACTCTCCCATGTGGGAATGCACTTGCGTTTAAGGGCACCAGACGCCATCTATTAAGGAAAGTGTTTAAGCAGGAAGGATAACATGTCTGTCAGTCTGAGCTAGTGATTCTGGGGACTCAAACACCATGCCAGAGTCCAGGATTAAAAAAATTCTACCTCTATTCTAAATAAAAAGGAATTTTATTCATCAAATGAACAAAGGAACAGAGTGAATGGCTTATGACAACCTCCCCTCCTGACATTTGGTTTGTTAGTTGTACTCAGGGAAAAAATGTTGTCCACTCTAGAGAACTTCATAAAAAGTGGTTCTAGAATTATTCTCAGCTACTTGAGTTTGCTAATTCCTAAGGGTAGGGTAAAAGTTGTCCATTATTTCATCAACAAATATTTATTTAGTATTCATCATTCTGCTAGGAACAATATTAAACAAGATAGGCACACCAGCCCTGCCCTCATGAACTTAACAATTCAGTCAGCTTTCAGGCCTTTTCAGATATTTAGGCATATGTATTAGTCTGTTCTCATATTGCTATAAAGGACTGCCCAATACTGGGTAATTTATAAAGAAAAAGGTTTAATTGACTCACAGCTCTGCATGGCTGGGGAGGCCTCAGGAAACTTACAATCATGGCAGAAGGGGAAGGAAGCACAACCCTCTTCACATGATGGCAGGAAAGAGAAGTGCCAAGCAAAAGTGGGAAAAGCCCCTTATAAAACCAACATAACTCTTGAGAACTCACTCACTATCACAATAACAGCAGCATGGGGTAACCTCCCCCATAATTCAATTACCTCCCACTGGGTCCCTCCCACAACACATGGGGATTATGGGAACTACAACACAAGGTGAGATTTGGAGATTTGGGTGGGGACACAGACAAACCATATCATTTCTCTCCAGTCCCTCCCAAATCTCAAGTCCTCACATCATTTCAAAACATAATTATCCCTTCCCAACAGTCCCCCAAAGTTTTAACTCATTCCAGCATTAACCTAAAAGTCCAAGTCAAAAGTTTCATCTAAGACAAGGCAAGTGCCTTCCACCTATAAGCCTATAAAATCAAAAACATGTTACTTCCAAGATACAATGGGGATACAGGCATTGGGTAGATACACTTGTTCCAAATGGAAGAAATTGGCAAAAATGAAGGGGCTACAGTCTCCATGCAAGTCCAAAATGCAGCAGGGCAGTCAAATCTTAAAGCTCCAAAATGGTCCATTTGACTCCATGTCTCACATCCAGGTCACACTGATGCAAGAGGTGGGCTCACACAGCCTTGGGGAGCTCTCCCCCTGTGGCTTTTCAGGGTACAGCCCCCCTCCCAGCTTCCTTCATGGGCTGGCAGTGAGTGTCTGAAGCTTTTCCAGGTGCATGGTGCAAGCTGTCAGCAGATCTACCATTCTGGGGATCTGTAGGACAGTAGCCCTCTTCTCATAGCTCCACTAGGCAGTGCTCCAGTAGGGACTCTGTGTAGGGGCTCCAACCCCACATTTCCCTTCCACACTGCCCTAGCAGAGGTTCTCCATGAGGGCTCCGTCCCTGACACAAAACTTCTGCCTGGACATCCAGGCATTTCCATACATCCTCTGAATTCTAGGGAGTGGTTCCCAAGCCTCAGTGCTTGACTTCTGTGCACCTACAGGCTCAATACCACATGGAAACTGCTAAGGTTAGAAGCTTGCACCGTCTGAAGCCACACCCCATCTGTATCTTTGCCCCTTTTAGCCATGCCTGGGATGCAGGGCATCAAGTCCTGAGATTACACAAAGCAGCAAGGCCTTGGGCTCAGCCCACAAAACCATTTGTTCCTCCTAGGCTCCCTGGCCTGTGATGGGAGGGACAGCTGTGAAGGTCTCTGACATGTCCTGGAGAATGTTTCCCATTGTCTTGGCAATTAACATGTGGCTCCTCATTACTTATGCAAATTTCTGCAGCCAGCTTGAATTTCTCCTCAGAAAATGGATTTTTCTTTCTATCACATTGTCAGCCCGCAAATTTTCCAAACTTTTATGTTCTGCTTCCCTCTTAAACATAAGTTCCATTTCCAAACAATATATTTGTGAATACATAAAACTGAATGCTTTTAACAGCACCCAAGTCACCTCTTTTATTTATTTATTTTATTTTATTTTTTCAAGAAGGAGTCTCACTCTGTCACCCAGGTTGGAGTGCAGTGGCACAATCTCAGTTCACTGCAACCTCTGCTTCCCAGGCTCAAGCAATTCTCCTGCCTCAGCCTCCCAAGCAGCTGGGATTACAGGTGTGTACCACAACACCCAGCTAATTTTTTTTTTTTTTTTTAAGATAGAGTCTTGCTGTGTCACCAGGCTGGAGTGCAGTGGCACAATCTCAGCTCACTGCAACCTCTGCCTCCCAGGTTCAAGTAATTCTCCTACCTCAGCCTCCCCAGTAGCTGGGACTATAGGTGTGCGCCACCAAGCCCAGCTAATTTTTGTATTTTTAATAGAGACAGGGTTTCACTATGTTGGCCAGGATGGTCTCAATCTCTTGACCTCATGATATGCCCACCTCAGCCTCCCAAAGTGCTGGGATTACAGGCATGAGCCACCACACCTGGCCCACACCCAGCTAATTTTTATATTTTTTGTAGAGACAGGGTTTCACCATGTTGGCCAGGCTGGTCTCAGAACTCCTGACCTCAAGTAATCTGCCCACCTCAGCCTCCCAAAGTACTGGGATTACAGGCATGAGCCACCGCGCCCAGACCCAAGTCACCTCTTGAACACCTTGTTGCTTAAAAAATTTATTTCACCAGATACCTTAAATTGTCTCTCTCAGGTTCAAAGTTCTGCAGATCTCTAGGGCAGAGACAAAATGCTACCAGTCTCTTCATTAAAGGATAGCAAGAATTACTTTTGTTCAAGTTCCCAATAAATTTCTCATCTCCATCTGAGACCACCTCAATCTGGACTTCATTGTCCATATCACTATCAGCATTTTGGTCAAAGCCATTCAACAAGTCTCTGGGAATTTCCAAACTTTCCCACATCTTCTTATCTTCTTCTGAGTCCTCCAAACTCTTCCACCCTCTGCCTGTTACCCAGCTCTAAAGTCACCTCCACATTTTCAAGTATGTTTATAGCAGCACCCCACTACCTGGTATCAATTTACTGTATTAGTCCATTCTCGTGCTGCTAAAAAGGACTGCCTGAGACTGGGTAATTTATAAAAGAAAGAGGTTTAATTGACTCACAGTTCTGCATGGCTGAGGAGGCCTCAAGAAACTTACAATCATGGTGGAAGGGGAAGCAAACACGTCCTTCTTCATATGATGGCAGGAAGGGGAAGGGTCTAGCAAAATGGGGAAAAGCCCTTTATAAAACCACCAGATCTTGTGAGAACTCACTATCACAAGAACAGCAGCATGTGGGTAACTATTTCCAAGATTCAATTACCTCTCACTGGGTCCCTCCCACAACCTCCATGTGGGTATTATGGGAACTACAATTCCGGAAGAGATTTGGGTAGGGTCACAACAAACGACATCAGCATATCTATGACAAAGGATTAAATTCAGTTTAATTCAACAAGACTGCACTGGACCCTTATTCTAAGTAATACAAGCATAACTTAAGAATTATTCATCCAACAAATATTGAAAAAACAACACATGTGACTTACTGCGTTTTGGGAGACACATAGTTGATTTCGATCTAGATAACTCTCTCAAGGAAGCTGCAGTGTGGTAGGAATGATAAGACTTGTACATAGATAAGTAACACCAATGATAGAAAATGATAAATATCATTTTTAAAAAGAGAAGTGCAGATGGTGAAATTTAACAGGAAGGATAAGGAGATGACCAATTCCAGGAGATGGGCAAAATCTATTCACTGCCTCAGTTTCCCAATGCATTCATTCATTCACTCAATAAATACAACTTGAATCATTGCCCTATTCCAGATACTGTTAGAGTCAGGGATGAAAACTAGACTAGAAGAGAGAGAGAGATGACAATTCCCTGGAATTAATACCTTAATATAGGTATATACGAGATACGGAGGGAAGAGAGAGGAGGGAACTTCCCAGCCTGCCTGTGGTGAGGGTCAGTTAGCAAAGGAAAGTTTTGTCAAGGAAATGACCCTTTGCTGAGTGTGGAAGAAAAGGGAACATCTCAGGAGAAAGAAGGGGGAAGCCACAGCACTCTAGGCAGGAAGATAACAAAGATTCTCAAAGGGAGAGACAGGGTGCATGTGGGCAGAGGGTGGGGGACAAGGCAGGGGCGGAGGCATAGGGAGCCTCTGCCAGTTTTCTCAGGGAAATGGGAGGTGAGGTTGACAGACAAGGAGGGGAGGTGGTGTGGTTTGGGGAACTGAAAAGGCAAGATAGGCTCTGGAAGGCTTCTCTGGGAAATGCAAGAAGATACTAATAAAGAACAAATAAAAGACAGTTCCAAAGTAGAAACCACAAATTTTTATGTGGCATTAACTACACATCATAATGCAAAATACTCCAAAAATACTTAGTGCTCTGGGCATGAGAGTAGAGAAAGTGGAGAGAACACATCATTGGACAGACAGAGCATGTGCGTGTGCAAGGGAAGGGGAGGGGTGCCATGAAGAGTTCAAATGCAAGTGTGTGGAGTCTGTCCTGCCTGATGGACTGAGAGAAAGTGGATCAAGGAGTTGGAGCTGGAATGGCAAATAGTTTTCATCTCACGCATCAACTCCAGTTGATGGAACCTGTGCTGAGAAGGATCCCAAAGCAACCTCTGGGTTTAATAGGAGAGTGGCATGATCAGTCTGTGAGGTTCTCAATGAGCTGGAAAGAGTGGCAACAATCACACCAGGCATTGGCCATCTCTGGACCAGAGGCCAGACAAGGCTGTGAGAAGAGAGAGGAGTAAGAGAAGTAGCAGGACAGGGGGCTGTGGCCAGAGTGAGATGTTGGAAGGTGAGGTTTCGTGAAGACATCAAGGCCTAGAACATGGCTAGGGAAAAGTTTGGCTGACTGAAGAACAAGGCACAATCTAGTGTTCAAATACCTTCATGCTGCTGCTCTTGCCTCACTGAAGAGGTAAAGTGTCTTCAGAAGACATGTGACATAAGGGAATGGTGGATGGTTGAAGAAACACTTGGCTGTTCTAATGTAAACAGAAGAAGGAGTGGGAAGCTCTCATTTCTCCATCATTATCAGGCTCTGTTCTCAGGAAGCCAGAGAAACCTATGGCATGCTGCCTATGCAGGCCTCCTCCAGACCCATGGCTCAGACAGACCCGCCTGAACTCCAGCAGAGAAACAAGCCCCTGACCATTCCCTTCATCAGGGCAGGCAGGATGCAAGCCAACAGCTTCTCCTCCAGTGAGCCAATCCCATTACTTTTTTCCTTTTTAACTTTGTAAGAACACGTAACATGAGGGCCACCTTCTTAGCAAAATTTTAAGCACACAATACAGTATTATTGACCATAGGTAAAGCGTTGTACAGCAGATCTCTAGAACTCACTCATCTTGCTTAACTAAAACTGTATGTCCATTGATTAACAACTGTTCATTTCTCACTCCACCTAGCTCCTGGCAACCACCATTGCACTCTTTGATTCTACGAATTTGGCAATTTTAGATACCCCACATAAGTGGAATCATGCAGTTTCGTCTTTCTCTGAGTGGTTTATTTCATTTAGTATAATGTCCTCAAGATTCATCCATGTTGTCACATATTTTAGAGTTTCTTTTTTAAGGCTAAGTAATATTCTGGGATGTGTGTGTATGTGTGTGTGTGTTCCACATTTTCTTTATCCATTGATCTGTTGTTGGATATTTAGTTCATTTCTACATCTTGGCTATTGTGTATAGTGCTGCAATGAACATGGGAGTACTAATATCTCTTCAAGATCCTCATTTCAATTCTTTTGGATAAATACCCTGTGGGACTGCTGGATCATATGGTAATTCTATTTTTAATTTTTTGAGGAACCTCCATACTGTTTTCCATAGCAGCTGCACCATTTGGCATTCCCACCAACAGCATGCAGGGTTCCAACTTTCCCACATCCTTGCCTGAATCTCTTTTTGGATTCCGGAGTGACAGTGTCTCAGGATCTTGGCGGGGAAGGACCATCACCTCCTCATAATCCGTGCCACTCTGGAGGGCTGAGCACACAGTTCTCCTTGTTTCCCTGTTTGCCAGCTTGCCTTGTGGATAAATGCAGAGAAGGATTCAGGATTGGAGGGAAGGGTGAATTCACGGCCCTACAGAGCATGTCTAAAAGCATTTGTCAAAAAAAGAGTTAATGACTGCTTCTCTGCGGGAAGCCCTAAAGAAATGAGTGTCCTGAAGTGTAGAACATTCGCTTTTACGGTAGGTGGTGTTATTGTTACATGTTCATACAGACAGTGCTAATTAACAATCCTAAAGGCCACATCATTAAATTATTTCTCCGCTAAAAACCCTATGATGTTTAATGCGTCCCAGCAATTCAATTATATCTAAAACACTGGCCTGAACGGCAGGCACTATTCTGTGGCTGACAAAGTGCAAGTTGCTCTTAAGAACAGGTGAAGCTTAACAAGGAAAGAACAACATCTGACAAACTACCTCCCTGCTCTTCTCCCTAACATACACCCTAAGAATAAAAACAACAGTGATATTCCAAGAAAATTAACGTGGGTCTTACCTTTGCTAGGCTGGCGATGAAATATAGGCTTTACCAAATTTTCTGTGAAGAATCTGACAAGATTTTCTTAAAAGATTTCACCCAAAATAATCAAATCAGTGCCCTCAGATCTATTTAAGGTCCATCGGGTTTCACTGTTTTTTCTCTGGATCCTACCACCCATCCTTTGTCATTTCTAACCACTGCAAATTGCATTTTGGGTTTGAACTTGGGGTGACTTCATGGCTTTGGTCTGGGTTTTTCCTGGATGTGTATCACAGTCAGCAGAGAGCACTTTGAAGAGCACACAAAGCCTCTTTGTCTCCCACTCAGTGAAATATCTCAAGTACAGAGCACAGTGAAAAAGGGCTTCTTTCCAGCTTAAACACACACACACACACACACACACACACACACACACACACACACACACAAAAGAAGCTCTTGCCCTTCCCTGCCGCCCCCAGCTGCTGTGGTGAGACAGTCTCTGCACAGGCACAGGGCCCAGTGCAACTGGCCAAGTGGCCTCAGTCCTCTGGACAAGGCTTGGCAGGCAGCACCATGACAGAACCTCCTGCTTGGAAGGTGTTGGTGCCGAGACTGCATCTGGGAGCAGCACATATGTGATTCCACTAGTTTTTACACAAAGAGGCAGACTATGCCAGTGGCCAGCTGGCCAGCTGGGCACTCATCTGCAACCTTAGAAGCAGGAGTCAGGGAGCAACCCACTGATCCTCTTGTCATGGTCTTCCCAAGTGCCCAGTTTCCACATAAACCATTTCCTCATCACTCTCCTCCCTAACACTATCCCAACAGTACCCTCAAGGAGGCCCCACTCAGCTCTATGAGGACAGGGGGCTATGTATCTCCTTAGCTCCATACCACCAAGCACACTGCCTTACATGGAACACACTCTCAGTAAAGGTTTCTTGGATGGAAAGATGAATGAACAGATAGACAGATGGATGATGGGTGGGTGGATAAGTGTGTGCATGGATGGGTGTGTGCAGGGATGGGTGGGTGGATGGATGGGTGGGTGGATAGAAGAATCTTATAAACCATTGTTCGGATCCTGGCTCAAACATTTTCTTTTTGTGAGATCTTGGGAAAATTACCAAAACTAAGATACTACAAAACTAAGCCTTTTGGTTTTTTATCTGTACAAAGAATGATAGCAGTTACGGTGGAGATTGAGAAAATTCAGTAAGCACCTGATAGTAGGTGCTCTGTACACATTCATGGTTTTTACCCAGGAACTGTTTATAGATTATCAAGTCCCTTGCTTCTGTAGGAGGTCTTTCCTATCACTGTCGAATTCATTGCTCACTTGCATCTCTCCCAAAGGGATGGCAGAGGAAAGGTAGTAAAGGGTGCTTAGAGTGGAGTGAGGACTACAAGAGGGAGCACCAGTATTGACTGGGGATGCAGGGTTTCTAATTTTTCTAGCCCAGAAAAATTCAGACAGGCATGGTTTGGAGGAGACCTGGGTTCCAGTCAAGGCCCTGTCCCCAACTAGCTGGATAAACATGGCATGATCACCTCTCCCTTGTGGTCCTAGATTTCTTCTATGAGATAAACTCATATGATTGCATGAATGCTGAAGTCTCTTCAACTCCCAACTCTGTGATTCTATCCTTCGAGATCCACTTAACATCTTCTTACCTCCTCATTGAAGCCTGTCCTGACCATTCCTGCTGACAATAAATTCTCCCTCTTCTCAGAATCTGTGACTCTTGTCTGCGCTATGTGTCTGGAAATTAGTTCACTTCATAGCCTTGCAATGATGATGATAGCAAACTCTCAAATCATACTAACTGGAGGACCAGAGATTATTCTTAGCTACACACATACGCACACACACTTGAACATATGCATGCACATACACACACATACACACATAATCATTACATTCTCATAATACCTCTCTATGAAGTGAGCAATCTCAAAATCTCATTTTACAGATGAAAAACTGACACATAAACACACACAAAAAACTTACCCAAGACCAAACAGCTTTAAGCACTGGGCCAAGTATTTGAACCCAAGCAGGCATGACCTGCTGTTACCAGGCTGTCATAGGTCTCCTTGTTATTCAGCATCTCACTCCTCTCCCCAGTAGCTTCCCTAAGCATAGGGGCAGTGGGGTGCTGTGGCTAAGTCAAAGGACTCCCTGTCTAGACCACCTGTATGTGAACCCCAAATCTATTTTACTGCTTTGTACCTCTATTTTCCCATGCATAAAACAAGAGTAAAAAGTGCACTCCCTCGTAGGGTTGTTATGAGAATTAAATTAGTTACTCTAAGTAAAGCATTTAGACCAGACATTTGCTGTTATTGGGTGTAGGAGCCCAGCCTAAAACATCTCTGTAGTCTCTATGCCTCATACATAGGGAATGCTTTTGTGTTGACTCAGTCAAGAACATGGGAGGAGGAGTCAAACAGACCAAGTCCAGTCCTAGCTCAACCACAGATTAACTTTATGACCTTGAGCATGTCAGTTAGCTTCTGAGTCTCAGTTTTCTCATTTATAAAATGGGAATCACACGTGCTGCCCAGTGAATCCCACAAAGCTGTGCTACTCAATTCAACAAGACATATGTGTGCACCGTGCATAAACTATTAGATAAGTGGAAGGGTTTGTAACTAGTTTAGTCTAGATGAAACCACCGCCTGAGGATATCTGAAGGTCTCTGCTCGAGGGCTGTGGTCACCCTACTTCAAAAGCAGAAGGGACAGATCCCTTCAAAGGGGCCCTGTTTGTAGAACTCTTGCTAAGCCACATAATGTTATCACAAAAGCATGTTGCAGAGAGGACCTCCTGATTTTATCAAACTGGAGAAACCACCCTTCCATGCCCAATATGGGACAAGTCATGAGTTTTCAGCTGTGTATGGCTTTGTTCCAAGGCATACGAAGAGTTTTGCCTGCAATGACATATAGGTGCCCATTCGGTTTGTTGCAAGTTAGGAAGAAATTGATTTTACAGACCAGACAATATAATGAAAAGGGCATTTTTAGCTGTTTGCTATTTCCCTTTGGAGTTAGACACATTTATGTTTCGATGGCAATTTAATCACTTACAAGTTATATGACCTATTTAATTTATCTCAGCCTCACCTAGGACATTTGTGAAGATTAGAGACGTAGCACAGCTTGTGGCACATGAGAAATGTTCAGTGAATTTATTAGTCACTGTTGTTATCATTTCCCTCTTTATAGACTCCCAAGTTACATCGTTTCAGCCTGAACGCATGGACCCAAGAGCCCTCAAGCTCTGTCTTGCCTGTTCCTTCAACACATTGTTGAACTCTCCATGGTCTGAACTTTTCCTGACTCCTGCCAACAAACACTCCTTTGTCCCCCTCCCCATCAGACAGACCAGTGCCTGCTGAGACATGTGCCTCCTGATATGTTTCCCCATCCAGGTAACATTTGCTAAAAGACACTAACAATGGCTCTGAAAGATGCTAATTATGATCATTCTACGTCATACTGCTCCTGAATGCTTGCTTCCTAACTCATAAAATAGGATGCTAACATGCATCTCAAGGGCTTATCCTGATAATTAAAGAAGATCTTGCAACAGTTAGCTTTTGGTGCCTAACACATCATCCCACAACTTAGTGACTTATAATAAAAAAACATTTATTTAACTCACAGTCCTGTAGGTTTGTGATTTGGGCTGGTATCAGCTGTGCAGTTCTTCTGCTGGGTTCTTGATGCCTGGGCTCAGACCTCAAACTACATTAAGCTCACTACATTCAACTGGTCAAAACAAATCACAAGGCCAGCCCAGATTCAAGGAGTCGGGAAATAGACTCTGCCTCTTGATAAGAATTGCTTTAAATTATTGTGGCAATTTTTGCATTCCACCATAAGTAATAAATCTAAATCACCTGCTCCTCAAACTAATTTATTTGATTTCTCTCATATTTTTCATTCAGAAATCCTTGCAGGGCCTTTTATACGAAACTAAAAAACATTTATTGAGCCTTTACTATGTGGACAGAATTGCGCTAGGTATTGGGGAGGAAGGAAGGATTTAAGATATGTTTATGACAAAATCTCTGTCCTCAAGGTGCTTATAATCTCATTGGAGAAAATGTACATGCACAAAGATGAATTCTAAGGCCAGAGTAAAATACCAGTTTAAGGCAATAGTACAATAGCTGTCACAAGGGCAGGTATGATTAATTGCTAAGTCTATTGCACAGCCACCATCTCCTAAATCAGAGCACAGCAGGGGGAGATGGGTAGAGTCTGGGGTAGTCAGGGAAGGCTTGTCAAAGGAAAGAGGATTTAAGATGCGTCTTGAAAGACGGTTTGGTCCAAAGCACCAAACTCAAATGTCTCCCTGACATTCCCTTTCTATTCTTTCTATTCAGTTTCCCTGCTAGGGGGCCTTCTTTCAGAAAAGACTCCCTACAGTCGTAGCTTGTATGATTAAGCTCTCTTTCCAAATGCTGTAGGGAAAAATGAGGGAGATTCTAATCCTGGGAGCCATCTGTCAAAGGGAAGACCTTTCTTGATGATAGACAGAATTGTACAGTAGAAAAATTATGGGTGTTTTTAGTCCCCAAAGCTGGCAGTGTTTGTTTGCTTTTCTTCTGTGGGATTCTATTTCCTTATCTTTTATCTCGAATGGGGATTCTTCCTACAGCAGTACATGGAACATCACAGAGAATGTGAAGGTAATGCTTCTGGCATATAGCAGACAATAAATAGAATGTAGTTCCCTGTCTCTCATGCTCCTCCATTGCCTTTGCCATCTAGATCAAATTTATTTAGTAAATGTTCCATTCACCCTAATACTTAGCAATTGCTTCAGCATTAGGCCTTCACTCTTGTAGTCATGTGGCAAAGCTCATTCCAGAAGATCTCAGTGCAGCCCCTGGCACAAGTAAAGTGCTCAGTAAATATTTGTTTAAACGGCTTTCAGTCCCTGGAACTCATCATGCCCTCTCATGCCTCTGGGCACTGGCCCTTGTTGCTCCATCTGCCTGAAATAAGCCCCCTTTCTGCTTTCCAGCCACCAACGTAGCTAAGTCCCATTCCCTTCTTATTATTCATCTCAGGCATCTTTCCTGTAGGAAGATTTTTCTGCCCCTGTCCTCCACCCGCCCACCCGGCCCCACCTTGGGTTTAGGTATCCCTCCTCATTGTTCCTACAGAAGTGCAGGGAAAAGCATAGCATTTCAGAAAATGGTTATGGAACGGATGGATTGAGGGATGGATAAGTGGATGGATAAACAGAGGGATAGATGGAGGGAAGGATGGTTCAGTGAGATAACCCAGTCAAGAAATCAACTTGCCAAAAGCTCATTTCACATTTTGGACCAAGTATAAAATGCCTCTGGTGAAACATGAATTTTTTAAATCTGACATGGAAGCTAAACTTTCTACAAATATGTGAGAGCTGATAATTAAGGATCAGTTTCATAAAATAATAGACCTAACATGGAAAATTCCTGCTCAGCACATACACACTTAATACTCACCAGAAACAGCAGGTAAGCAACTTAATTAGAAAGAACCCCAACTAATGCATAAACCCAAGGAACAAAAGCCGTTCCCCTGGAAGTTTTCAGGGGCAAATTTAAGACAAGGTCCTTGGAGACAAGACTCCGTACCAACTGTCAGACTCAGTAAGCACAAGACCCCCAACTTGACATGTTGGGGAAAGAATGTTTCTGTCCACGAAAACTGAAGTTAGCTACTCTCAGATTCCCAACATAAATCATTTTCATCCTGCCAAAGGCTTCAGCTAGCAATGGGACCAGGAGACCTCAGCTCTCAGCTTCCAAATGTCCGCTTTCTCTCTCCATTCACAAAACCCTCACCACCCCTCTTCCTCACTTCATCATGCAACATTTCCCAAGTGTTTCAAGGTCACAGAAAAATAAACACTGTTTACTTAATTTGGAACACCATGAAATTTTTCTTTAAAAAAAAAGCAAAGCAATTTATTCAAATATTAAAGCTAGGAAGAACATAATATCTGAATTTAATAAAAGAAACTATATAACACCAGTGTATAATACTTTAAACGAAAGTGTCAAACAAAAGAGAAAGTACTGGCCTCTTCTTCCATATGTCCTCCCTTTAAAAAAATTTTTTTTAGTTTTTTTAGGGACAGGGCCTTGCTACATTGCCCTGGCCAATCTCAATCTCCTGGCCTCAAGTGATCCTCCCCATTATCCTCTCAAAGTGCTGGGATTACAGGCATGAGCCACCATGCCTGGCCTATTTCCTCCCTTTCCTTCTTCATCCATGCAACAAACATTCACTGACTGTTATGTGCCAAGCTGCTAGGCCCTTGATGTAAAACGGAGTAGGGCACAATTGTTTCCCACAATCTAGAGGAGACACTGGCATGTAATACACAGTTACTCTACAGTGTGAGAGTGCAAGGAGAGATAGATCCAGAGTCTAGCGGGGCCACAGAGAAGAAACATTCAAATCAGTCTGAGGGATCACAAAAGTCTTCCTAGAGAAAACAACATCTGAAGGATGAAGGAGATTTTAAGGACAAGAGGGGTTTGCCAGGCAAAAAAAAAACAAAAAAAAAGCAACAGTTTCCACACACAGCTAGAATGGTGTACACAAAAGTAGAGCAATGGATCAGCCTCAGAGAACCCTGGGTCATTCACTATTACTGGAGGAATGAGGAGATGAAGCAGAAGAGAACACCAGAGTCAGATCAGGAAGTGTCTTGTGTGCAAAGCCGGATTTGTACTTAAAAGCTATGCAAACTATTGAAGGCTGTAAGCAAACAATACCATAATCCAGCTTGCATTTAGAAAAATGATTCTGTCCTACTGTGAGTGATGGATAGTAGGGAAGTGAGACTGGAGGCAAAAGACCATCTAGAAAAATGTTGGAGGAAACTTGGTGAGAAGTGATGAAGGCCTGATGGACCACGGCACTGGCCGTAGGAAATATGGTTGAGGGTCTTTTACCTTTGGATGGAACCATGTATTTTGGATGAAACTTCCCAACAAAAAAATACATTGTGGCAACCAGCATTACCTTTGGTTTCCTTTGCATTTCTTTTATATTTGCTTTCCATAAGTAGCTGGTTTGGGAAAAAGGCATCTTTAGCGATCATTGTGGTCAGGAGCCCTACATTTTTGTCCTATCTCAATCATTTATCAGTTGTGTATCTTCAGGTGAGTCACTCATTCTCTCTGAGACTCAGTATTTTAATTTATAAATTTGATCATAAATTTTACCTCTTAGCTTTGCATAATGATTAAATAGAGGAATGTATATTATTACATATTATTATAATGTAATATATATTACATATTATAATGTAATATTTATTACATATTATTATGTAATATATTACTACATATTATAATGTAATATATTATTACATATTATTATTATTTAATATATTATTGTTTAGCCAAACATGTTGCAAAAATGAAGTAAAACACCACATACTGTATAATATTAGGAATATTTTGGATGCAAATGACAGAAAATTCCACCAGCCCTGGCTCAAATTAGATAAAGGAATATCTTGGAAAGTCTGTGAGCAGATTTGGCTTCAGACACAGCTTGACCCAGGCTCAGATAATATGTCCGGGATCTAAATCTTGACTCAGCTCTTCGGGTAATGGCCCCATTCTCAGACTCACAATGTAGGCTCCTCATCGCCCCAGCAGCTTCAGATACACATCACACTACACAGCACTGTCTCTTCCAGTAGGTTCTTCCACAAGCCTGGGACCACCACTCTCTGTCTCTTTCACTGGCCTGAACTGGAACATGTGGTCATTCCTATGACCAGAAAATAAAATTCATATATTGCCTTTGCCTATGTAAAGTGCTCGGCCCCTGGGACATATGAAAGTATAAGACTGAGAATGAGGGAGTGGCAGTTCTCCCAAAGCAAAAGTAGGGTACTGTTGTCAAATGCTAAGGGAAGATACCTTGGATGCAAAGCAGTCTACAAGTGTCCCTTATGCACACTCTCACAGTCAGGCTGCCACTCAAAGCCTCTTGCTGCTAATCAGCTGGATGGGGATTCACTGACCTTGCTGTTGTTGCCATCGTTTTGAGATGAGCTGGCCCTTCTTTCCACTTATGTCATAATAGTAAAATGGTTATTCATTGTCAAGCTTTGAAGTATTCTTCTGAATGCTCTCTTAGCACCTATGAGCTATTCAAGGATCACTAGGATTCTGCAGGACTCATTTAAGAAGCACTTCTAGAGGTAAGATGGGGCAGAGGGCAAGTGAGAGCTTCTAGCAACAAAGAGAGGGCCTAATGGGCAGGAATCAGATAAAAGAATCTGACAGTAATCAATAGTAATTGTATTTATAAGAGGCATCCTCTTCCTCCCTGGAAAGTACCTGCTAACCCCTAGGGACTTACCCATCTCTATAAGCTTTAAATCATTTCACCAATCTTTTACATCCAGCCACCTTGAGTAGACCCCAGGAGTCAGTTACCACTTTGTACTCCATCAGAACGTGTCCAAGGGCAGGGAAACACACAAACCCAAAAACTATGTGGCCATCAGAAACACAGAGGCAGCCATCGAAAACACAGAAGATGGTGCCTGTCAGTTCTTTGCAAGAGTAGAGAGGGGGTGAAGCTTGTCCTGCCCTGGAGGTGGCGACACTCACACACAGCAGGGGCCCTTAAAGGCTAGATCTCAGTATCAGTTTCCTTTAACTTTATTCTTGGATATGTTTATAGTTTACTCCTCTATTGCAAAGCAAGCTCCTTAGGGGTAGAGGCCATGTCTTTTTCATCCCTGACCCCAAAACTTACCACTATCCCTGGCCCAAATAGGCATGTCATGAATGTGTCCAGAATCAATGAATTCACTTTGCTAGGCACTGGCAAATACAAAGATCTAAAAAACGGCTTTGTACTTATAGGTCTTACAGCCTTGTAGGGTAGAAAATGAGAACACAGCTGATGAAATAGCTAAATTGAGGGCTGATTTGAAAGCACTAAATCACATCCATTACCTTATTTGACTCTCAGGACACCCCCATGATGTTGGCACAGCAGATTTGTTAGCTTCATTTTACAGACGTGAGATCAGTTACTTGGGATGCAAAGGACAGAAATACTCCACCAAAGTCTCATAGCTTAGTGACAGCCTGGACTTGGTCACTTGACTCTCAGATCTGGGTTCTTCCCATAACATTTTTGCAGCATTGCAGAAGATTCAAAGCAGGGATGTTCGGCTATCAACATCAAAAATAGTGAAACGAACCGAGCTGCTAAACTTAATTTTTTTTTTTTTTTTTTTTTTTGAGACGGACTCTCGCTCTGTCGCCCAGGCTGGAGTGCAGTGGTGCGATCTCGGCTGACTGCAAGCTCTGCCTCCCCAGTTCATGCCATCCTCCTGCCTCAGCCTCCCGAGTAGCTGGGACTACAGGCACCCGCCACCATGCCCGGCTAATTTTTTGTATTTTTAGTGGAGACAGGGTTTCACCGTGTTAGCCAAGATGGTCTTGATCTCCTGACCTCGTGATCCGCCTGCCTTGGCCTCCCAAAGTGCTGGGATTACAGGCGTGAGCCACCGCGCCCGGCCTAAACTTAATATTTTTCTAAAGATCAGCCTTGTATTATTGAAAGTGCTTTCTTAGCCATTCTCTCCTCTGATCACCACATCAAATTTGTGTAGCTCTTTTATAGATAAAAGAATAGAGACAGGATTGAAGTGTCTAGAGTCTAGACTAATTTGCAAAACTCGTCAGCAACTAAGTTAAAACTAGAATCTAAGACCTGAAGTACCACTCCCACTTTGCCTCCTCTTTGGCCTTAAAAAATGAGAGTTGGCAGGGCACAGTGGCTCAAGCGTGTAATCCCAGCACTTTGGGAGGCCAAGGCGAGCAGATCACCTGAGGTCAAGAGTTCGAGACCAGCCTGACCGACATGGTAAAACCCCCGTCTCTACTAAAAAGACAAAAACTGGCCGGGCGTGGTGGCGGGCGCCTGTAGTCCCAGCTACTCAGGAGGCTGAGGCAGGAGAATGGCGTGAACCTGGGAGGCGGAGGTTGCAGTGAGCCAAGATTGCGCCACTGTACTCTAGCCTGAGCGACAGAGCAAGACTCCATCTAAAAAATAAAAATAAAAAAAAGAGAGAGAGAGGAAGAGAGACTCATAGAATTCTTAAATCATAGCAATGGAGGAAACCCTCCCATTCCTTACAGAATCCCCTTGTCCAGCTTCTTGCACACCTCCAGAGAGAACACATTATTTACCACATCGGAATGTAGGCCATCCATTCTTGGGAATCCCTATCATCGGTCTTTTCATCAGAAACAAATCAAACTGGCTTCCTGTCATTTCCACTCATTTCCCTGCATTGGTTCAATTTCATTCAGTTTAAGTTTATTAGGTACCTGCCATGTACCCCCACAGATAGGTATTATTATGCCCATTTTGGAAACTGGGCCTTTGAGAGCTTACAAAATTTACCTAAGGTCACAGCTGGGAAGAGGCAAGCCCAGGTCTTCTGTTTTCAAATACTATACTATCTGTGGCTTGCACTTAAGAGTCGCAAAAATGAAAATGCAACCCTTCCTCCAGATAGAGCAAATAAGACCAGTTTTGCAGACACGGCTCCCTGTATGCCACTATCCTGTTTTACAAGTCAGTAAATGTTCAGGAGCTCCCAATACAATGTATGAGGTTAATTAATAATATGTAAAAGTTTATAGTTTATACAGCATAATCTCATAAACATTTATTAGTATGCTAATAGAGAGTAATGGCCATGTAAGCATAAAATCAGACAGGGGGCTGATGTGACACAGCAAAAGAGCTGTCAGAAAATCCATAATACTCTTTTTAACCAGCAAGAGTATTACAGGCATGATCTCCCTACAGACTTTTTCCTGGTTGCACTTCTGGATGACCATGAGATGGTTGAAAAGATGTTGGACTTGGAATCCGGAAATCTGGGTTCTCATCCTGGCTCTGCCCTTAAAGAAAGAAAAAAGGTTAGGGGGTGGGGTATTGACATTTATTGAACCCTGCTCTGTTCCAGTGCTCTGCTAGGCACTTTTCCAGTGATCTCTCCATTTGTTCTACCTGGATGGACTTAGGCAATCACCTGGCACATAATGCATATTCAAATATATTTATTCAATTATGCTGACTTGAAATGAAATCACTTTCCCTCTCTGGGCCTCAGCTTTCTCACTCAATCTCTAAGGTTCTTCATGTATTGCTCTCCTGATTTCCAGAAAGTCTTCCACCATCTTTTCCATATATATCAGGTCAGTCACATAAAATTTAAATCATCCCACTGTCTTGAAGTTAATTACACGGCAATGTTGTGCAAGAGCGACTGGATCCTCATCTTCCCACTTCCCCCAGTGGCCAAGAGACAGGACACCTGGATTTCATCGTTCACTGCCATCAGTGACAGAGGGGAAGTCATTTGACATAATGCACTTCAGTCAGTTTCCTCATCAGAAACACTGGGATAATAAAGCTCTCATGACCTGAGATACACAGTATTATTTTTTTTTTCTTTTGAGATGGAGTCTCATTCTGTCACCCGGCTGGAGTGCAGTGGTGTGATCTTGGCTCACTGCAACCTCCAACTCCCTGGTTCGAGCAATTCTCCTCCCTCAGCCTCCTGAGTAGCTGGGATTACAGGCACGCCCAGCTAATTTTTGTATTTTTAGTAGAGATGGGATTTCACCATGTTGGCCAGGATGGTCTTGATCTCCTGACCTCGTGATCCGCCCTCCCCGGCCTCCCAAAGTGCTGGGATTACAGGCATGAGCCACCGTGCCTGGCCTTCATGGGAGTATTTTAAAGCACACACATAAGCATTTTTCTCTCTGCACAACTGCTTACTGAGTATCAACTGTAAGCAAGCTCTCAGCCTGGGACATTGGGGATACAAAGATGACTAAGACCCAGTTTCTGCATGTAAGAAGCTCATAATGTATGTGTGATGGAAAGTGAAGGGTAAGAAGTAATTCTTAAACAAATAAAGTTATAAAGTTCTATGGAGAGAGAGAGAGCAATTAATTACATTTAGATGGGATTTTTTCACAGGACACTTCATTAAAGAGAAGGATTACATTTTTAACTTAGCCATAAAAAATGAGCAGACAATTTTGCTGCTTGCTTTTTTCCACATATTATGTTTATCATGCAAGTAGATCTTATTTATTTTAACTACCACCATATAGTATCTCATTTTATTAAACTACAGCTTATCTTTATTGGTCTACTAAGGGGCAATTAAGTTGTTACCACTTTTACATTATTAGATTGACTCTCCATGTACATGCTTCAGACACATGCAAGATCTTTTGCTAGCACGAACAATCACAAGTGGAATTACTGGTGTATGTTCCTTGTCAGGCATTGCCAAATGGTTCCCCACAGGATATGGGCTGATTAACACCACTATACAAAATATAAGGGCACATAAACAATGCTATGTATTGCTTGTGACTATATTTAAATACAGTAAAAGTACATTGGCAATGGTTATATCCTGACTCACCTCTGGAGAGGGAAAAGGGAAAAGGGCCTTAGCAAATATCAACATCTCTTAAAGCTGAATGATGGCTATATAAGTTTCTGGTAAATATTTTCCATACTTTTCTGGAAAGTTTAAAAGAGTTCAAAATTAAACTGGAAGATTCATATCAGGGAGAAATGGGGAGGAGTGGGCCCTCCAGGCTGAGGGAACATCACCAGCAGCACAGAATTGTAAAAGCACCCCATCTGAGGAGTGGCCGATAGCGTCACTTTGACCCGGGATGCCTGGGTGCGAAAGAGAATAGAAAAGGCTAAGTAGGAAGCAGCTGTACCAAGGTCTCTGGACCTTATTCTGACACTGACAGGTAACCACTGGAGCTATTCGAGGCCCGCAGGCCTGTGTGCATCTTCCTGGCCTCTCACATTTATCTGTACACCACAGACAAAGTATACTGACTGCCCTCCGCCCCTCTGCCTCTCCTCACAGACCTCCAAACCCCTAACCAGAAGCTGCAGGTCTGAGCTAGAGAGCCAGGGAGTCAGGAGGCCAGGGACCCTCCATGGCAGTCCTTGGAGATAAGTCAGGTGAGAGGCGCAGATGTGGAGAATGTACATTGTCTCATGCACAGGTGTGAGGATTGGGGGAGCTCTGAGCCAGTGCCATCCTAAGCTCCATGAGAGTTCAAACAATCCCCAGAGCCGGCAAGAAGAAAATTGTCTCATAAAACTTCCCATTGATTTTAGCTGGATCCTTATAAATCCCATGGAGTCAGATTGCTTTTAGCAAGATTAATATCCCTGCCTTCCCCAGGTGCGTCTGTTCTCTCTCTTTCTCTTTCTCTTTCTCTCCCTCTCTAACACGTGCACACCCACACCACACACTCACACACTTTCCGTCGCACACACTCAGCCGTTCTGTCCACAGGGACATGTGCACACACAGACGTGCATGGTTTCTGAGTGTGTGCTTCTCACACTCCTTAAACATAGGGTTAAATGTTTCCCTTGTCAGGAAACTTCGAGTCTGTTTCCTTTTGTAATGTGTTTTTCACACTTATCTCAAACCTGGCTAGGCTTTGCCTTATGACCAAAATTTTCCCTTGAAAACACTCCGAGTTCACATAACCCAGAGCACGGGCCCTGCATCAATCACAGGGCCCGATGACTGGTGGGTCAGCTCCATGAACCAAAACAAGCCACTCAGCAACTTGTTCTCGGCACAGCTGGGGCTTCCCAGGGTTCACAGGAGGAGAAGATATCTCAGGTGAGTCCCCCACCCAGCAAAGTGTCAAGCTGGGGCCCGAGCCATGAGGGGGCTTCTCAGACTTATAAAGGAGCAAACACAGGTCTCTCCTTTGTCCAAGGAAAACACAAGGAATTGAGGAGAGGCAGGCTTCCCCAGCGCAGGCCAAACTCCAAATGAACTTACATGCAGAACATGGTCCCAGAGGATACAGTTTCCCAGCAGATGCAAGCCTTCAGGACTTGTTATTTTGGTGAGGAAATTAGTGTGTGTAATAAGAAGGGAAAACATCCTTAACAGTTCTTTTTCAAAGACACATGGCTTAGCACAGACATTAGCTCACATTTGCTATCATCCGGGAAATCCAGTCCTCAGTCAATGAGGGTTCACAGCCATCACATGCTGCTGCACCTCAAGCCTTCCCCCTCCCTGGCAGCTTCTCATCCACTCTTTCTATTCTGAGTCATCCTGTTAACCAAAACCTACCAGAGAGCAGATTTTGGCTGATAAGAAAGAACTTTTGAGGAGGCAAAGCTATGCAGAGATGACATGAGGGTCCCTGGGCAGTAGAGACCAGTGACTAGGAGAATGGGCAACTGCTTGATGAGGTTGTGTAGACACGGGGTTTCATGCATCTCTTGGCCCCATGGGAGACGTACAATTCCAAGCTCTGTCTCAGACCTTCACCTACCACTCAAGTGGCCCTGGGCTCTCCACTTCAGAGCTCCTACAACTCATCACAAACCCCTACTGTCTTTCATAGTCTCCCCTTGTGTGCGAACCCTTTCTCCTCAGAGAGAGTCTGTGGAATTTGAAAGAACAAACTCCATCTCACTTTCCCATCCTCCCCACAGCTTTTGCAGGTTGCATGGTAAATTCCTGATATATCATTTGATTGATTGGAGTGCTTTGGAAAGGAGGTGGGCACAAAAAGATGGCCCTAAGATGTTTACTTTGTCTCAAAGGCAGACACCCCAGAGTGGAACTGTGTTAGGATCCTCCCCAATCGCTGTAGCTCAGAATCCAAGCATGGTGACACACAGTGGAGCCCTACTGTACATCAGCTGTGCCCTAAACAGGGTGCCATGGGGACAGCTTCAGGAATTTAAGGCACTATCTCTTCTGCATAGAGCAGGAACCTTGGGCATCAGCTGCTGTGGGTCACCTTTTACTAAATGAGTGGCCTTGGGCTCACTTATCTCATTTCCAAGATAGGAATATGAACAGTCTATACCTCATAGGGTTGTTGTGAAATGGGGTGATCATTACATATACATCTGTTTAGAATAGTGGCTGGCATATTTATCCAATAATCAATATTTACCATGTGCCAGGCACTGCTCTAATTGCTAAAAATAGAGCAATGAATGAAAACAACAAGTAAAATTCCACGTCCTCATGGAGCTAATAATCTAGTCACCCTAAACAAATATCAGTGGTCCTTATAATTATTTTATTTTTATTATTGCTATAGCATCAGGATTTGTCTCCTCCACTGGCCTGTATCTCCCGGGCTGGCAAAGTTCCAGGCTCACTATGGGCATTCAGTAAACAGCTTTTGAATAGGCAACAAATAGATGAATCCGTAATTGTAACATTGCCATTTTTCCTGTCAATCTCAAAATTATATTAAGCAATGTGTATTGGTCTAGGAGGTTGAATGTTCAGACTCAATTAATCTTCACAATAAGCCCACAGGCAGGTACTAGTATTATCCCCATCATGCAGATGAGGAAACTAAGACAGGCAGAAGTTAGAGACCTTGCTCAGGACCACTTGGCTGGGGTTCATGCCCCTATTCCTCATGTCATCCTGCCTCTCAGCAGAACAGAGTAGGCCAGATTTTTTTCTTTTTTGAGATGGAGTCTCACTCTGTCACCCAGGCTGGAGTAATGGAGGGGCTTTATCTCGGCTCACTACAGCTTCTGCCTTCTAGGTCCAAGTGCTTCTCTTGCCTCAGTCTCCCAAGTAGCTGGGACTACAGGTGCCCACCACCATACCCAGTTAATTTTTGTATTTTTAGTAGAGATGGTGTATTGTCATGATGGCCAGGCTGGTCTCAAACTCCTGACCTCAGGTAATCCGCCCGCCTTGGACTTCCAAAGTGCTGGGATTACAGGTGTGAACCACTGCACCCTGCCTGGAATAGGGCAGATTTTTAAAATGCACAGCAGACAATATTCCCACGACTGGAAAGAAATCAGCCACCGCTTGGACAACTGCAGTCATTCCTAACTCACCTGCCTGACCTTGGTTCCATCCCAACTCATCTTCAACCCACTTACACAAAGCTGTCAGCTGGTCACCCTACATGGCAGGCCTGCAGGTGTGATCTAGTTGCCTAGTCACTTTACTTAAAAAACCCCACCCCTATAAGTCCCTGCTGGCTTTAAAATTGTTCTTCAAACTTTATTTTACTGCTATCCACAGTAAAAAAAAAAAAAATACATTTGATGTGATAACCCAGTACATACAAATGTATATAAATAGAATTAAAACAAGGTGCAACTCCATCTCTACTAAAAATACAAAAATTTGCCAGGCGTGGTGGCATGTGCCTGTAATCCCAGCTACTCGGGAGGCTGAGACATGAGAATTGCTTGAACCCAGGAGGCAGAGGTTGCAGTGAGCAGAGATAGCACTGCTGCACTCCGGCCTGGGCAACAGAGCAAGACTCTATCTCAAAAAAAAAAGAGAATGATAGTAACAACACTCATCTTATATAAGACTAAATGATATTGTACATATTAAATTCTTAGAGTATGCCTGGCTGCCTGGCTTATAGCAATGTACCATAATAAATATATAATATATATAATACATAAAATCATGTTTGCTAGCATCATTATTATTATTTTAAATAGAAATAACAGTAAACATGCATTAGTTTTCATTAAGATACTATAGTGCCTGGCTCTGACTTAGCAGGGAAACCTACAGACATAGGACATGTGTCCACAGTCTGTAGCTACATGATTAAATTGACTATTTTAGAAATAAAGCCAACAGCATGCTTGAGGCAAATTTTAAAACAGATTCAGATCGATTGCCCTAAAGATCCCAGTTGTCCCAAACTACAGGTTAGAAGACAACTTTCCAACTGAAGAGCAATTTCATCTCTCCTGGTGTCTTAATGTGCCCAGAGTCACAAACTTTGGCCTGCAACATTCCTAACAGAGATGTTCCTAATGATGTGGCTCAGGTTATTGGGAAGTGAGGTGGTCAGAGTCTCCCATTTGAACATCTGCTTTTGCATAAGCACAAGCAATGGCTTTTTATTCTCCAGAACTCAGGCTTATTCCCAAAAGGCAGACACCCAGGTTAACAGTCAAGCCCTACAAGATGCCAAGGCAGTCTATCAGGAAAAAGGAAAAACCCCAGGTCATAAGTCACCTGGAAGGCAGTTTAATTATAAAATGTGTGAAGCTGAGTTTTAAATGTGAAGGGTCATCCTGGCTGTTTCCTTGGACCTTTGGAAAAGTGTTAACTAGTTATCATTATATGAAATTTATGAATGCACCAAACCCAGGGCTATTTATTATTTCCTTGGCACCTCTACCATTTGCAGTTACAAGGAGCTGAAATGTGCACTGTTTAGACATTCCATTGCAGGCATCAGGCAAAAGCTTTAAATGCAAGCATTTATAACGATAGTCTGATCACCAAAAACTCTAACTTTGAGACATGTTTAGCATCCTTAAGTAATATTTAAACAGCCACTCTATCCTTCCTTCGCCTTCTCCCTCCTACAGTCCAACATTGTCTTTTTTTCTATCTACACAACTGACTCTCTCTCTCTCTCTCCCCACCCCCTCAGTTTCTCTCTTTTTTTCTCTCTCTCACCCCTACTCCATTTTCAAAAGACAATTATTGCTGATGGAGATTGCCTGGCACAAGATGTGTGGGTGTAGATTAGTCACTAAGTGTCCTGGGGGTCACTCCACCCCAACCAAACACCAGCTCCCTCCAGTTACAGTGGGGAGGATGGGATGACAGTCTTCGCTGTCATTCACCCTTTCTCTACCTGTCACGCTGTTAAGATCCCCAAAAAGGGATCTTGGCAGATGTTACCAGAGGCCTTTTTTTTCTTTCTTTTTTTTTTTTTTTTTTTGTAAACTCACATTCAAATTTTTATTCTACAAATAGGCTGGGGACAGGGCAGCATAGAGAAAGAGGGATTCTGGACCCAAGATGAATAGATGTTGGTCCTCCACCCTCAACCTGGTCACAGTCCAGTAAGGGACACACTGCTATGCCAGTAGTTGCAGCCATTGTGTTTGAAGCCTGAGCAGCCTCCTATGCCACATCGAGAGAGCTGAACCGGGGGTGTGCTGGTCAGTGTTAAACAACCAGCTGTCCAGGGGGAAAGAAGCCCTAATTTGCAGCTCTTACCAATTTCTGTGATGTAAATGCTTCCCACTTGATCAATTTCAAGCTGCCAACATGACCTCACGGAACAGAAGAGATGCGCAAGTAGCTCGCTGCCACACAGCCGCCATGGATGAAGTCACCTTGAGAGTCTGGAACATGGTAAAATATAATAAAGTAATTTGGAGGCAATGATTTTTGTGTATTTATTAACTGTTTTAAATATATTTTATTTAATTGAGAATTGATACCATTTAATTTTTAATAGTGGCTGTGTTTGACGACCAGCTTACAAAATTTCTGTAGCTTTTAACAGTTGGCCCTCATGAGCAGTTGCAATCCACTCCAGTGCACCACTGGGACGACTTCACTTGGATAGAGGGCTGACCAGTGCAACAGTGTCAGAACAGGGATTCCAGGTGGCAATTCAAGAGGCCAGATGTGAACTGACAGCTTACTTGAAGCCATCTGGAATGGTAAGAAATACAGGACTAGGCCAAGCCAATATTTACAGAGAGCTGAAAGCCAGACACATAGGAGATAAAGTCCTAACACTAGACCAAAAGAGCTGAAGGCAGACTTCACAAAGAACATGCAGATCAGAACAGGGCTGGGGCCAACTCCTGTTTAAAAAAAGAATAGTTCAGGAACAAGTGAGGAGGGTTTTGGAATGTGTCACAGATATCTGTGAGACCTACACCGCTCACATGTATTAGTGACTAATCATGATAATTGCTCAAGTTTATTGAGCACTTAATGTAGACCAGGTGCAGTTTTAAGTGCTTTACATAGTCGATCTCACTATTGATAGCTCCATTTTACAGATGCAACAGGCAGCCTAACCCCAGAGGAGACTGTGGTTGTACCTGCTATGCAGTACAGGTACATGTGTGTGTTAGACGGGTTTAAAATGTCATAGAGAAGGCAAAAAATACATGAAGAAATACTCCAAAGTGGAATAAACACCTGATTCCCAGACAATGCTCAAATACTTGGTGTAAAATAATATGTGCATTTAGAGATATCACCACAATTGACTACAAAGGGAGGAAGCAAATTGTTAAGTTCAGCAATGGTTGATCTTACCTTTGGTGAACCAGATGCACTGTGAATACACTGGGAGGAAATACAACTATAGTCCCTGCCTTCTTGAAGCCCCAGTTTTTACTCCCTCTTTCTCATACCCAACCATTGGAACTGACACTAAGAGCTGTCCTTGCTTCCTGAATCTCCTTCCTCCAATCACAGTGGCTTTGCTTCTCCTTTCTCCAAGGCCAGCAACTGCAAGTCAGCCCAACCTATGCCCAACCCCAGACCCTGGTCCAGCCCTTGTAGCCCAGCTTGAGCACAGCCCTGGGTCCTTGCTTGCCTGTGAAAGAATATTCCAGCCTGTGAGCTCCTTGAGGTTTTACGGGATTTCTTTCAGAGGACCCAGCCCAGTGCTGGGTGCAATAGATACATATTGAACTAAAAATAGAGGCTGCCTGAGCAGAGGGAAGACGTTATCACAGTTTCATATTTATTAGGCCTTTTCATTTTATGATTCACCACGTGGGACACAGGCCAACAGCCCCTCTTCCCTTAGGAAGTGGCCTTCTAACTCAGAATGACACAGTATTACATATTCCCAACAGGGAACCACAAATGCCTCACAAATGTTTCAGGCTGGCTGGAAGCTTTATATTGAGTCTCAAGGAGTGTTTTCTTTGCAGTTTTGTCTTTGAATAGCTGGTGCATGTGAGGAAGAACTATCAGGAAGGGCCATTATTGCGCATGTGCTGTGCTTCGGGGAAGTGAGTGTCAAGTCTCACCCACTGATCTGGGAAAGTTTCCATGAATTCATTTTCCTCTCACCCCCAGCGATGCTCTGTTTGCTAACTCAAGCAAGGGGAAAGGTCTGTTTTCAATTAGGACCTCTCAAAAAAGTGTTTTTAAATGGCCTGTAAAAATAATCCAATAAAGGCCTCAGAGGTGTGAGCTGTTGTCATCATCCTGTTTGGAAAACGTCACTCAGAATGCACCCTAAAGTGAGGGAGGGAGGTTGTGATGCCTTAAAAAAAATTAATTTGTGAAATGAACCTGCAGGATTAGTTGTCCGCCTTTGTGCCCAGCTTTAATATGTCCTCAACCAGGGAAATCCGAGGCTTTGGATTATTAGCCGGGTTGGATCACGTTACCCTGTTTGGCTCTGCAGAAATCACACTTTTCATTTTGCCTTTAATCCTAAAGGTCACCGGGAAGGTCAGCCCCAAACACAAATGATACTTTGTGGTCTTACTTTCAGACAATTATCAACTCATAAATCTTGGTCAGACTGTAATGAGAGCGCGAGGAATAATTGAATTCAGTCCAGACTCACAGGGTCGGAGGGAGCAGAGAACTGGAAGGGGAGGGGACAGACAGAGGGAGGGGGTTCAGGGCCTGGGAGCCAGAAAGTCTTCCCTCCAGCACTGCAGATTTTCCCATTTGTCCTTGTTAAATCACTGTGTTTTGAAATTTGGATGGATATGAGTGAAGCCATTAAAGATGGGGATGGTTCATTGGTAGCTCAGAAAATAGAGCGTAAGATTCTTAAAAGAGCACAAGTCTAAAGGCAGCAAGTTGACAAGAAGGAAAGACTAGAAAAGGAGTCAGGGGACTGAGGTGCTGAGTACCCCAGTTCAGCCAGTTTCCAGGCTGTGTGGCCCTGGGAGAACCATTTCACCTCTCTGTCCTGAGAATGGGGCTGCTGGCCCCTCCCACATCCCAAGATTGTCATAAGGATCACATGAGATAATAAACTGAAAAGTTTACAAACTCACAGAAAGAGACAACATTCTTAAGCACATTAACTGAGCTTGATTCATCAACAATAATTTTAAGAAAATCCTGTTGGCTCTGTATTCCAAACATGTCTACACCTTGCCTACTTCTCACCAGCTCTACCACTCCCATCCAGGCCCAATCCAGCATTATCTTTCACCTGGATTATTGGAATAGTACTCAAATCAGTCTTTCTTTCCACATATGACTCCTCCATAATCCAGTTTCTTTTAAATGTGTCAGGCGATTCTTCTGATCAAAACCCTTCAATGGTTCCCCATTTCACAGGGATAAAAGCCCAATCTCAAGATCACCTACGAGACAACCCCACAGTACCTGGAGCCCGTTCCTGCCCTGATCTCATCTCCCACTGCTCTGCCCCTTGCCCAGTCTCCTCCAGCCACACCAGTCTCTTTGTTGCCCCTCGCACCTGCAGGGCACGCTCCTGCCCTTAGCCTGGAATGCATTTCATGCAGACTCACACATGACTTGCTCATCTTCCTCTACTCTTTGCTCAGGCCTCACATTGCCTGTCTGCTCTATTTAAAATTGCATCACGGCCACCTAACTTACTTATTATGTTTATTGTCCCTCTTCCTCCTATTAGAATGTATGCTCCTTGAGGACAGGATTTGAGCTTCTTTTCTTTACTCCAGTTCTTACGAGGGCCTGGCGTGGAGCACACACTCCGTATTTGCCAAACTGGAAAGAAAACTTGATTTCTATCTGGCTAGAGCTCTTGTTGATGTGGCCATTTAGATGCTGAATTGCCTAATAATGCTACCTGACTTCTCCAATCATTTTTCCGGAAAATCTTGCATCAAGTTTGGGTGATTTGCTGGATTTTATCAATCTGTGTGCTCTCCAGAACACCATGCACCATATTTGGTCTCAGTTTTATTGTTCTATTGGCTCTACTTAGCACATCTGGCTCTGCCAAGGGACACAGTTGGGCCAGCTGTCCAACATTCCAGGGCAAGCTACAGGAGAAGGGTGTGATGGTGGGAAAGGAAAGAAAAGAAGGGCCTGTGCACCACTTGCCATCATAACCAACCTGCTTACACCCATGAGAATCTGCTGCAATACATACCAAACTGTCAACACTAATAACAGAAAGGGAAGGAATCAAATGGTCTTTGGCTTGAAATTACAAGCATTTTTGTTTTTCAACACCAAGCATTGTAAGTTAGCATGTATCTTACATAGTGACAGCACTTTATAGGTATATACGGTTTCATTTCACCCTTATTCCAATAGGGTAGGTGTATTGGTATCTTTATACTATAGACAAGGAAACAGATTACATAGTAAGTCCTTGGAAGGGTCATGTCTTTCCATTGCAAGTGAATTTAGCTTAGCTGGTACAAGCAACAACCCCAACAAATGTCCCCTCCCTCATATTCTACAGTTTAGAATTCTGCTGCAGACAGAATGATGTCTGTCTGTTCTGCTTCCTCAGCTTACCAACTAGGGTGAAGGCTGTTTGAGAACAGTAACCATGTCATATCTCCAAGGCTCTGGCAAGGTTTTTGGCCCAAAGAAGTTTTGCAATTGTGCCAGGGGCTACAGTAAGAAGTAAATAAAAGATAAGCCCTATGAAGAAAAAAACCAAAAGGATGCTGAGAAAGAGAATAGCTTCATTGAGGGTGATCTACTTTGGACAGAGTATCCAAGGAAGGCACTCCTAAAGAGTTCACAATTTAAGCTGAGACCTAACACATGACTATCTGCTCCCTGGCAGATGACCTTGGCAGGACAAAGATAACTGATAGCTACCTGTCAGCTTACCCGTATAGGAGTGAAGATTGTGTGCATTTTGAGAACAGGACTTTCTGAAAAAGGAAATGGGCAGGGGGAAAGGAATGGAGCTGCACATGCTTGGTTTTTCCTTTCATTCAAGGAATATGTATTGAGATCTACTATGTGGCTGGCTGCTCTAGGCACTAAGACTATGACCGAAACTCATGGTGCATATATTTAACAAAGGAGAGAGACATAGTCCATTAAACATGTAAGATGCTGGTGATAGCTCCTACAAATATAAACTAAACAGGATAAGAAGGGATAGAGAATGACAGAGGTGGGAGTAGGGAGAAAGGGTAACTGTTAGATAGAGTCAGGGAAGGCCATACTCAGGAAGTCACATTTCTACAGAAGCCCAAATGTAGAGAGGGAATGAGCCATGCCAAGTTTTCAGGAGAAGAGGTGGTTAGAAAATATTTTAGCAGAAGCAACAGAAAATGCAAAGAGTCTGAGAAAAAATCCTCTTGCAATTTAAGAAGCATTCAAAGAATATTAAGGGTGAGCAGGGGAAGACTAAAAGGAAAAGAGGTGGGAGGCGTGGCCAGGAGCAAGATCACAAAGAGCCTTATCCCTGGTTAGGAATTTGGATTTTATTCTGTGCAATGAAGTCATTGCCTGGTTTTGAGCAAGAGAGTGTTGTAACCTGATTTATGTTTGAACAGTATTGTTTTGGCTTCTGTGTAGTGAAAGAATTGCAGGAGACAAGAGTGGAGCTAACGGCAGTGGCCCAGGTGAGAGATGATGGCAGGAAAGTCCTTGGACCAGGGGCAAGTGGAGGTGGAAGGAGGTGGACAGCTGTGTGATTTTTTTTTATAAAGAGTTCACAAAATGTACATATAATTCAAAGTAGTGGATGAGGAAGAGAGAGAAATCAGAGACACTAATAGATCTGGGACCTGAGCAACTGAGTGGATGTTGGTGCCACTTCCTTGCCTTCCTAGAGGAGGCTCGGGATTTGGAGAGCAACATGTTAGGCTTGGTGGAGAGAAGCAAGCTGAAAACAGCATGCCCTCTTCCTTCTCTTGATCTCTCCAATCAGGTCAGTATCTCTTTGGGAGGGAAGACAAGAAATGGGGATCCCATACTGTCTTCATCCATCTGCTATACAAAAAAAACATAAACTGGGTGGCTTATGAACAACAGAAATTTATTCCTCATGGTTCTGGAGTCTGGAAAGTCCAAAATCAAGGTGCCAGCAGATTTGGTGTCTGGTGAGAGCGCACCTCCTGGTTCACAGAGGGCACCTTCTCACTGAGTCGTCACACGATAGAAGGGAAAAGAGCTTCCTCCAAGCCTCTTGTATACAGGCACTAATCCCATTCATCAGGGCTCCACCCTCATGACCTAATCATCTCCTAAAGGCCCTGCCCCCTGATACCATGACCTTGAGGTTTAGGATTTCAACATATGAATTTTGGGGGAAAACAAACAGACCACATAACACATACCTTCTCCTCCTAGAAAAATGAGGGCAATTTTTATCACAGAAATATAAGGAGGTTATAAAGGCTTACCCTAAAACTTAGATTTTATTTTCATTTTTATTCACCTGGGGAAAGGAGCAGTACAGAGAAAATTAGGGAAGAAACAGAAAAATATGTAAACAATTACTACAAGCCAAACTACTATAGGTGCTAGAAGAACTGTTTCTTAATATCTCTGCATCTCAGTAACTATTACTGTGTCTGGCACAAAAATATTTCTTGAACTGAACTGTCATAAGATATAATTCTGAATGAGGGGATCAAGGAAGTCTTAGGAAAGGAGGATTTAGAGTCTTAACTTGGAATTTTCTCTGTTTGCTGTTTCTATTCATAGTATTACTCACACAGTCCCTTGGTATGGCCTTGGTACTGTAAAAACCTACTTCAACAAGCCTAGGCTCTGCCCAGAGACCTTGGAATCTGAGAGTGTTTTAGCCCAGAATAGGTGGAAACCTCAGGCAAAGTTTATAAAAATTAATACCACTGCAGAAAGTGATTAAATACATGGACTGTAGGTTTAGGTTTCTGCTCCACCACTTACTTGCTGTGTGTCCTTGGGCAAGTTACTTAACTTCTCTGTACTTCAATTTCCTCAGTGCATAATGGAGATTTTAATAGTAGCCATCTCATAAGGTGGTTGCAAAGGTTAAATGTGTTAATATGCATGATGCACATAGAACAATGCCTAGCACATAGTAGAGATACATAATCACTACTACTACTGCTACCAGTACAACAGCAGGTCTTATGGACCTAAGGTCATATAACTTAGTCTCTTCCAAGATTCTTGAAATGATTTCTCAAAACAAGAGAATATAAAGAAGAAACGTTATGAACAAATGGTAAATAAGAATAAATGTTAGTAATAAATGGTAAAAAAAAAAAAAAAAGGATATGAAAGCCAATAGTTACATGTTCTTTCCTGTTAAAGCTATTTTACAAATGGAAGGAAGCAAATTTACTTTTTCCTCTTGAACCCGTGAACTTTGAAAATCTTCTCATCTATTTGACTGAGTAGTATGGTCTTTTAAATGGTATATAAGATAAGAAGTATTCAAAATAAAGATATAGCCTTTATAAAATTAATGCCTTACAGACGATAACAAACGTTGGTGAGAATGTGGAGAAACCAGAACCCTCATATATTACTGATGGGAATATAAAATGGTTCAGCCACTTTGGAAAACAGTTTGGCTGTTCCTCAACAAGTTAACATTGAGGTACCATATGCCCAGCAATTCCACTTCTAGGTATATACCCAAAAGAATTTAAAACACATACTCAGCCAGGCACGGTGGCTCATGCCTGTAATCCCAGCACTTTGGGAGGCTGAGGCAGGTGGATCACCTGAGGTCAAGAGTTTGAGGCCAGCCTGGCCAACATGGCAAAACCCTGTCTCTACTAAAAATACAAAAATTAGCCCGGTGTGGTGGCGCGTGCCTGTAATCCCAGCTATTCGGGGGGCTGAGGCACGAGAAGCCCTTGGACCCAGGAGGCAGAGGTTGCAGTGAGTTGAGATCGCGCCACTGCACTCCAGCCTGGGTGACAGAGTGGGACTGTGTCTCAAAAAAAAAAAAAAAAAAAAACACATACTCATATTAAAAAAAATGTGTGAATGTTCATTGCAGTATTATTCATAATAACCAAAAAGTGGAAACGACCCAAATGTCCATCAGCTGGTGAGTGGATAGACAAAAATGATATGCATACAATGGAAGATTATTCAGCCAGAAAAAGAACTGACGTGCTGACACATGCTACAATGTAGATAAACCTTGAACAGTTGTGCCAAATGAACGAAGCCAGTCACAAATGATTCTACCTATATACAATGTCCAGAATAGACAAATCTACAGAGACAGAAAGTAGATTCGTCACTGTCAAAATCTGAGAATGACGACTAATAGTTACAGGTTTTCTTTGGGAGGTGATAAAAATGTTCTAGAATTCGATACTGGTAATAGTTGCATGACCTTGAAGAGATACAGAAAATCACCAAATTATACATTTTAAAAGGCAAAATTTGGCCAAGCATGGTGGCACATGCCTGTAGTCCTTGCTACTCAGGAGGTTGAGGCAGGGGTATCATTTGAACCCACAAATTCAGGGCCAGCCTGGGCAACATAGTGGGAACCCATCTCAAAAAAAAAAAAAAGGCATCAAAGGCTAAATTTTATGGTATGTGAGTTATATCTCCAAAAAAAACAGAATAGTACATCATGTTTCTGTCTGTGAAGTCTTTTTGTATACGTTTTATACGTAGTCCTCTCCCAATACCCCAGAGAGATGCAGGCTGAGAGTCTTATGAAGTTTGCTCTTACTGATCAGGTGTGGCGTATGTAATCCCCACTCTAAAGATGAAGAAATTTAGGCTCAGAGAGGTTACACGACTTACTCAAAGTTGTGCAGCTACGGCAAAAACCGCAATTACCTTTGCACCAACTTAATAATATGAGCTATATCTGGAAATGGATCCAGTGTTCTTTCTCAAAGAAATAGGCAGTACAAGGGGGTCCAGATAGCCTATGAAAGTGCTTAATTTGGGCACTAAAGAATGCAGCATAGCACACTGAAAAAAGCATGGGCTTTGGAGTAGCCTGACAGACTTTGATTCAAATCCCAGAGCCCCACTCATCAACTGCTTCACCTTGGGCTAGTTACTAATTCCCCCTAGACCTCCGCTTCCTCTTTATGAAATAGGAATGTTATCGCCTAATCTGGATGGATGTGGGGTTATTTAACAAAATATATATGTAAAGTACCTGACACAAAGAACATGCTCAATGAATGTACTGTGATGTTGTTATGAAAAATGAGGATAGGGTCATAGATTCAAGAGTATCATAGGTCACCAGACTCCGCACTGCTCCAAGGACTTGGCCTATACCCTCCATCCAGCTGTTGATGGGAATCAGTACAACACACTGGAGAAGAATTGGGAGTAGGGGCTGAGGAGACAGGTTCTAACTTGGGCTTTGCTACTAACTTAGTCTGTGACCTCGAGCAATTTACGTTTTTGCTCGTGTTTCAGTTACCTGTACGTTAGATAGCAGTTTTAAAAAAAAAAAAAAAAAAAAAAAAAAAAAAGCTACATGGGGGCTCATGTTTGTAATCTCAGCACTTTGGGAGGCTGAGGTGTGAAGATTGCTTCAGCCCAGGAGTTCAAGACTAGCCTGGCCACAGAGTGAGACCCCATCTCTACAAAAAGAAAAAAAATAGCCACACATGGTGGCATGCACCTGTAGTTCCAGCTACTTGGGAGGCGGAGGTAGGAGGATCACTTGAGCCCCGGTGGTGGAGGCTGAGGTACGCTATGATTCTGCCACTGCAATCTAGCTTGGGCAACAGAGCAAGGCCCTGCCTCACAAAAAAAGAAAAAAAAAAAAAAGGTTATTTTCCTACCTCTCAGGATTATCAGAATCAAATGAAATCAAGTATCTGAGCTGACTTTGCAAAGTTGATATAGGGATTTGTTAACTACAAACTAAATGTGCCCTTGATGGAAAAGGAACCTTATGGAATGATGACAGTTAACATTTGTAGAGAGCTTACTCTGTGTCCAGCATTGCTCTAAAAGCTTTCCATGAATTAACTGGCTCACCTGAGACATACAACAATCTTTGGAAGCTAATGTTCTTAACATCTGGTTTTTGTTTTTTTGTTTGTTTGGTTGGTTGTTTTTTTTGAGACAGAGTCTTGCTCTGTCACCAGGCTGGAATGCAGTGGCGCGATCTCGGCTCACTGCAACCTCTGCCCCCTGGGTTCAACTGATTCTCCTGCCTCAGCCTCCCGAGTAGCTGGGACAACAGGCGTGAGCCACCATGCCTGGCTAATTTTTGTATTTTTAGTAGAGACGGGGTTTCACCATGTTGGCCAGGCTGATCTCGATCTCTTGCCCTCGTGATCTGCCAGCCTCGGCCTCCCAAAGTGCTGGGATTACAGGCATGAGCCACCACACCCGGCTAATATCTGTTTTTAGGTGCTGAGCACAAGGAGATTAAGTAATTTCCCAAGACCACACAACTAGTAAGAGGAATGAGGACTCAGACCTAAGTCTCCTGGCACCAAAGCACTTGACCTCTAGTGATGTTCAGTGTATCTCCATTTTCAGACAAGGAAGTTCGTGAGACTGTATCCATAAGGCAAGGTGAGGCAACTAACAAGTAGTATGAGCTCACCACATGCCAAACCATTCCTGGTGCTTCCTCTATGCCTTCCTATTCCTCATGACAATCCTATGAGGCAGATGCCATACGTATTTTACTGCTGGGGAAGCTCAAAGCACATAATTGACATAATTAACTTACCTGAAGTCACCAGCTTAGTACGTAATAATGCTAAGATGTGAGACCAGTTCTTTCTGATGCAAAGGCCCCTGTACTTTCCACATATTCTGCCTGGGTGGAATTTACCCTGATGCCAAACATAATACACACGCACAAAGTAATGCTGTGGCATGCTTTGTCGATGGGCCCAAAATCTAGATATAAGTGGAGCAGCACATTTTATGTCTCTCAGGCCAGAGATACTGCTACACTGGCAAGCACTTCTTTAAGCTCCTGAGCTGTGACAGGACCGTGATATGATGAGTTACACATCACAGGAAGACAAAGTCCTTAATGATAATGCTGGCAGAGTCTGCCCTGGTGGAACTAGGAGCAGGTGGTGTGGAAATTAAAAAGTAACTGGAAAGCAGAAGAAATTGTGGCATTCTTCATTAGGACTGATAGGCAATTTTTGGTTCACTCCCATGGAAATCACTTGCGGATAACCAGGCAGTTATTAAACATACAAGGCTTGTGGAAAGACCCATTCATTACTGAGTCCCTGCACCAGAGTTTCTGATTAGCAAACATTGACATCACAGAGCCTGGCACAAGAGGCCACCATAAATCCTGTCACTTAGCAATAGGATAAGTAAGGCAGCACCTTTGGAAGGACACAATAGAACCGCAGATGTAGCACACAGGTGTTTGGAAATATATCAATATTGAAAATAGGGCCAGGCGCAGTGGCTCACGCCTATAATCTCAGCACTTTGGGAGGCTGAGGAGGGCGGATCATGAAGTCAGGAGATCGAGACCACCCTGACCAACATGGTGAAACCTCGTCTCTACTAAAAATACAAAAATTAGCTGGGCGTGGTGGCAGGCACCTGTAGTTCCAGCTACTTAGGAGGCTGAGGCAGGAGAATCGCTTGAACCCAGGAGGTGGAGATTGTGGTGAGCCGAGATCGTGCCACTGCACTCCAGCCTGGTGACAAAGCAAGACTCTGTCTCAAAAAAAAAAAAAAAAAAAAAAGACTGAAGTGACTAAGTTGCTTGTATTTTCCAGAAATAAACATTTCCCATAATGAAATTCCAAACCTTAGACCCTGTAGTGGAAGCCACAAGGCCAAGACACCACTCCCTTAGACACCCCTGTGATCTTCAGGGCCTCTCCTTTGGTCTCCTGGTCACGTCACACTCATGCAAAATCTGTCAGGGACACTGAAAGGTTTTATACTCAGGTGTCTTGCCCATCTCAGGCGATGGTAACCCATCAGGGTTATGGCACAGGCCATAAACCTGGGAGTCACCCTTGACTCCCTCTCTGTTCTCTCTGTTCTCACAGTCCACATTAATACAACAGGAAATTCTATCTCTATCTCCTAAATATCTCTATCTCCTAAATATCCCCAGAATCCAACCATGTCCACTACTCCCATCCTTATCCAAGCTGCCGTCCTCTCTCATCTGGATTAGGCGACTGCCTCTGAATTAGGCTCCTGCTTTCATTCTTGCCACACTACTGTTTTTTTCAACACTGCAGCTGTCATGATCCTATTGAAATGTCAATCAAATCATGTCATGTCTATACTTAAAACCTCCAATGGTTGGTTCTCTATCTCAGTAAAAGTACCAGATCAAGTCCTTACACTAATCTTTATTAGAAAGGTAACAAAGAGCACACCGTAAGGGCACTGTAGGTCAGTGTCAGGACTTGACCTTGTGCTATTTTAACTCTTCCCCTCCCACTCTCTCTGTGCCAGCCCCACTGGCTTCCTTGCTAACCCTCAGACAGCCCAGAAGTACTGGTATGAGAGCCCACCAGAGTTGCCAGGCTGGGGGAAGGACTATGATGGAGCGGGGCACCTGACCCAGCTCCCGGGTGTCCAATCTAGTGGGTGGAGCACAGTTCCTCTGGAGTAGATGGAGAGCAATGGTACAGGGCCTTTGGTGAAAGCAGAAAAATTGGGCACAAATTGCATGTCGCAGTAAGCTGTGGACAGCCTGAGTGGAGTGGGCAATCTGAAAAGGTGACTTGAACATGATGAGCATGCCGCTGTTTAAAATCTTCTACTGGTTTTCCATCACCTACAAAACAAACTTCTGATTCTGTAACTCAGTGCACAAGGCCCATCCTTTTCTCTCATCTCCCCTGCAGCTCTGGCCACCACGCCCTCCTATGTCCCCTCCTTTGTCTCCTTATTCTAGCCATACCAGGTTGCTAAAATTTACCCAAGCCGGCCACACTGTTCCAAACTTGAGGACCTTCGCTTTTGCCATTTCTTCTGTACAAACACTGATCCCTTCTCCTTCTTCACCCACTCCCTCAATATTCAAAACTCACCTATGGCAAGGCTGAACCTTTCTCCACCACCCCATGCCTCCCTCCCTCACAATACACATACATGCACACACACCTGCACACACCCCATCTGATTTAAGATCGTCCTCCTCTCTGCTCCAATAGTGCTGCGTGTTCACAACTGTCATGCCACTCCATCCATTGTGCTGTAATTGCTGATTTGTTTCCTCCCAGTGGATCATGAGTTCTTTTTTGAAAGGGACTGATTCTTGTGGGTCTCTGTATCCTCAGCATCTAACACAGTACCTGGCACATGATAAGTGTTCTCTTGGCTCCATACATGTGCATCAAATGAGTGAAGATATAAAAGCAGGTGTTCCGTCAACATGGCAGGTTTGACAGCAAGCCACATGCACAGGCCTGGAGGTCTGAGCCAAACCTCCAGCACTTGGGAGCCTGGAGAAAGCAAAACAGGGGTTGGTCTTGCAGGAAATAGGACATGGACAGGTCATCAAATTGAACTATTAAGGACAAGGGGGAAGTCAAGGACTCAGATACAAGAACTGGAAGATAAGAGGTGGGCAAGACAGAAGATTCCAAGACAGGAATGATTTCTAAAGGCTGAAGGAGTTATTGAGCCAGGAGGAAAGTTAATGGATGGAAAGGAAACCAAATCCCCCTGTTAAAGAGAACAGAGTGCAGGGAGCCTGGTTGTCCATAACACTGTGCATTTTCAACAGTATCCTGGTCAGCCGTCATCCCCACCACACTGAAATGGACCTCCTGCAGGCAAGACTGACAGGGCCATCACTTGGCAGAAGCTAAAATAAGTAGGTTTATTCCCACATTTACCCTTAAAGCTTTCTCCCTCTTTTTATCACTTTCTTTTCAAAAAGAACAAGAAGAGATTCACTCACCACATTCACATTTAGCAAGACACGCTCTGGAGTCACATTGCTTGAACTTAAATCCCAGCTGTGCCACTTACTACCTACCTGACTTCTACCAGTCCTATCCTCTTGTAAGCCTCAGCTTTCTCATCTACAAAATGGACATGAAAATAATAGTAACTACCTCACAGGGTGAATGTCCATTGCTACTGTCTTTGGGGTTGTTATTATTATTTATGGCATAGCAATCATGAACACAGACAGTAGAGCCAGACTGTCAGGTTCAAATTCTGTCTCCATTTCTCAGTGGCTCTGTGACCTTGGCAAAGTTGCTTACACCTCAGTGTCCTCATCTGTAAGATGAAGATAATAGCCTGACTTCAGAGGGGTCTTAGGAAAAGTAGAGACTAGCCTAAGAATTCCTGGGTTGTAATAAATGCTATCTAAATATTTGTGGAATAAATACATCATTGTTATTATCAAGAAACCAATGACTTATAGAGCCCCCCTTCTGCTGTGCATTTTGAAAGGCCCAACAAGGGAGTGATTTTTGCCCCAGTGGCATAACACTAACGGTCAGGGGCAAAGGTGATATTGGGGTTTCCTGATATCTCCAAAATAGTACCCTATAAGAACCAGCCCTTTCTCTCTGCTGTACTTCTGGCTTTGCAGGACCCAAACCAGCCCCTTGCTTGCTGAAAAGGTCCCCAGCATTCTGACAACATATAACAAAGGTGTGGGAGGGAGTGGGGCCACGCTGAAAACAGCTGACCCAGTGGACTGGCTGCTGCCACTGGATCTATTTCCCAGTGTCTCGGAAGTTGCTGACTTCAGCCTTTCCAGAGTAAAGCACCGTCCATGGTCAGAGACAGCACCAAAGCAGCACGCAGCACAGCCGTAAATCTATGAGCCATATTATTTAAGAGACCTGACTTCTTGTGTTGCGATATTAAAGCAAATCTGCCTCCTGCTCATAAATCAGCAGGGCTATTTCCATCCTCAGCCACTCGGCTTCAGCCATCTTGAGATGCACATGGCATATATAGTTCACTGGCTTAGGAGGTGTGGGTTGAGAAAGTAAAGGAAGAGATGTATCTGTCTCCTCCCAAAACTCTGTTTTCATGACCCTGCCTGCATGTTCCTTCCCCGTCCCATGACCTTAGATTCCCAGAGTCCTCTGGGAGCTCTAAAAAATACAACATGAACACCTGATATTGATACAGTGAGTTACCCTTTATAGCACTCTGAGTAGATAGGGTAGGCATTGTTAATCTCAGTTTAGAGTTCATGAAACCAAATATCAAAGATATTAAGTGAATTTCCCAAGATCACGCAGCTAGTAAGCAGGGGAGCTTGGATTAACCCAAGTCTCTTAATTCCTGATCCAGTGCTCTTTTCATAGCACTAAGTCTCTGTTATCATTAATTTCTTCACTTGCATAAAGCCAAGATATGCCAGGTCACTCCTGAAAAAAAAATGACCTCAGCTCAAAAATTTTAAATGAACATTGCTTAGAGCCTGCTGTGTGGCAGGTGCTTTCCAATACATCAGCAAATTTCATCACTACATCAAACCCTTCCGTGGCTTCCCTTCACCAAGAGTGAAATCCAAGTTCTTAGCTTAATATACAAGGGTCCTTGTGATCTTGGCCCTGCCTGCACTTTGGCCTCATCTCCTTCTAATACAAATCACAGCCCTCGCTTCATCTTTTCATTCTCCAAGAAGTCTGCCCTGAGCCTCCTCTCACCCTCTGTCTGGGTTGAGGCTCCTTTTCTGTATTCCTCTAACACCCGGCAGTTATCCTTACTTGCAGTACTTTCTGTACTACCTTACCCTGGTCTGTTTACTCATCTGTGTACTCTTTTTTTTTTTTTTTTTTTAAGACAGGGTCTTGGTCTATCAGGCTAGAGTACAGTGGCACAATCATGGCTCACTGCAGCATTGACCTCCTGGGCTCAAGCAATCCACCCACCTCAGCCTCCCAAAGTGCTAGGGTTATAGGTGTGAGCCACTGAGCCTGGCCTCTGTCTACTCTTTAGACTGTGAACTCCTTAAAGGCAGAGATGTAGCACAGTTCTGGGTACAATAGTAGGTGCTCAATAAATGTTCCTGGGCTGAATTGTCACTGCCATTCTATACAGTAAGCATTGTTATCTTCATTTTATAAATGAGGAAATGGAAGTTCAGACACAGGAAGTAAGCTGTCACCATCAGTCCTTTAGGAAGGTCCCAGCTAGGACCAGCACTCAGGGTTCCAGCTGCTGTGCTATAGCCCGTGCCCTCATGGCCTGCCTCTCCCTGTCTTATTCATCTTAGACACTTCTGCTTTTCCAGCCTAAGCTAACACACTGAATTAGCCCTGCCATTCAGCACCATCCAAGGCAAAAGGGAGAAAGAGGGCGTCGCCAGCATCCCAGCCCCCTCTAGTCAGTATGCTTCAACCACCTCTTGAGAAAGGACCCTTGTGGGCCACCCTGGAAGGAATATTGTCCTGAGCACTCCCTGCAAAGCCAGAAGTACAGCAGAGAGAAAGGGCTGACCAGAACCAATGGGTGAAAACCAGAGGGCAGGCTATTTCTACTAACTCACAAGCATTGAGTGTTTACTCTGTGCCAAGCATTTCCCAATAACTAGATCTGTCAGAAAAAGGAATGGACTCTTAGCCATGCCTGGAGGGGGTCTTCCAGAGGCAGGAATGTTGCAAGCAGAGACAGGTACAGAGTTGCCTTGGATGACTACTACGGTCTCTGAATTTGAAGCCCTGAGCCCACAGCTCTTTCTGGGTCCCTCTTTCTCCCCCTCTCCCTCCCTCAGCCCCTTTCCAACTCTTCTAAGCACTATAAAAAGCAAAAGGCTTTGGAAATGTAACTAAAGTAGTTTTATGATGGATTCCAAAACATTACTTTAAGTACGGCTCTAAGTGATTTTGTTTCCAATACTTGCTGGCAGAAAAATATTACCCCTGCATTTCAATGCAGAAGAAATAAGCAGGCTGCATTTGGCCAAATTCATTTATTTCAGTTATTTCCTAAAATGAGTGTAATTTGGAAATCACTAGTATTATTTTCTCCCAGTGCAGGTTAATGCCTTATACATAGCCCTTGGAAGGGACACTTCTTGCAGAGAGAGAGTTATTAGCTTTTTATTTAGAATGTACTGTATAGGTGATTTGTGGGGGTAACAAACCTAAATAATTTAAAGTAGTCTTTATTTGCTGAGAACTGCAGGTTTTTTTAAAGTATATTTTAAATCTTTAAACTTTCAGAGATTAAGAGAGATTGGCCAGGGATTTATTTGGAGCAGGAATTTCTTTTTCTTGTGCTTGCGTCTTTCCCAGCATCCATTCTTTTTTGTGCCTCCATCTAGAATCATGTAATGTCAGCGCTAGAAGAGACCAAAGACAGCCATCCTTTACAGCAGTAGTTTTCAGATTTCTTTTACAGCCAAATCCTTTATGCAAAAAAAAAAAAAAAAAAAAGTGCCACTAGCAATAAAACAGGGAAAACCAGAGTTACAGCTGTCCTGGTTGGGGCTTCTTTGTCCCCTCACCTCTCTTCACTCTCATGCAAATGCCTCACAGAACCCCTGAAGAACACACTTTGAAAACCAAAGACCACTCTCTTTACCATAACAGAACTGAGGCCAGAGGATGAGGCATCACTTACCCAAGGTCACTCAGCAAGTGTAAAGCAGAGACAGCCAGTACTAGAATCTCCTGACTCTGAACCTGTGTGCATCCCACTAGCTCCAGCTGCTTCTTGCGCTTGGCTTTCCCATTTTAATATAGATCTAACAACCATCTTTCAAATTCCCGTCTCTGGGATCTTGCAAAGAGGAAGCCCTGCCCAAAAGCACAGCACAGACTCACACTCATTCATATTAGCGGCAATAAGGATGCTTGACTGAGACCACAAGCTTTGGGCAGGGACTCTTTACGATGTGCCTGTCACTCAGAAGCCATCCTCCAGCAGGGCTTGGTGAGCTTGTCATTTCTAAGCAAGGCACGTTTTTCTGCGGTCCCCTTTCCAAAGAGCAAGTGGTGACAGCCGCCTGGAATGCAGAGTCAGCAAAAGGGAAGCCACTTTGCCTGCAAATGCCCTGCAGAGACCCTGCCCCCTTTGTCCCTCGTCATCATGCTTGCAAGCCCAGGCCTTTTTTCCTGGGAACCAGGACACCCTGTGCTAGTTAATGTCCACCACAGGTCTTTTCTCATGTTCCATAATCCACACTGATTCCATATGTAACCAAGGGCAATTTTTGCTTGTTTATGTGCTTTCTATTTCTAAGGAGGGGAGCGTCTTGTTACATGAAAGGCCTGTTGTCCTGCTAAAGACCTTGATGGGTTTAGGTCTGAGTTTAGAAAGTAAAAGCTTAAGAGCTCATTTCCCCTGCATGAGGAAATGACACAAACTTATGGGGTTTTTTGTTTTGTTTTTATTTGCTAGAGGTGACAGAGTGGACAGGAGAGGGGACAGGAAAGAGGACAGGAAAGAGATAGGGGGTAAGTTCTGCCACATGGCAGGAGACTGGAGTCCAATTTGTCAAACTGGCTAAAGAGATTTCAGAAACAAAAATCCCTAATGTGAAATTTTCAAGTTTTCTGTGTTACTGCAATCAAAATTCCTCCCATTCTATGTGCCTGAAAGCCTAGTTACAAGTGGTTTTCCTGATAAAATTAGGAGAAAGGGTTGGGTTCACACCTGAGTTGATGTGGTAAGGTACCAGACACATCAAGGCATGAGAAAATCCATAAAGGCAGGGTGATTAAACTAAGAGTAGAGCTCAAAGCCAGAGGTGACCCAGAGAACAGAAGACACAGGGTAAGATTCCACCATCTTGGGGAGGTTTTAGTACTTGTACAGTCGTTGAAATGGGGGTTTGAATTTTGTCTTGTTTCCATTAATGGGTGGGAGAGACACCATCTGATGTCCTTTTTTTTTTTTTCTTTTTTTTTGAGACAGAGTCTTTCTCTGTCACCAGGCTGGAGTGCAGTGGCATGATCTTGGCTCACTGTAACCTCCGCCTCCCGGGTTCAAGCCATTCTCCTGGCTCAGCCTCCCCAGTAGCTGGGATTACAGGCGCCCACCACCACGCCCAGATAATGTTTGTATTTTTAGTAAAGACAGGGTTTCACCATGTTGGCGAGGATAGTCTTGATCTCCTGACCTCGTGATCCACCCGCCTTGGCCTCCCAAAGTACTGGGATTACAGGCATGAGCCACTGCGCCCAGCTGATGTCCATTTTATATATACTCTAGCCAGAACATCTAACGCTGTAAAAACACAGATTTTGCCAGCCCTGTCAGAGAATTCAGTGAGTTAAGATACTTCAAACTGGTAACATTTGCTGACTGTAACTACAAACTAGACACACTGACAGTAACTTTCTTACAGTTGTGTTTGCCAGGGTTTGAATACTACCAGAAATCCTTTTTAAGTCTGAACTCCCCAAGTTCTCACCAGGCCACACGTGATTGGTGAGGTCATGGGGTCAAGAGGAGAATGATTGTTTCACTCCAAAGCAGAAAGCATAAAAGACTCTCAGAATAATTAGCCTTTTTGTTACGACTAATGACCAAGAACAGCAATAACAAACATTCCCATTCTTTGCAAAAGATTATCTGAGGTGTTGAAAAGTCCTAGAGACAGACATAGGTTAATGCTGAATGGGAGGTCTAAATTAGGTCCAAACCAGAGGATAAGGTAGAATTTGAAGAATTTGCACACCCAGCAATTTTGGGAAACAGAGAAAGGGCCCTGGTGTTAATCTCCAATGTTCTCAAAATTGAGAAAGAAAAGGCTTCCTTGTGGGTCCGGGGGAACCCATCAAGGTAGAAGTGAGGAGGGGTTAAGGGGGGTGGGGGGCTGCGATGAGGGCAAGGGTGGTACATATCTTCAGGGGAGAGTAAAGGAATAAGCATGTCTAACCAATGCAGGCAAGGTCCAAAATGGTGGCTAGCTTGGAACATTCCAGTCTTCATCCCTTCATTGCGCAAGGTCCCTTCCAATACCCAACCCAGATTTGCTTTCCATTATGTCATCTCTGTAATTTGCCACATCTCCCCTAGACAGGCAGCCTAGGGAAGAGGCCAGAGTGATCCCCATGAGTCCAGAGTCACAGGTTCAAGCCTCAACTCTGCCCTTCTGTGGTTGTAAAGTCAAGAATAGGTCATTCAGCTACCCAAGCTTCAGCTGGTACATTAGCAAACAGTGAGGTTTCAAAAGGTTTGTTTTATAGCAGAACACTTTCTTAAAGTAAAATCTTATTCAGAAGCCCAATATACAAAATAAGTCAAAGCAGACTTGGCTAGGCTAAAGCGAAGGTAATCGTGATGGTGGCAGTTCCTAAGTTGCCCACAGACACAGAGTGCCACAGGGACATCATTCCTTCACATAGAATCCCATGTGAGTGGCAGCCCTGGATTTGTGCAAATTACCTTCACTTTAGTCTAGCCAAGTCTGCTTTGACTTCATTTACATATTGGGCTTCTGAATAAGATTTTACCTAAAGAAAGGAAGAAAGAAGGCCAATGCAGCTGGGGTGAGGCAGAGGGGCGGGGGGAAGAATGACAGTGAGAGACGCATCAGATGAGGTTAGAGAGGGGGCAGGCAGGGACCAGACCAAGCTTTTATGTCTAAGCTAAATCTTATATAGAATTCAGGAACTTTTGCTTCCCATTTTCTTCTTATTAGTGAGTATATTTTCTTTCTTTGGGATACTAGTCAGAGTGAGAAATAAAATTACCAAAATATTGAGGCACACTGGCCAGCCTGACTAAGAACAGCCCCAGGCTAGGGAATATATCTAAGTCCAGAGCAGTGGGCACACCCAGGGCCTGGCACACTGGGAGGCTGCAGAAGCATTTGTTGCATAAATGAATGACTGGAAGAACAAATGAATGATTTTAAGTTTAATCATTAATTTATCAATAATTCCACCCACAGAGCTGGATACTAATTTAGAAGGCCCTCAGTGTTGGGCTAGACCTCCTGCTAGATCCCATCATCAATCCCTTCTACCCTGCCTGCCTACGATCTCCACTCTCTATTCCAATTCCTCCTCTGATGGGCATCTTTTTGCCTGTCAGTGTATAACATAACATTATATAACAACTATAAATGTAAGCCAAAATTTACCTCTCTGAAGCATCTATTCATGAATCCTTTTTCTAATCCTTTGAGGACAGCACAGATTAAGTCTATTTCCTTTTACAGATGAGAGTCTGTCAGAAATTTCTTACCTTCATTTGCTCCATAGAAATCATGTTTCAGTTTTAGACTGGAAAATCGGAGTTCTGTTCCCAGTGATTCTCAGTGAGCATTCTAACATCCTAGGTTTATGGCACTAAACACAGCCCTTGAAGGTGGTGTCTACATTTCCTTGTAATCTGTTTTAGGTATTCATATAGGGAGTTCAGTAACATAAGCATCAGGACCTTTGGCAACTAGGGCTAAAGTTTGAGCTCGATTTGAAGTCTCTTGAGATATGTCGGACAGTTTAAACTCCAACACTTGTGAATATTAGTTTGCACATTTTTCGTAGTCCAATGGTCTAGGGCATTCCAGGATATTCCACCATGCCAAGGTAATGGATTAGTTCGCACAGTAAAACTATCATGACTAATTCAACCCAACTGGAGAACATTATTTGAGGGGAGGGGGTGCAGGGTAGCAGAGGTTACTTAAAGCATTTTGGGTATTTTTTTTTTTTTGAGAAAGGAAACTTGCATGAAGATTGAATGATTTATTAACCCCCAGAGAAGGTGTTACATATAGGTCAAGTCCGAGTTCATTTTCCAGGCAAGGCAGCAGTGGTGAAGGCTTCTGGTTACAAAGTCATCTTATTTTAGTGTTTATAACAATAGGGCTAAGGAGAACATTCAAAGTATTCAAATAATTTAATAAGGCTCATTTTTATTATATTGCTCTTCCTGATAGGGCCATGATCTTTATCTTTAATTTTTTTTTTTTTTTAAATCACCAACCACTCCACAGAACTTTGAGACCAATTTCTTGCCCTGATTGCCAGAAGGGCCATTTTCCTCATTCTCTCAAGGGAACATATGTAGCAGGAGAAGGAAGAGTCCATGACCCCTTGAGCCTTTGGTCAGTGCAGCAACGCCATGGCAGTAATCTCTGGGCCACCATTTGGCTTAATGAATCCGCTTGACTTTAATTCTAGCCCAGATGTAATCTTTTATAGCTTGATGATTTGTTCTCCCAGGCACTCTGATGAAATGCTATAAACTGTTCGCTAGAATCCAGTGAAAATAGTTTTTATTCCTCATTTCTGTTTCTAATTGTTGAGCAATTAGATTGATTCTTGATCTCTTACAATCACCATAAAATTGTACTATGGCAAAGATTCTTAATCATGATCTGCATCACCCTACAAATAGAAAACACTGAAACATTTTGAGAAAAAAAAGAACTTTCTTAATTCATTTAATTAGAAAACATAAAAATACAAGAAGAAGAAATAAGGGGTATTGGTCAAAGGGTATAAAATTTTAGTTATGCAAGACAATTTCTGGAGATCTAACGTAAAGCATAATGAAAATAGTTAATGATACTGTGTTATATGCTTATAATTTGCTGAGAACATAGATCTTAAATCTTCTCAATACACACACGCACACACACAACACAAAACGGTAACTATGTAAAGGTAATGGATGTGTTAATTAACATTACTGTGGTAATAATTTCATGATGTATATCAAAACGTGAAGTTGTACACCTTAAATATACATAATTTTTATATGTCAATGATATCTCAATAAGGCTGTTAGAAATAAAAATTTAAAAGTAAAAATATAATATTATTTTTTACCACAATGATGCCTATTGTCTGAATTAATTAGGTTTCCTGCACCCCAGTGAATGAGACAGATACAGAAACACAGACACAGAAAGATGCCGAGGTTAAGTGACTAACTCGAGGCTAGAGATAGGAAGCCATGGCAGAGCTCTTCAGGAGACCCCTCTTGGTAGCTATCATAGCCCAGAGCCAACAGTCACAATCTAAATTAAACACCCCTAACCCAAGAGAGTCACAGAGATGCCATGATCATACCAGAAAAATTACAACAAGCAGGGCTTGCCTTACAACTCTGAATGCATGTCAAAAAAAGAAAAAAAAGGTACACTATTTTTACCCTCCGTTTCCTCACTTGGAAAAATTACGGCAGTGCCATTTCTAATTCAGCGTTATGCTGGGAAGGTTGTAAATTAATTACAATTATGCCTTCTTTGTGCCAAGTGATAATTTACTGCAATTAATTATCAAAAGATCTACTGCTGTCAATTATGATACTTGCTCTTGAGGGGGGAGGAGCTATTTGTGAGCATCTGAAATCTGTAACAAAGTTATGTTTTGCCTTTTCCCCCTATTTCCAATTAAGCTATTATAATTTGTTTTCATTATGCCAAACACAATGGAGAAGCTAACAATGTTACTCTAACCTTTTCCTTAATCCAAACATTATCTAGACTTTCATTGAGTCAACACTCCTATTGTTACACCTGCAAGTTGTACATAGAGGGAGGCATACTTCAGAATTAATGAGTGCAGCTGTGGTCTCTCTTACATTCAGCACTTGTAAAATAGACCTCTTTAAAGTGCCATTATCACAATATTGATAGAGTTATTTATAGCACTGCAAACGCATCCAGTCATAACAGAGGACTTGTTATCCACAGCGAGTTCATGTTGCTGTCATCCCCTGGACTTCATCCAGCGCCCAGGAGTAGGCACCAGGTGGACCATCTTTCAAAAATGAGCGCTAAAAGACAACCGAAAACTTTTTCTCGAAGTGAATCTGGTAGCCAGGAGTCTATTTAGTGGATGAGTACCTGTAAGAAACATAGCAAGTCAGCCTGAGCCCAGATACCATGAACGCTGGCCCATGGTAGCAGGGCAGGCTATTCAGGTATATACGGGATGTCACCCACGAGCTGACCCTACATGGTTCTGCTGGAAAGTTGGAAACTCCAGGTGCAAGGCTGGTGCTATTTCTTCATAAGCAATTCGAAGAGATGTCGTGCAGAAGGGCAACATCAGGAGGAATTACCCTTGCTTACACTCTTCCACTCCACAGAGGATGCTTTGCTCCTCTTTACTGTGTGGGAACACCTTATATGCATCTTTTCCCTCATTAAATTTTAAGCTCATTGTGGTTAAAGAGTATACCTTATCTGTTTCTTTATTAGCCCAGTGCTGGACACATGATCAGCATTCTGTAAATTTAAGAATTCTTTGCCATGTGCTAATCGAGTGCTAAGCACAGCACTAGGTCCTATAAAACAAAAACATAAGTGAGTCATCATTTCTTCTCTTAAGAATGTCACAGTCTAGGACAAGGTTCTGTGCCCTTTTTTGGAGTCATGAGATCTTTTGTTAATCTGCTAAGGTAAACACTTTGAGACCTCTTTCCATAGAAAAAAAGCGACTTCATGTCAGTAGAATAGAACCCAAGTCTCTACTCCAGGGTCAGAGCTCTTGCAACAGAAGTGGCCTCAGAAGCCATCTGTCAGACAAGGGTGAGGGTGCTGAATGCAGACATCATGCACATCCAGACTTTTTTTGGACAGTGAGGGTGACAATCCCTCCAGCTGCCCCTGAATGCAGCTGGTAGGGATGAGGGAGAGGACTGTCAGTGTCTTATAAGGACTCTGCAAAGTAGGGACCCTCTGAGAAAAGTGACAGGCTCCTCTGCAGCAAATGGTCTGATTTTCTGTCACCTTTCAGGATGCCAGGTAGGTGGGAAATCTCCAGATTTGCCCAATTTTAGGGAGTCATAAACCTGTGAACCTCACCCAGAGAACCCCCCAACCCCCATAGCTAGTGGCGATGAAGGGGCCAGTTGAGAAAGTAGTGTGTTGGGAGAATGTAAAAGTCCCAAGAGCAGAGCATGCCTTGGCTTGCGGGGAAAAGGCAGTTTATCAGCTCACCTTCCTCTCAGATGTCTGTTCTTCCCAAAATTGTTGGCCTGCCTTCTTCCCATACTTGGGGCCAGCCGGTCATTGTATATTTTTGTAAATTTAGGTTTAAGTTTGGGGATTTGATTTCTTTTTCCCACCTGGATTCCTATCATGTTCACCCCACCTCCCCCAGTCCCACTCCTTGGGAGTGTGGAAGACGAACACATGCAGACCAAACTTGCCAAGCAAATAGGTCAGAGCCTTTGCCAGCCCCCACCTCAGGGCCCAGGGATAACAGAAAGCCAGCTGAGAGGGCGAGATAAGCCCTAATGCATAATCTTCCCCACCCATCCACATCTGAGTTTGCAAATAGGCATTCCAAAGTGACCCTGGCTCAGAGGGTTTTCAAAGTGATGAATTCTCCCTCAGCCACACTCTGCCCTGCCTTTCATTCCATGGTCACCCAGCTATCTCTAACCTGCAATGGGCAGCCTACAGGGAGAAAGGGGATGTGACCATCCTATGCAGAGAAATCTGTCATTTATCTTCAGTGTAAGGCCAAACAATTGCATAGTTTGCAAAGAACCTGACATAAGTCACCCAGGTTTTCCCCCAAACCCCACTGCTTGCATTTACTGGCATCAGAGGAGATTTTTTTCCTGGCAGAAGGCAGCTCTGGCTGCCGCCTGGGCACACTGTGTTCATGAAGTACTTCTCTGCTTCTTTCTATGACAGGAGCACCTGTCATGGAGAGAGCTAGAGCAGGGGGACACTGGCATGCTAGTCCTAACTCTGCTGTATCACACAGAACATTTTCCTCCAAGCCTTGACTTCTTTGTCTGAAACATAAAATGGTTAGCCTAGATCAAAGGCTGCAACCTCAAATGCCCTCTGGGATCAGACATGTAACATATATGGCAATGTCAGCCAACAGAGTGTTCAGAACTTTATGAACAGAAGAAAGCCTTTAGCCCCACCTAAAGACATTTTTATTCTCAAATGTTAAAATGTGCTTGAACAGCAAAATGTGTCTGTAATCTCAATTCATCCCATGACTGCTAGTTGTGAGCCTGGCCATGGATCACAGTACTAAGGCAAAATGGCACTGTTGGTATTTCAGTACTTCTTTTACCCAGAGGCCTTTAAAAACAATATTTAGAACGTTTTAAATAAAATTAGTGAAATTAAATGTATTTCCTATTTGAAATTTAGCTGAGCATTCTTTGGCCACAACCGGTTCTGCTGCTGACTTTGACATCAGTGCCTTCTGCCTGGGGCACCTCAGAGCAACTAACTGTGTGATGGAGCCAGTCCAGGTGGGATTTGAACACTCCTGCAGCTTTCAGGACCCCCTCCTCTGGGCAGCTCCTCTACTCTGACCGGAAGCTCTTTCATTGCAGCAGTTTTAATTTCTCTCCCATCTTCCCAGGATGGATGGCCCTGTCTGCAGCCTAACCTTCCTCTGCTTGTGTAGGAACAGAAGGTAGGCAGAAGTGCTGAGTTTCATTCAAAGCTGGCTTTCCTTAGTAAAAAGTGTTGGTGATATTATTCAATTTCTACCATTCCCGTGGCCAGCCTCTGTGCCTGGGGTGAGGGGAGAAGATGGAGGGAGAGAGGTGCTCAAAGGGGATGGGAGAGGAGAGGGCAGGAGAGTTGCAGGCAGCTCTTCTGCTCTGTGTTCCTCTAGCAGCAACTATACTTACCTCTGTCACTACACTTTTCATTTTGCATTATTATTTTTGTTGTTTATTGGTTATTTTATTGCTTACATGTCCCATTAGAACTGCAAGCACCTTGAAGATATATTTGTGTCCCCAGTATCTAGCACAATATCTGACACATGGTAGACACACCTTTTCTTTTTTTTTTTTTTTTTTTTTGAGACAGAGTCTCACTCTGTCACCCAGGCTGGAGTGCAGTGGCAGGGTCCAAGCCCACTGCAACCTCTGCCTCCGGGGTTCAAGCAATTCTCCTGCCTCAGCCTCCCGAGTAGCTGGGATTATAGGCATGTGCCACGACGCCCAGATAATTTTTGTATTTCACCATGTTGGGCAGGCTGCTTCACCATGTTGAGACAGGGTTTCACTATGTCGTATTTCACTATGTTGGCCAGGCTGATCATGAACTCCACCCACCTTAGCCTCCCAAAGTGCTAGGATTACAGGCATGAGCCACCACACCCAGCCAAGGTAGACATGACATATTTTTTATACAAAATGCATTACTCCTTACCTCTTGTTTGTTGCAAGGATGTTGAATGCATGTAAACAAAATAAAGAGGAGAAGGCATTCTGGGCTTGGGGGGAGCATAATCATAATAAATGTAATTTATAATTAGATAGATATAGATGTAGATATTTGTGTTTGATGTCTATCTTTTCTACTCCAGTACATTGCCAGCACCTAGCACAGTCCCTCACATATAGTACATACTGAATGAATATTTTCAAAATGAATGAATGAGAGGAGAAAGAGCATTTTGCAGGATTTCCATTTCTTTCAACCTACCCTGACAGATGGCTTTAGCTCCCCTGCTTTCTCAAACTTACCTACCAGATTCTCCCCTCTTAAGTAATAGATTGATACTTCCTTGTATCTTTGTGTTCACTGAGGGTCTAGAAGTCTTGAAGGAAAACCCCATGCAGAGTTTATGTACATACATGATAAGCCAGACTGACAGTTCTATCAGAACGGCCTTTTTCATAATTTAATTAAACTCTCTTAAATGTAGACATCAGTCAAGGACAACTTTACTGATTGTGTCTAATTGCACATATTTTCTTACACTTTTACTGAAGCCTATTTTTCAAGTTGCTTGAAAGACTGCTCCTATTTCTGAAAGGGGATATGCCAAAGCAGGGTTTTAATTCATTGCCTTTTGGACACACCGTCATTCCCTAGCTAGCACCAATCTGCTACAAAATGTGATTGTGTGATTACTTATAGGAGTCTCAAGCCACCTTTTTACAAGAGTTGGCTGGTTAACTACTAGAAAATTCAGAAAACCTGTCTGCCTTTCATTCATTTAGTCAATCAGCAAACATTTATTGAGTCCCTATTATGTGCTAGAAATGCTTATTGAGTCCCTATTATGTTCATTCAGTTAGTCAATCAGCAAATACTCTGTCTAGAATGATATGATTCATCAAGATCGGCTTCAGATCTTCCCCAAGGGCAGGCTTTGAGAGTAAGTGGGATTGGTGAGAATGGTGGATTTCAGCCTTGAACGTGACATGCGGGCAGCTGGCGTGTGTAGAGAAAGAAAGCTACTTGTGGGATCGTTTTCTATTGCTGCTAAGACAAATTACCAAAAACTTGATAGCTTAAAATAACACAACTTTATCATCTTACCCTTCTGTAGGCTAGAAATCTAACATGGGTCTCACCGGCCAAGGTGTTGGCACGGCTGTAGCCCTTTCTAGAGTCTCTAGAAGAGAATCTGATTCCCAGCCTTTTCCAGTGTCTGGAGACCACCCATAGCCCTTGATTCATGATCCCTTCCCCATCCTCAAAGCCAGCAACGGTGCTTCTCTCTAACCATTCTTCTCTCGTCACATCTCCCTCTCTGACCTTTCTGCCTCCTTCTTTCCCTTTTAAGGACACTTTTGATTGCTTTGGACCCAGCTGCATAATCGAAGATCCTCTCCTTTAATTCCATTTGCAAAGTTAATCCCCCTTTGCCACGTAAGGTAACATACTCACAGGTTCCAGGGATTGTGGCATAGACATCTCTGAGGAAGGGGCATTATTCTGCCACCACATGGAAGAAGGGTGCATGATGAGACAGCGCTGGGGCATTTTGAGAAGGAGGTATCATGGCATGATGGGAAGATCCTTTTCCACTATAAACCTGGGCTCAAATCACAGCTCATTCCTGTACTAACCCGTGAATTTGAACAAGTCATTTGACATCTCTAATCCTCAGTGTCTTCATCTAAAAGGTGTAGATAACAATAATTCCTTCCCAGAAAATGTGAGGGAATAAAATGTTTTTTAAAGTTAATGAAGCAGTGCTTGGCCAAGAATAGGTACTCAGTGAATGAGGAGGAACAGTAAGAAATATGTTTTGGCTGGACCATTAAGGGCCAGCAAAGGAGCAAAAGGAAATAGGAATGGAAAGATGCACAGCAATAACATAGTGAAGAATCTTGAATGCCAAATTTTATTTTACAGACCATGAAATGTTATCAAAGGCACTAACTAGAACAAGTGAGTGGCCTGAGCATTCACCAAGCAAAAACAAACGTCAGATGAATTAAAATGAGTAGCTTTGGCATTAAGATTCCCTAAGGACAGGTAGGCTAGGCCCCCTCACATCTAAATTTCACATTTTAAGCCAATAAGTAGAAAATAAATCCCCCAATTCTGTTGCTGCCAGTGGTGAACAGCATGTTGTCCTCTAAGCACTCAGTTCATGTTCACACATAATTTTAATTCTGCTTTAACTTCAGATTCATGGATTTTCAATTTATCCAACATCTGGAACACCAAGGGCACTGGGAAAGCCATTCTGGGAGGCTGCCACTTACACAGTGGGACCTCAATAAACATTTGTTGATCAAAAACCCAAAACATGGGGAAAAGGAAGATTTGGAAACTGAAACCAGGTCTTTTGAAGTGGAACATAATTTGAAGGGTTTAACTGTGATATATTGAAAAACATATTTTGCAAGTGAACAATTGGTGAAAATTATCAGCTAAGGTTAGCAAAAGATCCAGGGGAGGAAAGAAGGAAGTCTAGAGTCTTCATGCATGTGAAAGGGACATTTTGGAATTACTTTCATTTTTGTCACAATCACACACATACATACACAATTAGGCAATTCCTAATTACAAGCATCAAAAAATAACGTCAAATAATTCAAGAAGATTCTTTTTAACTCCTATGATTATTATGCCATCAACTATTCCTAACTAGTATTTGTTAGTCAACAAAGGAGAAGTTGTTTTGTAAAATTTTTCTGCAATCCACAAAATGTATTTGGTTTGGTATTTCTGGTTAATTAGTTAGTTCTATGTAAATTGATACATTTCTGGTAATAAAAAGAATATTTCAAAAATAACTTCTTCCCTGGATGACAGAACAACAAATAAACACTGTGCCTTTTTTTTTTTTTTTTTTTTTTGAGACTGAGTTTCGCTTTTGTTTCCCAGGCTGGAGTGCAATGTCACAATCGTGGCTCACCACAACCTCAGCCTCCTGCGTTCAAGCAGTTCTCCTGCCTGAGCATCCCGAGTAGCTGGGATTACAGGCATGTGCCACCAAGCCTGGCTGAATTTTGTATTTTTAGTAGAAATGGGGTTTCTCCATATTGGTCAGGCTGGTCTCGAACTCCCGACCTCAGGTGATCCGCCCACCTTGGCCTCCCAAAGTGCTGGGGTTACAAGCATGAGCCACCGTGCCCAGCCCAACACTGTGCTTCTTGCACTGATTTCTGCCAATAATATGAATTATTTTAGGGCATGTATAGTGGGTTCCACATGTGTTGAATTTAACCCCCTGATTTAGAATGCTTGTCAGAGACTTCTTTGCAGACCACAATGTCATTGTGTCTCCAGGTTTCTTTTAAAATTTACATTTGCTCCTGAGGAAAGGGCAAGGTAAGCAGAACTAAACTAATATTTGTAGAACTTCTCTCTGCACTGGCCCTTCAAGGATATCATCTCACTCAATCCTCATTGCAAACTAGTGAAGGAGCTATTATAATTCTCATTTTATGAGTGAAAGTGTGAACCCCAAAGAGTTTTATACCTTGCCTAAAGTCTTTCAACCAGTAAGTGGCAGAACCAGGATTTGAACCTAGTTTTCTCAGTCATCCATGGCTCTAGTTTAACTTCTAGCTGTCAAAACAATTGAAAAGGATCCACCAAGATAAAACAGAAGTCACTGATGAACTAGAACAGGTGCTGAAGCTATAAGATGGAGCCTGAGAGTCAGCCTTACTCTTTGACTTATGTTAAAGAAACATCACTGAACAATGAATTTCTAGTTCACTCATCTTTAGGAAGAAACCAAGAAAGATTTCAGTCAATCAATAAATACCTAGATGCAGTTAAAAGCTTGGCAGATAATAACAACAACAACCGTAATCATGATAATATGTACTGAGTACTTACTCTATTCAGTCCTTACTCTAAGCACCTGAGAGACGTTAACTCTTCTAATCCTCATGACATCTCTGTGAGGTTGGTACTATTATCATCCCATTTTATAGAGGAGGAGCTGGAGAAATAGTGAGGTCACGAGGTAAGTGACAGAGCTGAGTTATCCCAGGCAGTCCTCTAAACCACACTGCCTCCATAAAGGAGATTCAGGAGCATACAACATCAATAAACAGAACCATGTTAATACAAGAGTGTTTTTTATCCACAGAAATAATGATGCCTGGCATGTTTATAGAACTATGCAATTTATAAAAAGGATTCATGCATTCATCATCCCAACTGATTCTCTTAAAGTAGTCTGGATGTATATATTTTATCCATACTGCACAGGTTCTTTCATTCATTCAATTCAAATATGTATTGAGCACTTCAATTCAACTAGCTTTGGAGAGAGAGCAGTAATCAAAAAGTATCTCACCCTTGCCTTCATAGAGCTTACTGTAGCAGACAGGACATTCTTTAATAAATAATCACATGAGTATGCAATTACAAATGGTACTAAGAACTATGAATGAAAAGTACTGGGAATGCTGAGAGCATATAATAGGGAATGACCTAGTCACACACTCTCAGACTCACTGATAGAACTATCCTGGAAGGTAAGATGTTCCTGAGAAAGCTCATTTGAGCTGAAGTCTAAGGACAATTGAGAATTAATTTAAATGCAACAGTATCAATAAAAGCTTCCTACCATCCTATTTAAAATTGCAAGCATTTTGCATACTCCTTACCCATTTATGTTTTTCTGTATCAATTATCATCTTCTAATGTACTATATAATCTACTTATTTATTATGTTTATTTATGGTCTGATTCCCCCTCAATTAGAATGTAGATGCTATGAGAATTTTTAAATCAGTTGCATTCACTCAAGTGTTCTGCATATACAGCCCCTCGGTAATACTTGTTGAATGAATGAATGAATGAATGAATGAATGAACAAAGAAACCAGTAGAAGGTGTTTGGGGGTGTAGGGGCTAGCAGTCAGATGGGATTTCTCAGTAGACAGGTGCCTTTTTTAAATGTCCTGAGGCAGAAGAGCACATAAAGCTCTTAAAAGAACTCAAGAGGCCCGGTACAGTGGCTCATGCCTATAATCCCAGCATTTTGGGAGGCCAAGGCGGGTGGATTGCTTGAGCCCAGGAGTTCAAGACCAGCCTGGCCAACATGTTGAAACCCTGTCTCTACTAAAAATACAAAAATTAGCTGGGCATGATGGCATGCACCTGTGGTCCCAGCTACTTGGGAAGCTGAGGCAGGAGAATCACTTGAACCCGGGAGGCAGAGGTTGCAGTGAGCCGAGATCATGCCACTGCACCCAACCTGGTGACAGAGTAAGACTCTGTCTCAAAAAATATATATACAAAAATTAGCCTGGCATAGTGGCACATGCCCATGGTCCCAGGTACTCAGGAGGCTGAAGAGGGAGAATCACTTGAGCCTGGGAGATGGAGGTTGCAGTGAGCCAAGATTACACCACTGCACTCCAGACTGGGCAATAGAGCGAGACTTTATCTCAATAAAATAAAATAATAGAGGAACTCAAGAAGACCAGTGTGTCTGGAGTGTAGAGAACAGAACAAGTGGGAAAGTGGCAGGAGATGAGATGGACAGGAAAGCTTGGGCCCTTTGCTGAAGAAATGGAAAGTCAGGGTGGACAATCCAAAAAAAGGAGGCATGATTTGGACTCCAAGTTAGATATAGCCAACTCTGTCATCTCTCACACTTCTCCAAGAGGTGTGCATTCTCCATAACAGGGAAATATAGAATACTCCAATTGGAGAAATATTTAATACATTTTTTAAAGATGGTCACTTAACATGCTTGAGGCAGAAGAGCCTGATGGGTATGGTTGATTTATGAGTATCTGGATATTGATGCAGGGGGTGTCAAAGTGCATTAATTTTGTAGAGTTTCCTAATTCTAGTTTGTTAAAACATAATATTTAAAAAGTGGTATCCTAGATCATTTACTGTCTCAGCTAGGGATAATTGATATTGTGGCAGATAGCCAGCATTGTTGGCAGAAAGAGAATCTTACAGGAGGCCAGCAACATCAGACATTCCAGGACCCACTGATAGATTTCTACCTGCCAGCCCCAAAGCATCTTTGTCCTCTTACAGGAAAGAGCAAAGTGTTCCTTAGCCAGGCGGGTGGATGGTGCTCTCCTTTATGTCCCTGCTTGAGGCTCAGGAGAGAGAGGTTTGTGTCTTTTAATTAAAACAGATCTTTGTCAAACTAGTGTTTTGACTCAAAGCTTATTTAATAGACTCCCAGACTATGCCTAACATGTGGTAAGAGTCATGAAACCGTGTGGCACGGTATTACAGAAGGTGCTTTGGGCTTGCTTCTGTCAAACAAATTAAATGCCTGCACTTCATACACTTTACAAGGCCAAATTAAACACTCATCAAAGAGGAGATGCCTTTTAATGTGCAGTGCCTGCAGCCTCCTTGACACTAGCTAGCTTGCTCCACAAATCCCAGGCTGTCTCGGCTAAATACAGGACAATGGCATTTTCTCTCCTGAGCTGTCGTTTCCAAGATTTAGGTCTTCCCTACAAGGATACTTCTTTTTCCAGCAATTCTGAAATTCTAGTTAGCACCTAGAAGATGTTAGCTACCCTTTTGTTCTTCTTCTTCTTCTTCTCCTTCTCCTTCTTCCTCACGGAGTCTTGCTCTGTCACCCAGACTGCAGTGCAGTGGCACAATCTCACTTCACTGCAACCTCTGCCTCCCAGATTCAAGCGATTCTCATGCCTCTGCCTCCCAAGTAGCTGGGATTATAGGCACCTTCCACCACGCCAGGCTAATTTTTTTGTATTTTTAGTAAAAACCGGGTTTTACCATGTTGGCCAGTCTGGTCTCGAACTCCTGACCTCAGGCAATCTGCCCACCTCAGCCTCCCAAAGTGCTGGGATTACAGGTGTGAGCCACCGCACCTGGCCAAGGTAGTTCATTCTTGCAAATAAACATTGTTGAAAGTGTCAGTTATCCATCTTTCCTAGAAAGTATTAATATTTCATAGTAAATTAAATGAGACCAGCATGCCAGAAGCCCTTCCCAGACTGTTCACAAATTGAGGCTGTGATAATTAAAATGTGATTCCATTTTCTGACATGGACACTGCTACTAATTCTTTGGTTTCTATAAACTAGAACTAGCTAGCACACCATTTAAATTAAAATCTAGACTAAACCTTACATAAGCATGCCAGGTTGTGCTTTTGCCAGTCATGTATTGACCTGGGAAATGCTTTGATAAAGTACTACCTTGCTCTAAGTTATTTCTTTGTATTCCAGCTTTCTATTCATTCTGGAATTTTACATTCCAAAGGCTAAAAGAGACCTTGAAAAATCATCTAGACAAGGAATTCTCAAATATAAGTCAGCTAAACAAATGCATTAGAATGACCTGAAGCACTTACTAAAAATACACGTTTCCAGACTTCACCTCAGACCTACTGAAACAGAAGCTCTGGTTGTGGAATGTAGGGACCACATTAGGAATAAGTTTCTCAGCCAGTGCAATGGCTCATGCCTGTAATCCCAACACTTCAGGAGGCCGAGGCGGGAGGATCACTTGAGGCCAAGGAGTTCGAGACCAACCTGGCCAACAAGGCTAAACCCCGTCTCTACTAAAAATACAAAAATTAGCTGGGTGTGGTGTCACACACCTGTAATCCCAGCTACTCAGGAGGCTGAGGCATGAGAATCATTTAAACCCGGGAGGCAGAGGTTGCAGTGAGCCAAGATAGTGCCACTGAACTCCAGCCTGGGCAAAGGAGCAAGACTCGATCTTGGAAAAAAAAAAGTTCCTCAAGAGAGTTTAGATCCTTCCTCACCATGTTTGAGAACCAGTCCTAATCTCCGTCTTACCCCCAGTCAAAGATAATATATAAGCCCACTTGGCTGATGAGCCCTTACATAGAGATACAATAAACAGTCCTCCATTTTTTTTTTTGAAATGGAGTCTTGCTGTCTTGCCCAGGCTGGAGTGCAATGGTGGGATGTTAGCTCACTGCAAGCCCTGCCACCCAGGTTCAAGAGATTCTCCTGCCTCAGCCTCCTGAGTTGCTGGGATTACAGGAGTGTGCCAACATGCCTGCTAATTTTTGTATTTTTAATAGAGACGGGGTTTCACCATCAAACTCCTGGCCTCGTGATCTACCCGCCTCAGCTTCCCAAAGTGCTGGGATTACAGGCATGAGCCACCACACCGGGCCCTCCCTTTTAAATTACTATTTAGGAATAGAGAAAGGCCTCAAGCTGCTTGCATTAATTTCACATCTTCATTCTATTATCTGGGTTAGGTAGGGCATTGTGTTTCAAGAAAGAGTAATTCAACCTTTAAGTCAGTACCCAAAGGGTTCAAATCCAGTAGTGGGCTATAGTGTCTGGAGATTCCCAGTGAGATAAGAATCATCGCCAAGCATGTGACGCATCCACTCGGAGCAGGACTCCAGCAGGTAGCTTCTCTAACAGGAAACAAGTCCCAGACAATGAGGCGAGCAGGCCAACCAAAGTTGGGTGAGAGATGGAGTGCAACTCAAGCAATTATAATAATGGCTAGCTTTTATATAAGGCTTACTATGTGCCAAGCACTGTTCTAAGCACTTCCATGTATTAAATAATTTAATCCCGAAGTGGACCTTTTACATAGCCACTATTATGAACCCCTTTCACAAATGAGGAAACCAAAGAAGCACAGAAGGATTAAGTAACTTGCCCAAGGTCACACAGCTAGTAAGGAGCTGAGCTGGGATTCAGCCTCCAGCAGGGTGGCTCTAGAATACACATCTTTAATCATTAAGCCATATTGCTTCTCCAGCAGGCTGATGATTAGTATAGTGTTGTGCTCAACAGGGGAAGTGAAGCACAATAGAAAAGACCATCAGAAGCCTTAATATATGCACAAGGCCGGTCATTAAAAGAAAATTGCATCTTGGTGAACACCAGAACACTTCAAGCACAATGAATCCCACACCTTATAACAGCAAGGCCAATTCTAGACCAACCTCAACCACAGGATGGAGTAGGGGATGCTCCTGCTGTCCCTGCTCTAGCAGGGATGATGGGGTCAGGAAAGGATGGGGTTGGACATTGTCTTCTCAGCTTAGGCTGCCACAACAAAATACCATAGACTGGGGGACTTAAAAAAACAGAAACGTAGGCTGGGTGCAGTGGCTCACACCTGTAATCCCAGCAACTCAGGAGGCTGAGGCAGGAGAATCACTGGAACCTGGGAGGTGGAGGTTGCAGTGAGCCAAGATCGCACCATTGCACTCCAGCCTGGGCGACAGAGTGAGACTCCATCTCAAAAAAAAAAAAAAAATAGGAATGTATCTTCTGACAGTTCTGGAGGCTGGAAGTCTGAGATCAGGGTGCTAGTGTGGTTAGGTTCTGGTAAGGTCTCTCTTTCTGGCTTGCAGACGGCCTTCTTCTTGCTATGTCTTCACATGGTTTTCCTTTGGCATATGCACATGGGGAGATAGCAATATCTCTCACTCTTCCTCTTCTTATAAGGCCACCGATCCTCTCAAAGTAGGGCCTCATCTCACCTTAATCATCTCCTAAAAGCCCTATCTCCAAATACAGCAACATTGTAGGTCAGGGATTCCATATACAAATTTGAAAGGGGAAGCATTTCATTCCAGAGCAGGAATTTAGCTATAATGAGCATCCAATAATCTAAAAAATGTAAACTCATAGAAGCAGAAGAATGATGGTTACCAGGGGTTTTGCAGGGGTTACGGGGGAAGGAGGAGATTGGGAAGATGTTGGTGAAAGGATACAAAATTTCAGTTAGACAGGAGGAATAGGTTCGAGAAAACTTGTTCTTTGTGCATCCTGGTGACTATAGTTAATAAAAGTGTATTGTATTCTTGAAAAGCTCTAAGTAGATGTTAAGTATTCTCACCACACACAATATATTAAAGTATGTGAGGTAATGCATATGTTAATTAATTAGATTTAGTCATTTCAGAGTGTATACATATTTCAAAACAGTATGCTGTACACCATATGTATATACAAGTTTTACTTGTCAATTTTGAAAGAAAGAAAAAAGAGAGAAAGAAAGAAAGAGAGGAAAGAAAGAAAGAAAGAAAGAAAAAGAAAGGAAGGAAGGAGAGAGAGAAGAAAGAAAAAAGGAAGGAAAGAAAGAGAGAGAAAGAAAAAGAAAGAAAGAAAGAGAAAGAAAGAAAAGAAAGAAAGAAAGAAAGAAAGAAAGAAAGAAAGAAAGAAAGAAAGAAAGAAAGAAAGAAAGAAAGAGGAAATCTGTATGATGTGCAGGTTGCATTTGACTAAGCTCCTGGGGGAACAACCTCACCGTCCTCTGCTTAGGGTCAATGAGGCTGCATCAGGCTTCCTCTCTCTCTTTCTGGAAACATGTTTGATGGGGGAAGAAGAAAATGGCTTGTGATACAGTACCAAAGGAGCAGGCTGGGGATACCTGAGAGCAGCATTCTAGAACTCAGATGTGTCCAGGGGTCTGGCAGGTAACAAAAGCCTGAAGCCGACCTAGTATGGTGAGATTGGAGTGGGCAAGTCTCATCTTCAGAGGCAGCTCCCCGGCAGCTCCAGCCCACTGTCTCCAAGAGGAATGCAGGGTCAGTGAAGACATCCTTTTGTTTTGTTTTGTTTTTTTTCTTTGAGACTGTGTCTCGCTCTGTCACTCAGGCTGCACTGCAGTGGCACGATCTGGGCTCAGGGCAGCCTCAACCTCCCGGGCTCAAGCAATTCTCCTGCTTCAGTGCCCCAAGTAGCTGGGACTACAGGCACACCCCACCAGGCCTGGCTTGTTTTTTTGAATTTCAGTGGCCAGGACTGAATGGTGCACCAGAACGCCCAACCAATTTTTTACTTTTTGTTGAGATGGGGTCCCTCTATGTTCCCCAGGCTGGCCTCAAACTCCTGAGTTCAAGCAATCCTCCCACCTTAGCCTCCCAAAGTGTGAGCCACAGTGCCCAGCCTTTATTTTCTGAAAAGCAAAAATTCCGGAGTTTTATGTAAAATCTCCCCCATCTTCCAATGTCTTCCTTTAAAAGATACGTGGCCTAAGAAGAATCTCATTCTTTATAAGCCTCAGTTTCCTCACCAGTAAAATGAAGATTATAGATATATGAATCTCATAGGATTTTTTAGAGTATCAAATAAAATAGGGTATATAAAAATGCTTTGTAGGCCAGGTACAGTGGCTCATGCCTATAATCCCAACACTGGGAGACTGAGGCGGGTGGATCACTTGAGGCCAGGAGTTTGAGACCAGCTTGGCCAGCATTTTGAAACCCCCATCTCTACTAAAAATAGAAAAAATTAGCCAGGCGTGGTGGCACGTGCCTATAATCCCAGCTACTCGGGAGGCTGAGGCACAAGAATTGCTTGAACCTGGGAGGCAGAGGTTGCAGTAAGCCAAGATCGTGCCACTGCACTCAAGCCTGGGCAACAGAGCAAGACTCTTGTCTCAAAAAAAAAAAATGCTTTGTAAACTATGAAGTGCTATATACTGTGAACAGAGACACCCATGAAAAGCAAGTTCTCTCCAGTGGTAGTATGATATATTTAATAACGAGGCGTCACACCCCTGTAGAGTCTGCACAAGAGCCAGAGGGACCTTTTAAAAATATAAATCAGATTTTACCCTCTCTGGCTTAAAACTCTCCAACCAATTCCCATCTAAAAATAAAATCAGATGTTTCTCTGGCTTCCAAAGCTGTGCATGATCTGGGAACTGTTAACCTGTCTGACCTGATGCTGCACTCTGCCTTCATGTAGCACACTCCAGCCACAATGCCCTTGTTTCTGCTCCTTACCTACAACAGGCTCATTCTCCTCTTAGGGCCTTGGCACTAGACAACTGGTTAGCTGGAACCCTGACCTTCTGCATGGTGGTTTCATTCTTATCATTCAGCTCTCAGGTTAACATCACCATCTGAGAGATGCTCCAGTCCAGAAAAGCCACTGGTCACTCTCAGCAATAGCACCCTGTTTATTTCTTGACAAGCCTGTCTCACTGATATGTTTTTCAATTTTTATTGGTTTGCTTATTTCAAAAATGTATCCTCCCACTAGTTATAAGCTTCAAGAAAAAGAGACTTATTTAATCTTATTTACCACTGTATCTGCCAGCCTCTGAAACCAAGACTGCTACATGGGAGGAATTAGTAAATATTCATTGAAAGAATAACCTTAAAATTGATATTATAGTAGAAAGTTTAGCAGAGAAGTAGAAAAGTATTGGACTGGAACCAGTGCAGTTTCCTGGGCTCTGCTCCAGGTTCAATGAATCTGAATCTCTAGAAATATGGCACAGGTATCTGGATTGGCCCAGGTATCAGATGGGTGATTCTGATGTAAGTGACTTCAGAACACACTTTCAAAAAACAACAGGCTGGGTGTGGTGGCTCACACCTGTAATCCCAACACTGGGAGGCAGAGACTGGCAGATTGCTTTAGGCCAGGAGTTCAAGACCAGCCTGGGCAACATGGCGAGATCCTGTGTCTACAAAAAAGACAAAAATTAGCTGGACATGCTGGTGCGGGCCTGTGGTCCCAGCTACTTGGGAGGCTGAGGTGGGAGAATCACTTGAACCTGGGAGGCAGAAGTTGCAGTGAGCCGAGATCATGCCAATGCACTCCAGCCTGGGTGACAGAGTAAGACCTCGTCTCAAAAACCAAAAATCAAAACAAACAAACAAACAAAAAACCCACTGGATTTAGAAGCCAAAGACTGATTTGCACATTCTGTTTATTTCACAGGGTTTTCATGGGGACTTAAGATAATGGCTGATAAATTTCTTTGCGTATGCCCAGCCTTACATAAATACAAAGCCAAAGAGCTATTTTTCCATAGCCTGTCAGGGGCCTGCAATATGTGCATTCAGGGGAGAGAAACTTTCTGTGCTCTGAGGCAGCTCCGTTCACTATGGAGGCCTTCCTTTCACGGAGGCGAGCAAATCCGCTCCCTCTTCCACATGACATGTCTTCAAGGATTGAAGACAACCAGACTGGCTGCCTTTAGCATTTCTGGCTCTTTAGCCATTCTTAAGCCATGGTAACCTGGATATATTTCAGTTTGTTCAGCCAGTTTTAGAGTATAGATTTTTATAATTTAATAAAACATTCCATTATGGTCTGTTTAACATAGTTACCATGGTATCATTACATGGTAACTATGTATAATGAATATTATAAAAAATAACTATGACTGTAGTCTCAGGGTCAAACATTCAGGAATTTGAGTTTTTTCTCAGCTCAATAAAAATGAAGCATACTCTTGAGGAAAGAACCATTTGTAGAATTTCACAAAAGACTGGTGTAGAAACTAAAAAGTCCAGTGTATCAATCTACAGTGAAGAAAACCATAATAATAACTAACATGTATTTAAACCCTGACTAATGGCCAAGCACCATCACACATCATCTTATTTAATACTCACTACTCCATAAGTAGGGATCATGATTCTCCCCATAGTATAGGTGAGAACTGTCGAAGCATTGGTAACTTCCTCAAAAATCACATAATTAGTATTTTGCAAACTTCGTTTTAAAGCGTGACCCCAAGGCCATGTACCTACCCATCGACTGTGTACTTACCTACTGGCCATGTACTTATCCTCTGACACCATACCAATTGGTCCACTTTGGCTCCTCACTTTCTGTTTTTTATTTTTTATTTTATTTATTTATTTATTTATTTATTTATTTATTTATTTATTTTGAGACGGAGTCTCGCTCTGTCACCCAAGCTGGAGTGCAGTGGCGCGATCTCGGCTCACTGGAAGCTCCCCCTCCCGGGTTCACGCCATTCTCCTGCCTCAGCCTCCCAAGTAGCTGGGACTACAGGCGCCCGCCTTCACGCCCAGCTAATTTTTTTTTTTTTAAGTAGAGACGGGGTTTCACTGTGTTAGCCAAGATGGTCTCGATCTCCTGACCTCGTGACCCACCCGCCTCGGCCGCCTAAAGCTCTGGGATTACAGGTGTGAGCCACCGCGTCCAGCCTGGCTCCTCATTTTCTATGTTTCTTGCTAACCATCCATTTACCTTTGGACTGACACCTTCTATTTTTAGACATAATATCACTGATTATTCCACAATCAAATTCCATTTGCATTTCCAGTTTCACCCTTGAAGTTACTTTTGTATAGACCTAATCCCATCCATTATGTATGTTGATTTTGTAATTTTAGTCTTGGAGTTTTTTGGGGAGGGTTCCTTGCTGATGTCTGTAACTTCCTTCAATGATCAATTAAAACACTTAAATATTTTTCCAGCTTACTTACATAAAGCTAGGCTTCTATAATTGTGCCATTGATTTTTTTTTTCAATCTAAACACAAAACTTTGCATATATCCCTGTGGGATACTATCTTGTGATTTTTGGACAAATATTCTAGCTCGTCAAGATTATTTTAAATCTTGATTCTATCATCTGCGGTATTAGCTATTCCTTCCGGCTCTCTGTCATCTGTAGGTTTTGTTAAATGAAACATCTATTCCTCATGCAAATAATTGATAGAAATATTGAACTGCACAAAGCCAAGTATAGAGAAACTCACAGGAGGAATTAAAAAAAAAAGAAGAAGAAGAAGTATGGGCCAGGCGCAATAGCTCATGCCTGTAATCCCAGCACTTTGGGAGGCCGAGGTGGGTCGATCACCTGAGATCAGGAGTTCAAGACCAACCTGACCAATATGGTGAAACCCTGTCTCTACTAAGAATACAAAAATTAGCCGGGCGTGGTGGCAGGTGCCTGTAGTCCCAGCTACTTAGGAGGCTAAGGCGGGAGAATCACTTGAACCCAGGAGGCGGAGGCTGCAGTGAGCTGAGATCGCACCACTGCACTCCAGCCTGGGCAACAGAGGGGAGACTCCATCTCAAAACACTCCAGCCTGGGCAACAGAGCAAGACTCCATCTCAAAACACTCCAGCCTGGGCAACAGAGTGAGACTCCATCTCAAAAAAAAAAAAAAAAAGTATGGTACTGAACTAAGCATGAGAATGTGAATCTAGTCACTAGAAGTGATCCCAGATGCACTATGGAAAAGAGTGATTTCCTACCCTTCTCAGATACTCTTCGTGATGCTACATGCAGACAAATGCACCAGTGTCATTATCAACCCTTTAATGTACTTCCTTATCTCCTATAATACATTACCTCAATAGTCAACAAATATTGATTACTTACCATGTAAAAATCATTGTGCATATGTGCTGGGGTTACAGAATTGAGGAAAAAAATTAAACTAATCACCATAGTGTGATAAATGCTATTTGAAAATAAGTGATATGGGAGACCATGAGGGAGACACATAAATATGCTTGACAAGAGATCAAGAAAGCCTTCTTAAAGGAGGTGGTGCATGGGTTAAATTTGAACATGAAGTGTAGACTGACCAAACAAGGAGTTGGAAGTGGAAAGGTTGTCAGGCACCAAGGTCATAATGGGCCCCTAAGCCATGTTAAAAGACTGGGGTTTACATTTAAAAGAGTAAAAGCTTTGGGCCTGGCAAGATGGCTCATGTCTGTAATCCCAGAACTTTGGGAGGCTGTGGCGGGAGGATCGCTTGAGTCCAGGAGTTTCAGACCAGCCTGGGAAGCATGGTAAAACCCCGTCTCTACAAAACATAGAAAAATTAGCCGGGTGTGGTGGCGCATGCCAGTGGGGTTCCAGCTACTCAGGAGGCTGAAGCAAGAGGATCACCTGAGCCCAGAGTTCAAGGCTGCAGTGAGCTGTGATCATACCACTGCACTGCAGCCTGGGTGACGGACTGAGACCTTGTCTAAAAAAAAGAAAAAATTTAATTAAAGTTTTAATTAAGGACTCTGTCCATGAAGTGTTCTCTATCTACTTACACTTTTGTCAATTCCTCCTGCCTTGAAAATCCTACAGTAGTTTTTTTCCATCCCACTCAGGTCCTGTATTTTTACCTCATTAATGTGAATATGGATCTTACATCCCTGAATTTCATGGAATGGCATCCAGACTGGGAATATGTCTCATATTCTCACTATATCCATTTGTATCATCTTGCACAGTTCCAGGCACCAGGACAGTGAACAAATTCTTGATGAATTGAATAGCAGCAATGGCAATGAATGGCAAACAGTAGTAGTAGGGGATCAGACAGGAGGGTGACAGCCAGGAAAAATGGCACACATGCCTGAGGGAGCCTGAGACTGACAGGTAAACTCTGTAAGGGCAGGGATCATATTTGTGCTGTTCCTTCTTTGTTCCAAGTGACCAGAAGAGTTGTATCATTTTTTATGTTCAGTCTTACTTTCCAAGGACAGATTATCCCTCAGGAGTTCTTTGTTTAGGTTCCTGCATCTAGGGCTGATGTTGATTTTATGCACAATTTCTTTATCCATGTCAATGTCAAGATATAGTGAGTTTTGGAGAGTATGCAGCGCTGGGTTCAAAAACTAGTCTGACTCCATGCCTTCTTCTGTTTTTGAGACAGGGTCTCACTCTTTCACCCAGGCTGGAGAGCAGTGGCGCGATCACGGCTCACTGCAGCCTCAATCTCCCGAGGCTCAAGGGATCCTCCCACCTCAGCCTCCTAAGTAGCTGGGACCACAGGCGTGCACCACCACACCTGGCTAATTTTTGAATTTTTAGTAGAGACAGGGTTTTACCATGTTGCCCAGGCTGGTCTCAAACCCCTGAGCTCAAGTGATCCATCCGCCTCGGCCTCCCAAAGTGTTGGGATTACAGGCGTGAGCCACCGCACCTTCCCCTGACCCTTTAACTTTATTTAACCAGTCAGAATATGTAGAAAAGGGACGGAGAATAGATTGCAACTTCCATGATGAGTCAGTCAGATTGATTGAGAATGGCGTACTGGGCCTTTGGAAAGCATGTCACAATGTAATTGGTGATGTCTGTTGGCCATAAAAGAAGTGTTGAGTGGAACTCACAAGGGCCGTGCATATGTTGCCTCTTATAACTATTGCCATTAATGTGGGCAAAAATGTTTTTCTGAAAGTTGGCACAATCTAAATGTGCCACCTTATAAACTGTACGCAGGTGGCTCCAGCCTTTAACCTTTGTATTATGAAATAAAATATGTATACCTAAAACATATTACTAAACAAAAATATATAAGGTATGCAAACAAAAATATGCAGCTCAACAATTTGTTCAAAGTGAACGTGTGTGATACCACCACCCAGGTCAAGAAACAGAACATGATCAGCATCTTAGAAACTCCTCCCTTTAGTTCCCTCCAAACATTACCTACCATGATTTTGACTTTCATGAATACTATGTTCTTGCTTTCCTTTATAATTTTATCACCTACAGACGTACCCATAAGCAGCACAGTTTGGTTTTGCATTGGTTTTTTCTTTCTTTTTTTTTTCTTTTTTTTTTTTTGGTACTTTATATGAATTGAATCACATACTACACATTCTTCTGTATTGGGCTTCTTTTAATCAATATTATGTTTGTGAGACTGATCCATTCTGCTGCAAGTAGTTATAGCTATAGCTTTAGCTTATTCTTTTTTTTTTTTTCTTTTCTTTTCTTTTCTTTAGAGACAGAGTCTTGCTGTGTCACACACAGGCTGAAGTGCAGTAGCACTATCATAGCACATTGCAGCCTTGAATTCCTGGGCTCAAACGATCTTCCTGTCTCAGCCTCTCAAGTAGCTGGGACTACAGGCATGTGTCACCATGCCCAGTTCATTATTTAAAATTTTTTGCAGAGACAGCATCTTAATATGTTGACCAGGTCTGAACTCAGCCTCAAACAATCCTCCTGCCTAGGCCTCCCAAAGCATAGAGGCATGAGCCACAGCGCCCAGCCCTTATTCATTTTTCACTGTTGTGAATTATTACAAAGTGGGAACATATGACCACTTAATTTATCTAGTCCACAGATGATGGACACTTGGATGGTTCCCAATCTCTAACTAGTTTGAATAATGTTGCTATGAACTTTCGCATTTTTGGAGCACATATTTCTGTTGGATCTATACCTAGAGACTAATTTCCAGGTCACAAGGTATTCTTATGTTCAACATTAGCAGATAGGGCCAAACTGTTTTCCAAAGTAGTTGCATCAATTTCACATCTACCAGCAATGTACGAGAATGTCAATTACTCCACATGCACACCAACGGTTGGTGTTTCTCAGTCTATTGATTTTAACCCTTCTGGCATGTGTGCGATATTTTATGTAGTTTTTAATTTATTATTCCCTGATGGCTAATGGGCATCTTTTATTTATTTTACCATTTGCATATATATATATATATGTATGCATATATGTATATATATATATATATTTTTTTTGAGACAGGGTCTCACTCTGTCACCCAGCCTGGAGTGCAATGGCATGATCTCGGCTCATTGCAACCTCCACATCCCAGATTCAAGCGATTATCCTGCCTCCACCTCCCGAGTAGCTGGGATTACAGGGGCCTGCCACTGCGCCTGGTTAATTTTTGTATTTTTAGTAAAGAAGGGGTTTCATCATGTTGGCCAAGCTGGTCTCGAACTCCTGACCTCAGGTGATGCGCCCACCTTCGCCTCCCAAAGTTCTGGGATTACAGGTGTGAGCCACCGTGCCTGGCCTTGAATATCTTCTTTTGCGAAGTCCCTGTTCAAGTCTCTTGCCTGTCTACCAGATTTGTCATTTTGTATTTTTTTTAATGATAAGAGTTATTTTTATCTATTCTGGACATAGGCTTTATCAGTTAAGTATTTTACAAATACCTTCTCCTGTTTGATGGCTTCCTTTACACTCTCCGAATGGTGTCTTCAGAGGAAAAGAAGCTCTTAATTTTATGTAATCCACTGCATCAATATTTCTCTTGAGATTTTGTGCTTCATTTCATTCACTTTAAGAAAAATTTCCCTATCCCAAGGTTGTGAATATATTATGCTATACTATCTTCTAGAAGCTTCATTGTTTTATCCTTCACTTTTAGGTCTACAGTGACCTGGAATGAGTGAATGAATTTGTTTATGTTTAGTCTGGTGTGAGGCAGTAAGTCATTTAATTTTTTTAATCAGGATAGCCAACTGACCCAGTTTTGGAAAAGTCTCTTTAGAAACAACATCTCGCTTTGAATCAAGTGCTATATGTGCATGGGTCTCTTACTGGAATTCCTATTTTAACTTTGTATTCAGGTGGCAATACTACACTGATTTCTGCAGTCTTCATATGCAATGGAGCAAACCCTCCCAGTATTCTTCATCAAGTACCTTGTCTATTCTTGGCCATTTGCACTAACATGTACATTTAGAATAATCTTTCCAAGTTCCATTTTAAAATTCCAGTTGGGGTTTTCATTGGGAATACATTAAACTTATAGATCATTTTGGAGAGAAAGAACATATTTATAATATTGTATTGTCCAACTTTAACACGGTATATGCCTTTTTAATTTAGGTATTTTAACATAATATTGTTATGTTCTTGCACATGTTTTCTGAGGTTTATTACTGGGTATTTCAAAATTTTGATGTTATTTTAAAAGATTACTTTTATTTATTTATTTATTTATTTATTTTTGTTTGTTTGTTTTTGTTTTTTGAGACAGAGTCTCACTCTGTAACCCAGGCTGGAGTGCAGTGGCACAATCTCAGCTCACTGCAACCTCTGCCTCCTGGACTCAAGGGGTTCTCCTGCCTCAGCCCCCTGAGTAGCTAGGATTACAGGTGTGCGTCACCATCTACGGCTAATTTTTGTATTTTTAGTAGAGACAGTGTTTCGCCATGTTGGCCAGGCTGGTCTCGAACTCCTGGCCTCAAGTGATCCGCCCACCTTGGCCTCCCAAAGTGCTGGGATTACAGGTGTGAGCCACTGCACTCAGCCGAAAGATTACTTTTAAATTTCTATTTTATTACTGTTCAAGGCTGGAATATAGAAATACAATGTTTTCACATATTGCTCTTGTATCCAGTGATCTGCTAAACTCAATTAAGAATTCTAATAATTAATAGGTATTCTGGATTTTCTATATTCCCCATCATATCATATATAAATAATGAGAGTTCATTTTTTCCTTTCCAATCTTTATGCAGTAATGTACCGCATAACAATATTTTGGTCAATAACAGACTGCATATACAACAGTGGTCCAATAAGATTATAAGGAAAGCAGGGCCTAATGGCACACACCTGTAGTTCTGGCTACTCTGGAGCAGATGCTGAAAGATTGCTTGAGCCCAAGAGTTCAAGGCTGCAGCGAGCTATGATTGCACCACTGCACTCCAACCTAGGCAACAGAGTGAGACCCCATCTCTAAAAAAAAATTTTAATTTTAATTTTAAAAGATTATAATGAGGCCGGGCACGGTGGCTCATGCCTGTAAATCCAGCACGTTGGGAGGCCAAGGCAGGCGGATCATGAGGTCAGGAGTTCAAGACCAGCCTGGCCAACATGGTGAAACCCCATCTCTACTAAAAATACAAAAATTAACTGGGCATAGTGGCGCGTGCCTGTAATTCCAGCTACTTGGGAGGTTGAGGCAGGAAAATCGCTTGAACCCAGGAGGCGGAGGTTGCAGTGAGCCAAGACTGCGCCACTGCACTCCAGCCTGGTGACAAAGCGAGACTCCATCTCAAAAAAAAAAAAAAATTATAATGGAGCTGAAAAATTCTTATCACCTAATGACTTCATAGTCATCTCAAAGTCATGGCCCAATGCATTACCTTCTCTATATTTAGTACACAAAAAATATGTACCATTATGTTACAATTGCCTACAGTATTCAGTACAGTAACATGCTGTACAGGTTTCAGCAAGAACAATGGGCTATACCATATAGCATAGGTGTGAAGCAGGCTATACCATCTACATTTGTGTAAGTACACTTTATGATGTTCACACAATGACACAATCATCTAATGCTGTGTTTCTCAGAATGCATTCCCATCATTAAGTGACACATGACAGTACATTTATTTCTCTTGTTGCCTTGCTGCAATCACTAACTAGGATCAGTACAATATTGAGTAGAAATGTTGATAATAGACATCCTTATGATGTTCCCACTTCTAAAGCTTTTAACATTTTACCACCAAGTGTGATGTTTGCTGTTGGATTTTTGTAGCTACTTTTTTCAGAATAAGTAAATTCCTTTGTATTGCAAGTTTGCTAAGATGTTTTTAATCAAAAATAGGTGTTGAATCTCATTAGATGCTTTTTCTGCATATATTTAGGTGATCATATAATTTGTCTCTTTTATTTAATTTATGCAGTATGTTGGTTGAGTTTTGAATGTCCAACCAACCTTGAATTCCTGGATTAAACCCAAATTGGTCATGATTTATTATCCTTTTTCATATATTGCTAAATTTTTTGCTAATTTCTTAAAGTTTTTATGTCTATCTTCATAAGAGAGATTGGTTTATGATTTTCTTAAACTGTACTTATGAAGTTTTGGTATTAAGGTTATTCTGGCTTCATAGGGTATTACTGTCCCTTTTTCTACTCTGAAAAAAATTTTCAGAAGATTGGCATTATCTCATCTTTAAATGATAGAATTTGCTGGAAAAGCCATTTAGTTCCAGATTTTCTTCATTAAAAGGTTTTAAATCATGGGCTGGTAGTGGTGACTCACACCTGTAATCCCAGCACTTTAGGAGGCCAAGGCAGACAGATAGTTTGAGCCCAGGAGTTCAAGATCAGCTTGGGCAACATGGCGAAACTATCTCTACAAAAAAATACAAATATTAGCTGGGCATGGTGGCATGTACCTGGAGTCCCAGCTACTTGGGAGACTGAGGTGGGAGGATCACCTGAGCCCAAGAGGTCAAGGCTGTAGTGAGACATGGTCGCAACACTTCACTCCAGCCAGGGCAACAGAGTGACACTCTGCCTCAGAAAAACTAAGTAAATAAATAAAAGTTTTTAAATTATAGATTCAATTTATCTAATAATTATCAAATCATTTATATTTTTTCTTTCTACTATATCCATTTTGGAAAGCTTCATTTTTCAGCAAATTTGTCTATTTTATGTAAATTTTCAAATATATTTGCTTAGTTATTTATACTATCCTTTCATTAAATTTTTTAATGTGTGTAATATTTGTAATCATGACCATTTTTTGTGACATTAGATGTGTTTTCTGTTTTCTTTGCTTTCCCTTTTTCATGTTTTTTCCATGAGAGATTTATCAATTCTATTAGCCTTTTCAAATAAACTTTTGGATTTATTGATCCTCTCTATTCTGTTTTCTATTTCATTTGTTTCTGCTTTTATCTTTATTATTTCCTATCTTCTATTTTATTTGTTTAATTTGCAGCTCTGTCTCTAAATGTTCGAAATGGATGGTTAACACATTGATTGACAGCCTTTCTCTTTTTCTAATATACATCTTTGAAGCTATAGATCTTTCTCTAAGAATGACTTTAGCTGTATTACACTAGTTTTGATACATATTTTCAATTTTTTAGTTTAAATTATTTTTTAATTCTCATTGTCATTTCTTCTTTGAACTATGGGACTATAGAACAATATTTATTAATTTTCAGATAGTTGAGGATTTCCCATTCTGTTTTTGCTACTGATTTTTAGCTTAATTGCTTGAAATAAAAATTTTTGAAAAGTTTTAGAAACTTTCTTTATGGTCTATTAAGTTTTCCATGTGCTTGGAAAAAAATGTGTATTTTGGGATTTTTGTGTGCTTTATTTTACACATGTCCATTAATTTAAATGTGATTATAATGCATTTTAATCTGCTATATTCTTACTAATTTTTGGTCTGTGGATTCTCTTAGGTACTGTAAGTGATTATTAAAATTTCCCATTATACTATTTATTAGTCTATCTCACCTTTCAGTTTTGTCAATTCTTGCCTTATATATTTTTGTACTGTTATTAGGTACATTACAATTTCCTATGAATTAAATCTTTTTTCAGTGCAAAGTCTCTCTTCATCTCTAGTAATGCTTTACAATATGTATAACTATAGCAGTTGTGTTTTGGCTACTATTATGTATTTTTTTTTTATTTTTCTTCAACTTTTCTGTATTTTTATGCCTTAGGTTTGTCTCTTGTAAACATGGTAGATATGGTAATTTTAAAGTTTGTGTCTCATAACTCCTATATCTGGAGTCCCAATAGATCTTTTTCCATTCCCTGTTGATTTTGCCAGTTCTCGTTCCTATCGTCTTATGTCCTTATATGCCTAGTTGTTTTCTTATTATGCAATAGTTTTTGTATTTCAGAATTTGTTCATAGAATTAATTTGAGGTCTAGGATGATGTTATCTTCCCCAGAGAGGATTCCCATTTGTCTCTGCCCTCAAGCCATAATCACTTCAATCCAATTTAAAGGTGATTCAAGACTGATCTTAGTTCCTGTGGGGCCTCTCTATTTCTGGTTCACCCACACTCCCAGGGTTCAGACCTTCCCAGCGTTGTAACTCAGGCCTCCCAACCTGAGCAGGCACTGATGTTTAATTTCTGTTCCCCAACCTTAATCCTTAGCCACTCTCTCTAGAATGGGCAAATAACCCTAGTGGAAATTAGGCCCAAATGCTCTAGATACTGGCCACATAATTCTTCCCTACCTTGCTAGTTCTCCAATGCCTTAAGGCGGATGTTTTTATATTCTTATCAGCTTTTCTCATTGTCCTCAGGGGGATGATCAGTCCAAATTACCTTGTCACCATTACTAGATAGATGTACACTCTGCTCTGTTGATTTTGTTTTTAATATACAGTCATGCATTGCTTAACAATGGGGATACAATCTGAGAAATGCATCACTAGGCAATTTTGTCATTGTGTGAACATCATAGAGTGTACTTGCACAAACATAGATGGTAGAGCCTACCACACACCTAGGCTATATGGTATAGCCTATTGCTCCTAGGTTATAAACCTGGACAGCATGTTACTGTACTGAATAGAAAATTGTAACACAGTGGTAATTATTTGTGTTTCCAAACATAGAAAAGGTAATGCATTGTGCGAGGATGTTAGGACAGCTATGGCATCACTAGGCAATAGGAATTTTTCAGCTCTGTTATCATCTTATGGGACCACTATCATATATGCAGTCATTAGGCAATGCATGACTGTAAATAATTTTACACTATGTTCTTATTATGTTTTCTTATTATGATTGCTTCCTTATTATGAAAGTTAGACATTCCCACTTTTAGAAATTTAGCAAATACATGGCCGGGCATGGTGGCTAACATCTGTAATCCCAGCACTTTGGGAGGCCAAGGCAGGCAGATCACTTGAGCTCAGGAGTTCGAGACCAGCCTGGACAACATGATGAAACCCCATCTCTACTAAAAATACAAAAATGAGCCAGGTGTGGTGGCATGCGCCTATAGTCCCAGCTACTTGGGAGGCTGAGACAGAAGAATTGCTTGAACCAGGGAGGCAGAGGTTGTAGTGAGCTGAGATTGTGCCACTGTACTCCAGCCTGGGCAACAGAGCAAGACTTCGTCTCAAAAATAAAATAAAATAAAATAAAATAAAAATTTAGAAAATATAAACATGGAAAGGAAGAAAATAGAAATCACTTATAATTCCACTTTTCTAAAATATATTTCCTACTGGTCTATTTTGTATGTATATATACAAACATTTTTAACAAAAATGAGATCATGCGGTACTTACTACTTTATAATGTAATTTATTCATTTAATATATCAGAGTATCTTGATGGTTGCATGGTTTTCCAAGGTATGTATATACCACAATTCACTTAAACAATTATTGAATATCAGAATTTTTCCAATATTCAACATTATAAAACCATTGTCACAAACATTATTTTGCTAAATATTTGAACAGTTCATGATTATTTCCTTAGGATTAACTCCTAAAAGTAGAACAGATAATCAGAAGATATAAGGCATTATATATACTGACAAGTTACCCTCCAGAAGAGGATTACCAATGTACATTTCTACTAGCAGTGTTAGAGAGTGATATTGTTCCCTTCCGACAACCAGATTGGAGCTACTAAGCAATTAGTCGCATACCAACATAAATGAGATTTACCATCTTAAAACAATTTTAAAAGGATTTTTAAAGTTTTCTGTCCTGGATTTTGCCATGATTGTAACTGATTTCTCCCTTAATAAGGAAAATAAGCCATCAGCTCAGAGACCAGAGGGATTTAGGAGCTTAGCAATAAACCATCAACCATTTCCTCTACTGGGAGTCTGTATAAAAGTTGGTTTATTGTCATGGAATATGATGCAGCCATAAAAACAAATGAGATGGCACTCAACTCACAGAAAGTAATCTCTAATGATGGGCTTTCCAACGCTATATGGCCCCTATACTAAGGAAGTAGCTGGCATCTCTCATTTTATGCCCCCATACATCTACCCAAACTGAGGAAAGAGAAATTCTACAATATCAATATGGAGAAGGAAGGCTATGGTTCTCTGTGTACTTTATAAAGAGTATTTTGTTCTATGCTCATTATTGTATATCCTGGGAAGCCTAATTTTAGTTTTATTTGAAGATGAAGAAAGAGAAACATTAAGCCACACATGCTTTTCATTTTTTGTACAAATTTATGGTGTATGTGTGCAATTTTTTTGTTTTTCTGTTGGTTTTGTTTTGCTTTGTTTTGTTTTTTTTGAGATGGAGTCTCACTCTGTTGCCCAGGCTGTAGTGCAGTGACACGATATTGACTCACTGCAACTTCTGTCTGCTGGGTTCAAGCGATTCTCCTGCCTCAACCTCCAGAGTATCTGAGATTACAGGTGCCTGCCACCACGTCTGGCTAATTCTTGTATTTTTAGTAGAGATGGGGTTTCACCATGATGGCCAGGCTGGTCTAAAACTCTTGGCCTCAGTGATCTGTTAGTCTTGGCCTCCCAAAGTGCTGGGATTATCGGTGTGAGCCATGGTGCCCAGCTGCAACTTTGTTACATGCATAGATTGCAATGTGGTCAAGTCAGGGCATTTAGGCTATCAATCACCCGAATAATGTATATTGTATGCATTAACTAATTTCTTATCACCCCCCCCCCTTATTCTCTCACCTGTCTGAGTATCCACTGTCCATCATTCCACTCTGTATGTCTATGTGTACACATTTTTAACACTCACTTATGAATGAGAACATACAATATTTGACACACATGCCTTCTAAACTAGGTATTGATGAAATAAAAACTTAGTTTCAAAGGCTTATTTTTCTTGGTGTATTCACTGTTGTGGAATTACCCTGTGGAAATAGCAGATAGCTGCTTCTGGAATGTATCGTGACATAAACCGATAAATTCAGCAAAGACATCTACCTGTCAACTGACTTTTATACTCCAATTATGTTATTTTAGTTTTATTTCTAAATATTATTAGACAATAATTAGAAATATTAAATTATTGGCCGGGCGCGGTGGCTCACACCTGTAATCCCAGCACTTTGGGAGGAGGGCGGATCACAAGGTCAGGAGATCGAGACCATCCTGGCTAACACAGTGAAACCCCGTCTCTACTAAAAATAGAAAAAATTAGCCGCGGGTGCTGGTGGGCGCCTGTAGTCCCAGCTACACAGGAGGCTGAGGCAGGAGAATGGCGTGAGCCCGAGAGTCGGAGCTTGCAGTGAGCCGAGATCACACTACTGCACTCCAGCCTGGGCGACAGAGCGAGACTCCTTCTCAAAAAAAAAAAAAAAAAAAGAAAAGAAAAGAAATATTAAATTATTAAGGCCCTGGTTTAATCCATGAGACAGTAGATTACAGCGGTAAATAGCATGAGCTCTGGGGTCAGACCGTAGGAGTTTGGGAAAGTGACTTCTAGACAACTTTGAGCAAATTACTTAGCATCTCTATGTCTGGGCTTCCTAATCTGGAGAATGAGGATGACAGTGGTACACATTTCAGATGGTTGCTTTGAGGATTAAATGAGATAATACCTGTAAAGTTTAGAACAATGCCAGGCACATGGTAAGGCTTGGAGTTAGTTATTGTAGAAGGGGCTCTATAAATAAATGTTTAATTGAAAAAAATCAACAGTCCAACTGGGGGTGGCAGTTAACCACTCTTACCCCAAAATGGAAACCTCTTGCTATTGGAATAACTTTCCAGAATAAAATATATGAAAGAAAACTTGATGAAATACAGGCATTAAATGTTATCACATAACCATCCGTAAATTCTGGGTTTCCACAAAGCAGTTCTTCCGAATCATAATTAAGGGTTTGAAAGTCAAATGATTTAACTGCTAGTTTTAATTACCTCTTGGTGAACTTTAGTGTGTTAGAATTGTCACAACTTTCCTTGAGGATTACTCTGAAGTCAAGCAATACAGTGGGAAATTATTAACTCCTACTTTGGTACAGCAATTATCTGCATTACAAGGTTTATGCAATTAGCTGTTTAAGATGTCATTATATTTTGCCATCTGGTACACAGGAGTTTATGCATATGAACAGGCACGTGTTGAAGTGATTTTCACTATATGACTTGTTCTCAACCCAAGTCATCGCTCTAATGAGGGGAAGTTGCCGTGCACCGTACATTAGTGGCAGGTGCACACTATCAAGCTTCATTTTCATCGAAGACCTTCATTTTTCCATTTTAAAGTATTCTGCACAAGTGCTGGAAAATTAATTAGTCGTTCTCAATTGAACAACGCCTGCAGACGTGTTCTTTAGCAGTTAGGCGGGGGCACGGCTTCAGGTAGGGGCCACTCCTCCTCCTCACCCGGACGGCTGCAAGGAACCCTCATTCTGTGCAAAGCCAGGGCGCAATCCTGTGCAGTAAACCTCCCCTCGCGAAGAGGGAAGCGGGGTTCGCTGTTGCACCCCAGGCCGAGCGCCCTAGGGGAGAGGGCGCCGCAGCGAGTCCCGAGATCCGAGCCCGGCCTCGACGCCGGAGCGCTCCCGGAGCTGGTCCTTGCCCGAAGCGCATTAAAACGGCGCCCTCTGGTGTCAGCTCGCGGCGGCCGGGTAAAAGCAGTGGCGCTGGGGGTAGAGTTCTACTCGCCACCCTGTTCGCAAACTGAAAGATCCCCGAGTTTAGAAAGTGTCTTGCCGCTCTGCGGACGCTGTGTCCGCGGCCCCGCTGTCGCGCAGAGCTGGGCTGCGATCAGAAAGTCCGGCTCCCCTGGCCCCAGACAGTGGCTCCCGGGGGAACCAGCGTGGAGGGTGAGGAGGGACCTGGCCTTCGAAGGCAGGAAGGACAGAACCCCCAAGCCACGACGGCAGCGGGGCGCGGGGACGGCCGGGCTCCAGCCACAGAGGCCCGAACTCGGCCCGCACTGCCCGGCGGCAGGCCGCGAAGGAGCCCCGGGTAGTGGGGGCGGCAGGAAGGAGAGGCGCGCAGGGCCTTCGGGGCCTCCCCAAGCCCCGGGCTCCCGTCTGGGCTTTGTGGGTTGGCGGTGTCTGAATCGCCGACGGGCCGAGCCGTGCCGGGAAGGCGCGCGGCCCCGCGCGGGCACCTGGCCGAGGCCGCCCCGCGCTGCCATTGAAATGTGACACTGATGAACGAGCTAGGCCCGCGGCTTTCTTTGGGAGAGTTGGAAGTCGCCAGCCGCGAGATCTGGGGCTCTCAGGTTCCCTGGGAAACGTTCTCCCCGCACCCCACTGCCTCCACCTTCGGCACTATTGCTATCCTCTCCCATTTCCCCCCAACACACACACACACACACACACACACACACACACACACACACCCCTCACGCGTTTTCGAGTGCCAGACCAAGAGTCTTAAGTTCAGCTCCAGGAAGACAGGGTAGTGGCGGGAAAGAACATTCTGACGACGGGGAAGTTTGAGTTGGTTGGGGCTGAGTCAATAAAGTCGCCCCTTGAGCCTTTTGTTTTGAGGCTTTGATTGCAACGGCGCCTTTCGCCTTTTATATTTGGGGCCTGGTGGGTGACAGTGAGGGGACAGAGGAAGGGGACGAAGCACGTGGAACCTGGCCCCTTTTGGGATGTTTCTGCACCAGCTTTTGTTGGGGGAGAGGATGGGAAGGGAAGGAGGGAGAGTGGGTGCCTTACAGGCAACCAGCAAGGATTTCTTGAGAGACAACAACGTGCGGAGCACTGAATCAGGCACCAGCAGCGCTTATTGAGAATGAGAATAGGATCTTGCAAGCTGATTAGCGAGAGAAAAATTCAAAAAAGGGACAAATTGGTTAGATTAAGTATCCAAATAGATGCAGCAAAGCTGAGTAAACAAATCAAGGATGGGTATTGGAATTGGCTAGTGGAGTCTCAGAGCATCTGTGTGTGGACATCTCCGTGAGTCCATTGCAGTTCAGAGGTTGTTCTATGTAGGCTCAGCCTAGAAAACAGATACTTAATAAAGTTCGAGATGACGTTGTCAAAAAAAAAGAGCCAATCATTCCGGTTGGAAGATAAAGTTGGACAAGTAAATCAAGCCCAGACTGAGAAGGCTGAGGGGCCCAGAATCTAACGGATAATCTACTGGCTTTGGGGCCAGACTAGCACAGAAGCAGCCCTATCCAAGCCTCTTAGGAATTGTAACTATGAGTCTCTGTTTCCCTCCGTGAAATGGGGATAATTATGCCTTGGTATTGTGAGGATTACACAGGGTTAAATGAGACAATGTCCTTGGGCCTAAATACTTTTGGTATTGATATAACCCCTCCTTCTCTTTCAACCATTTCAGAATCGTTCCCATGATCCCTAGGCTCTGGGCATCTTCAGGAGTTCTTCAAATAAATATGTGACTATGCCCATCTTGTTTATGTTCAGTCAGCTCTGTTGCCTCAGACACTCAGCAGTCCATGTTTTACTGATACCTTTTGGAGCCTCTAAATTATTTGAAAACACTGAGTTTTTACTACAGGCTTCGGTAATTGACTTTCGGAGTAACCGGCCCATGAGACTGGTCCATTTAATGTCAATAATAAGTAATATCAGTTTATTAGACTCTCACCAGTGGCCCTTACTGAACATTCCATCCTCCATGATCAAGAGCAGCAGTTCAGCTTCTTAAGCAAATCTTATTCCTGTCTGTTGTAAAAAGTCATTTCACTGTAATAAGTATCTGCTTTCCCAAAGCTGAAACTACACAGAACAGCCTGTGCCCTGCAATTGACTCAGGGAGATACCCACATTCTGAAGTACTGAGACTGGGACTTGGGAAGGTCAATGCTCTGATTCAACACAGGTGATATGAAGAACAGTAATGAGTTTCAAAGTGGCCTATAGGCCTGGTGCGGTGGCTGACACCTGTAATCCCAGCACATTGGGAGGCCAAGGCAGGTGAATGGTCATAAGTTCGAGACTAGCCTGGCCAACATGGTGAAATCCTGTCTCTACCAAAAATACAAAAATTAGCCGGGCGTAGTGGTACATGCCTATAATCCCAGCTACTCGGGAGGCTGAGTGAGGCAGGAGAATTGCTTGAACCCAGCAGGCAGAGGTTGCATCGAGCTGAGATCACACCACTGCACTCCAGCCTGGGTGACAGAGCGAGACTCTGTGTCAAAATAAATAAATGACCAAAGTGGCCTATAGACTGGATCACAGCTCTGCCCTTTATTTACCAAAAAAAAGCCCTGGATTGCTCATTTTTGGGAAATGGTACCAAAAAGAAGTAGCTAAGGTTTCCAGAAATATACCTATCCAATCCACACTCTTACACCAATCAATGTGTGTTTCCATGACATGGAAGTCCTAAAGTCTGTTCTCAAGTCACCCTAGCTATGTGAAGATGATGAAATGAGAAACATTAAAATTCTAGAATGAAGATAGTAATTTCAGGAAGAAAATTTATCAGCTTAATGTTTGAGCTAGGGTATATGTTCTTTGAACATTATCCTCATGATTTTATTATAACGAAACTAAGGCATGAACTTGAAAAATGGGAGAATGGGAGAAAATTTTACCCTAAAACTAATAATGCAAATGTTGGGAGAAATACTCTTGTATTTCTCCATATTTCTGCTAGCACCTAGCACCTAGAACAGTGTAGAATATACAAAATACATTCCATTAATATGTGTTGGTTTCAACTGGTTTTTCTTTACAAAGCCCCCTTATCTAATTACCAACTGGTCCCCAAAAGCTAACAATCTAACCACCCAACCTTACATTTGGTAACTTTATAGTGTTAGTTACACAGTAGGGTTTTCCTGCTAACGAATCCTCTGTGGCATCTGTTTCAAAATGAAAATCTATTATATTATTAGAAACACTCTCAGTGTAAAGAAACCAGAGATGAATTGCCAAAGTCTGAGCTCACGATATTGTGTTGGCAAGCAAAAGCATCATGGCTGGACCCAGTGGGAGAAAGAAGATGGAATGCACACCTTTACATCCAATGCCCAACTCAAACCCTTCTATCAGTAACTCCACACCTTTTGATGAGTTCAGTTGTTTTGGGGGATGGAAAGGCGTTTTCTGGTTAGGAATGATGAACGGGTTGGTTTGCTACTTAGGTAAGTAAGAAGAAGGGGAACTAATGAGTAATTGTTGCACAATGACAAAACAACACTCCTGAAAGAAGCATAATTTGCTTCCCTGAACAATCCAGTCCTTTCATCATAAAATGTTCCTATTACATGGATACAGACCAGCAAAAACATTTGCTATACAAAAACACCTATTGTAAATAATTTCCATAACCAGATCGACAAAGCTCTATGACTATAGTTTAGATGCCAGGATTTGACAATAGCTAGATTATACTAAACTTTTCATTGTAATGTATACACTAAAATGACATTTGGTCAGTTTGGTCATAAAATAAATATAAATTATTGATATTTATAAAATTACAAATTCACTCATTCTTGGTTTCTCCCAATGCACCCCTGCTCCCTTCTTCCATCATCAATATTTTCCTAGGAAACATTATAATCTACAATTAACTGAGGCTGAAAACACCATCTTTTACCACATCTTTAGTGTAGCAAAAGTACCGAGCAAGCCACCCTTCTGCCTGATCTTTCTTGATAACTTTTTTAAGTACCCTAGAGCCAGTTGGTGCGTTCTTGGCTGTAATGCAGCCAAGTGGAATGCATTACATTCCACTTGTAATGCAGTGGAAGACACCTGGGTGTGTGCTGGGAGATCTGGGCTCTCCATAACCTGGCTCTGCCACTTCTCTATGAGACTTTAAGTGACTCACTTGATCTCCCTGAACCTCTCCTTCCTCTTCTGTGATGACAGAAGTTAGTCTTCCTTCACAAAGGTGTTGTGAGAATTATACGACACTTGATATTTAAAATTCCTAATCTAGTAATCTAGCACACAGTAGGTAAACTTAAAGGTAGATTAATGTTAAAGTTAGATTCTGACTGGACATGGTGGCTTGAGTCTTCAGTACCAGCTACTCAGGAGACTGAGGGAGGAGGATCCCTTGAGACCAGGAGTTTAAGGCTACAAGTATGCTATCACCGTATCGGTGAACAGCCACTACACTCCAGCCTGGGCAACATAGCAGGATCACAACTCTAAAAGAAAAAAAAAAAGGTAGATTCTGAAATATAGTGAAATACAGATCTAGGGCTCCTAGAGTAAAAAAAAAAAAATTTTTTTTTTTTTTTGAGACAGAATCTGGCTCTGTCGCCGAGGCTGGAGTGCAGTGCTGTAATGTCAGCTCACTGCAACCTCCACCTCCTGGGTTCAAGCAATTCTCCTGCCTCAGCCTCCCAAGTAGCTGAGATTACAGTGCCCACCACCACACCCAGCTAATTGCTAATTTTCGTATTTTAGTAGAGACAGGGTTTCACCCTGTTTTGGCCAGACAGGTCTCGAACTCCTGACCTCAGGTGATCCACCTGCCTTGGCCTCCCAAAGTGCTGGGATTACAGGCGTGAGCCACTGTGACCTGCCAAAAAATATTTTTAAAAGCAGAAAAAATACAGCAACTATGGCTTGCATCCCCATGTCTTTGTTTCCTCATCTTTAAAATTGGGATAATGGGCCAGACGCAATGGCTCATGCTCATAATCCCAGCACTTTGGGAGGCCAAAGCAGGAGGATCCCTTGAGCCCAGGAGTTTGAGGCTGCAGTGAGCTATGATTGTGCCACTGCACCCCAGCCTGGGTGACAGAGAGAGACCCTGTCTTTAAATAAATAAATAAATAAATAGGGATAATGTATACCATATGAGATTGTGAAAATGATAATTAAATCATTTAATAGAGGCAAATGATAATAAAAATAGTAAATAGTAATAGTAAGTCATCCACAAATATAAGATGTTGTTTGGTTTTTTTGGTTCGTTTTGTTGTTGTTTCTGAGACAGTTCTAGCTTGTCACCCAGACCGGAGTGCAGTGGTGCCATTTCAGCTCAATGCAACCTCAGCCTCCCAGGCTCAAGCCATCCTTCCATCTTGGCTGTCGAAGTAGTTAGGATTACAGGCATGGGCCACCACGCCCAGCTTTTTTTTTTTTTTTTTTTTTTTTTTTTTTGTAGAAATGGGTTTCTCTGTGTTGCTCAGGCTGGTCTCCAGCCTCTGGGCTCAAGTGACCCGCGCACCTCCCAAACACTGGGATTACAGGCTTGAGCCACCACATAGCCATTGTCTTTTTTTTTTTTTTTTTTTTCTCTGAGACAGAGTCTCACTCTGTTGCCCAGGCTGGAGCGCAGTGGTGTGATCTCGGCTCACTGCAGCCTCCACCTCCCAGGTTCAAGTGATTCTCCTGCTTGACTACTGAGAAGCTGGGATTACAGATGTACCACCACGCCCAAGTAATTTTTATATTTTTATTAGAGATGGGGTTTCGCCATGTTGGCCAGGCTGGTCTCGAACTCCTGACCTCGGGTGATCCGCCCACCTCGGCCTCCCAAAGAGCTGGGATTACAGATGTGAGCCACAGCACCCGGCCTACAGCCGTTGTCTATGAGGAGATAAGCTAGTTATCAAAACTCCCCATAACCCATCCTGTTTCCTACTCAAACACTGAAACCTCTTAGCTCTCTCCCACTTCCTCTAAGGCCCTAATCTTCAAGGAACAGAAAGAAGCTAAACAGTCTTACAAGTTAGATTTCTTAGAATAAAAGATGGGTTTTCACATTAGAAATAGGTGAAAGTTGGCTGGGTGCGGTGGCTCAGGCCTGTAATCCCAGTAATCCAAGCACTTTGGGAGGTCGAGGCGGGCAGATCACCTGAGATCAGGAGATTGAGACCAGCCTGGCCAACATGGTGAAACGCTGTCTCTACTAAAAAATACAAAAAATTAGTCGGGCATGGTGGCGCGTGTCTGTAGTTCCAGCTACTCAGGAGGCTGAGGCAGGAGAATTGTTTGAGCCAGGGAGGCAGAGGTTGCAGTGAGCCGTGACCGCGCTATTGCACTCCAGCCTGGGAAACAGAGAGAGATTCCGACTCAAAATAAATAAATAAATAATTAAAAACTATTTTTAAAAAAGAAATAGGTGAAAATTCCTTAGAAGGCACCTACAGCTTCTTACCTACATCATCTCATTAAATTCTCACAATGACTCTATCAGACAGGTACCACTATTCCCTCTTTTGAGGGATGAGGAAACAGAGACTCAGGGAGATAAAGTAACTTGCCCAAGGTTACACAGCTATTCTCAAGGAAACGTAGTGCATCCCATGAAAATAGCCTGGAGTCGAGATACTGGAGTCAAAGTGCAGCCAAAATTGTCAGGGTGCAACCTGCCTGTCCAATCAGAGCTGCTACTTCTTTGATACTGGAATCCCCCAATTCCTGAAATTAACACCCAGTTCTCCACTCCCCAAAAGCACACGCTGAGTGCCCTCAGGGCTCTTGCTGTTGCCAACGGACCTATAACTCGGTACAGGCTCAGGCAGCTGAGAGGAGGCTGTGGACACAACAGGCCTTGCTAGGCTTGCTGGGACGGGGCCACATTACTTTGCAGGCGCGTCTTTCTCCTGCCTGCTATCTAGAGCTCGCCTGTAGGTGGCGCCCTGCTTCGCTCAGGGGAATTTGGAGGGCGAGGACACGGGTCACCAGCTGCCTCCCCTGAAGGCCAATTTAAGTTGTCCCCTGGCTTGAACTGAGCGCAGGAACCTCGGTGATGGGGACATGCCCCCCTCCCCGCGCGCTCTTCCTCTCCCAGCCCCCCTGCCCTCCCCTCTCCAGGGGCTGGCGGGCCCGCGCTTCCTCCGAGGTCGGGCTACGCGGCGCGATCTCCAAGCGCTGGGGCCGAGCTTGGCGCTCCGGGGCGGCGCTTCGGTCCCCGACCCTCGGGCCGGCCCGCTGGCCCCCACTCCGCTTCCTCCCGGCACCCGCTTCGCCGGCAGCTGTAGCGGAGGTGGAGGGATGGGGGACTGTGACCCCCGTGAGTGCCGGCGGGGCGGGGCAGCTTTAAAAACTTCTGAAAGGCCTGGTTCAAAGCCTCAAAGGATAGAACTTGGGCCGGAAGGCGGTTTCCACGGAGGGGCCTAAAAGGGGGCTGGGGGTGCACCTGCAGGGCCAGGAGCTGCGGCTTGGGAAGGGGGGCCCGGTCACCGCGAGCGCCGCAGTCCCCGCCCCGCACTCGCCGCCCCTTGGAGCCGCCGCGGCCCCGCCCGGGCCCTGCGCTTTCATCCTCCCCACGGGACAGCGGCCGCGCGGGGCGGGGGCGGCTCTGGCCGGCGCGCTCCCGGCGGGGTCTTCCTTCCCTCCGGCCCCTCCCTGGGAACCCGAGATTTCGCCGCAGAGCTGAACTCCCAGATTTTAACCCCAACCCCCCCGGGCGGGAGGCCGCGGAGAACCGGGAGTCGCGACCGAGGAAGCGTCCCCAGTCACCTCCTAGCCCCCCACACAGAGCCCCGGGGAGGGTGAGGAGGAGGAAGAGCGGGAGGAAGACCCGCGCCGGTGGGTGGGGGCAGGGAGGGGGCGTCCGGGGTCGCAGGGCGGCGCTCCGGAGAGTGGCCCCGGCGGCGTCCGGAGTCGCTGCGGCCGCCGTGCCACCTCGGGCAGGTGGGGGGGGGAATGCGCGGCCGCCGCCAACCAGGGTCGCTCCGCCGTAGACGCCGAGCAGACGCGGTCCGGCGCTCGGCCGGAGAGCCGGCTAAGGGGCTTTTCATTAGCACCGCATTAGGAGGACACTCATCCTCCAGAGTCCTTCCCGTGGAAGCTCTTGAGTGAATTAGGTAAATGATTTGCTCCATTTGTAGTTTCTGAAGATATTTTCTCAGATCTTCAATCGAGCGCTTTAGCCGGGGAGCATATCTGTGGGGGCCTCCTTCCCACTACCTAGGGTCTCACTCGGTGACAATTGCTGAGTCAGTGAGGACGTGTGGGGAAAGGTAAAAGTGGAATTGAGCAAAGCTGAGTAATTTAGCTAAGGAAGAGAAATCGCTACTGAAAATAGAATAGTTTAAAAATAAACTACATAAAGTTTATTCTTTTGCTTGGAGTCCTGCTCCTTGATCCGAGAAGGTAAAATCCATCAGAGTTGGGAGTTCCCTCCCCCCCATTAGCATTTATTACACTTTTTCAAAGTTACTGAAAGACTTCTTTTAGTGAATTTTAAGAAGCAATCGTGGTTGACATTACAGGCATCAAAGGTTTGGGGAACAGATGGGTAAACTTCCGAAGAGCTTAGTTGCAACACTAGCTCTCAAATTTAGTGTCAACTTTTATTTTAAAAAATAAAATAGGGTGGTGTTTTTATTAAACTTTTATATTTCAAGAGGTAGAGAACACCGAAGAGGAAAGAGACTGAAGGGAAAGTAGGGTGTTGGAAACAAAAAGAGAAAGGCGAGATTGACTGTAACATTCTGGTCTTCAACGAGTCCCAAGTTGGAATCCTAAAGCACTGCATATTTCTGGTAGCGTTAACTCTAACTGGAATATTGGCGGGCCTGGTCTCTAAGTGCGTCCTAAGAAAAAACAGATTTAAGCAAAATGGTTTTTTCCCTTTTGTGAAGGGAAAAAATTTAAGCACTTGCTTCATGCGGTAGCCCCAGCGGAAAAGCGAGCCCTCCCGCTCCCGGTGGCCTGAACTGAATTTGCTGCTTTAAAATCGGCAGGTGTGCCCAGCGTTCCCAGCGCTGCAGCCGGGACCTGATGAGTAAGAGTAAGAGGGCTCAACCGCAGGACATCACATGCCGGGTACCTAACGTCGGCATTTAAGCAGACAGGGACTAATATGCTGGAACTATCCTCCCGACACTGGCAAAGCCCAGAGACCGCATTTCCTACCACTTTGCCCACTTTGTACTGGGCACCCTCGGTAAACAGGATGAAAGCAACATTTTTATCCCTTAAGACGAAAATGTAACCTTTAGAATACTCCCTATTCCGGGGTTGACAGCAGGTCAAGGGCTCAGAGGCAAGCTTGCATTACACATAGGACAAGTACAACTTATCAGGGTGCAAAAAAGGGCAAGAAACTTTGTAAAAGTTGGAATCAGTATTCAAAGAGATAGTTTCAGGTGGTGCTACATAATGGCATGGTAACCACAAGAAGACCAGAAATGCTTGGAGTGCATTTCTGTTCTCGAAGAGGGGTTGAGGGTAGAGGCTTGGTGCACTGTGGTTTGAAGGTTTACAGAAAGCAGCCTTATCCTCATGAAGCTGGGAAGCTATGCTTTCTCCACAAAATACTTTTAATGATTTTCGCCCCAGAGATACCGGGATCCGAGACCTTCACAGGCTCTCCTGGCCTGAGGAATCACAAAACTTGCAAACTCTGCAGTTTTTCCCTTGAGTTCACTTTAAAAACACAGGCACCTTGAGCACAAAACAATTAAGGTGGTGGTTTCCCCGAGACAACAAACCAGGCACAAACACACACCTTAGTCTGCACTGGCACTAACATTCCCACTCTAGGGCCACTCACTGCCAGTTAAAGAACAAGAGCTATCCACTTCAAGTGTGGGGACAAGCTTCATTCAGGGTGCAAACACATGCCCACAAAACACAAAAGGGGAACGGTTACTCCAAAAGAAGTCTGAAGACTTCCAGTAAGCAGTAAAGAACAGCCCGGAAGGTCTGCAACCTGTCAGCTCCAGGGGCCGTCACCACTCCATCCTGTAGCCCCACAGCATTGAGTGCTGTGTTTCGAAAATTGGAAAGTGCTGGGTTTTAATTGGGGCTGGGTCCTGCCTTCTCCCCTCTTCCTCCAGATCGGGCCCTCTCTGTAAGCGGATTTGCTTTCCCGTGTATCGCCAGCAGGTCGTTTTTAGGCAATCTTGCTTCTGCAAAACGTTTTAAACATGGTAATATATTGCAGTCTTATTAAGTCCCCCTCCAGAAGTGGGTGAAAGGGGCTCTGTTTTCCTGAAAGATTCAGGAACTCCACTGTCTGAGCAAGACTAGCCCAAGGAAGGCTTGGATTGACTCCGCTATCCACTTAAGTGAAGACAGTATTTTTGTTGCTGTTGTTGTTTTTGGTTTATGTTTGTTTTTTGTTTTTGTTTGGTTGGTTTTGGTTTTGGTTTTGAATGCCTAGGAGATTTTAAATTCACATAATCCTCCCTCCAGGAGGAAAAAAAAAAAAAACAAGAAAACATTGAACTTGCTACCTTCATTATAAGCCACCCTAGAAGAAGCTGAGAGGACAGGCTGCTGAACTGGTGGACCACGAATTAATGTGGAGAACGAGGCCGTCCGGGCTAGGTTCCCGGGGCTCAAAGACGCAAAGGGAAGGCGACAAAGGTTTCTCACAGGTCGCCGTTAGGGAGAGGGGGCAGCGCAGGAAACCCGTTTATTTAAAGTTCAGTTGTGTTGGGCATCTGATCCAGGACAACTCGCCCAGGAGCCCGGCGGGTTTCAGCTGCCACCACGAAAGTAAGGATCGGTTCTGCCGCGTCGCCCCCTCCTTCCCCTTGGGATGTGCCAGGCGGGCGACAGATAAGGGGGCGCGGCGCGGGGTCAGCCACCGAGCCAGAGGGCGGCGCCCGGTTGCAGCGCTCCACAGCCGCCTCCTGCAGCCTCGCGGTCGTGACCTTGCCGAGCAGCTCCTGCGCCTCAGGCTCGGTCCCTGCACCCGCCCTCACTCCAGTCCCTCTCAGGGCCTGCAGTGGAAGATCCCCGTGGTCCGGGTGGGTGGCGATGGAGAGCAGAATTGAATTTATTTGCTCTCAAATTCCCCTAAAAGCTCTGAAACTGGGAAAGTCCGCGGGCTGCCAGGGACAGTAATCACTGTGTCCCCACCCGGACGCAGGAGGTCTCGGGAGGAGCTCCGAGGCCAAGCGCCCGCGACTTCTGGGTGCCAGGTTGCTGCAGACGAGAAATGAAGCCCGCCAGATTTGGGCTCCCGAAATTTTTTGAAGTATGAGTACCTTAGATTTCCCTTCTGATACAGCGCCTCTTTCGAAGGGGTGTGTGCGAGTGTGATAGTGAAGATGGGGTGGGGAGTTCTTGCCTGCTAAAAAGTCTCACCCTGGCCCCACAAGCGAGCAAGGGGGAGACAGGCAGGTGGAGGAGAAGGTAGCACACCCTCTTCTATTTTTATTCATTATTTTGAAAATTGTGTAAGATTGATCAAGTGGAGTCCTACGCTCACGCCCAGCGCTTGGAATGAATGAATGTTTCTCTCGGCGCTCTCAGCAAGATGCTTTCTACTAATGGAGAACTTTACCCCGGGTCTTGCAACCCACTAAACTTGGCGTCCCATGCCACACTGGGCGTCCCAGGCCTGCCTGCCCTCGACGGGGCGGTCTCTCTGCCGGCCCCTGGTAAAACAGTTACTGCACCTGGGGCTTCGCAGAGTGCAAGGAGGAAAGAAGTGGGGCATTACTTTCCAACAAGCAATGACCTCAGCCTGCCAGCGCCTACCTTGTTCTGGAAACACCTAATCTCTGCTTCCTCTATAAAGTTTAACTGCAGCTTGCCTCCAATCCCAAATTGCAAACACTAGCAGAATTGCTCCCTTAAGCATTTCCTTCCTTTGACCCTTCCTAAAGCCTTGTTCAAGTCAGCACTCTGGGGGTCCTTAAGAGAAAGAGAAATTCAGGATGGCCTTCTTTCAGTTTAAACTAATAATGACACAAAGGGAGCATACCTGAGTCCTGGGATTGTTTATACTTCTTCATAATTCAGTGACAGACTAGGCCTGAGGTAACAAGTTGTGTAGGAAAGAAAGCATTGCAACAGGAACATGGCTTGGAAAACTTCTCTCCAAAGGAAACCTTGGCTTCCTGCCACCTGGATAGTCACACATTAATAAGTATGCACTTAACATATACAGCCAACATTACATATTAGCATTGATCTGGTCAAGTGGAGAATTCTCCATAGTTGCTTAACTATTCCATGTATGGGAACAGATTTGGTAGGGAATGTTCTGGCCTATTCTTAATAATAATAAAGACTGCTGAGCTCCTTGCTTCACACTGACATCATAAAAGCCAGATAAAATAAACTGCTTAGAGGCCTCAGTGGAAATCCAGGAGCAGTTCAAAGATCCCCCTATTATATCTGACCTTGCTTTCCCTGTGTTTACATTGGAGTAATAATAACCTCTAAGATTCATTGAGCTGTTTGCTACATGTGCCATGCTCTGCTCTAAGCACTTTAATATGATAACTCATTTAATTCTGACAACAGCCCTATGAATTAGTTGCTGTTTTAATCTCCATTTAATAAATGTAGGAAACTGAGGCACAAATAAACTAAGTAATTTGCCTACTACTACTTAGCCTGTGCATGTTAAAACTAGCTAGTTGTTTGGCTGCAGCACCTGTGCTCTTGACCACTGACTACACAGACAAGAGGGGTTTTGAACAGTGATCTCTGCATGTGATCCTGCTTGGAGCTGTTTTCTGAAAAAAGTAGACAGGAAGTAATTAATCCCATTAATTTGGTACATCTAGACAGCCAACCTGGCATAGAAGAACTCTTACCCACTGAAAAGTTACTTTCCATAAGCTATCCAAGTGATTCAATGCATTTTATATACAGATCATAAATAAACAAGAACATTGAAAATTGTTCCATTCCCCATATCCTTTTGGTTGGTCCTTGAAAATGGTCTTTTTCCCCTCCCCCAGAAAATATATGATTAAATTGTCATTCTCAAAGAGCACTCATACACTGTATGTATTGCAGAGCTAGGACAATAACAGCTGTTAATACAGACAATCTTGATTGTTAAGGACGCATGCATACTGGACTCATCACTTTCATCACCTTCAGTTTAAACAGATGCCACCTGAGGAATATGACCTCTTTTTCTCTCCACATTAACCCCCTCCCCCATCATTATTCCCTCTTAAATAGAATCATGGATTGTCTGTGCAAAAAAAGACTTTAGAAACCACATCATTTACCCTCTGCAATTCTACAGATGAGGAAAGGGTGGGGTGGGGGTTGGGGGCACAGAAAAAGAAAGACTTGCCAGAGCTTACAAGGAACCCAGGACTCCGTATTTCCAGTTCACTCAGTTCAGTCTACTTCCCCCAAACCAGATTGCTCCTTAGAGTTGATAAAAAGTATTTAGACTAACAGCACACTTTAAAAAAAGTTTTAACAACCCTTTTTTGGCCCAAGATACATAAAGAAGGGGCTGTCTTACTCCTTTCTTCCTTTCAGATGTGTTCCTGGAATGTCTTCACCAGATGTTTACTCGAGAACTTGCAATCTCAGTCTTCAACATGTGAGCGCATTTTAAGAGCAGTATTTTAGATCGGAACCCAATTAATGATTTTTTTTCTTTTTTAAAAAAGGGAATTTTAGTTTGCTTGCAAATGATCCGAGTCTGTAGAGTCTTTACAGACTCTGCGTTAACCTCAGTCAATTCCACTCTAGGACGTGCTAGTCTCACAGTCTAGTTTTGTTCAGACTTTATTTTGCGCCAAGCTGCATTACAGACCACTTGTCCAGGCTGCAAAAGGTTGGGGTAGGGGGTTGGGGTGACGGGCGCTTCCCCCCCGCTTCATATACGTGAAGCAATCTGGAATCATTCCACTTGGCTCTGACGCGCGCGCGCGCACACACACACGCGCGCGCACACACACACTCTCACACACACGTGTACCGTGCATGTGTGGGCGCCTATGGATCTGTGTATGCGCGCGTTTGTGATTTAAAGTGACAGGACCAAGAACTGGCTGAAGCAGAGAATTGTTTTGCGTGATAAATCAACTTGATTGTCTCCACACTGTACTTCCATTATTCACCCGAGTGCTCGGTGGTTACGGCGGACGTGCACTGCGGCAAAAATGTCCTCGGAGCCGCTAATTTTGTGGCCACTGCGGCGGCTGCGGCGGCTGCGGCAGCGGAGGCGCGGGGGCGCGAGCACGGGTTGATTTTTCAAGATCTATCTCCTTTAGTGCAACTCGCCAAATGGAATCGAGTTGACAGCAGAAGCCTCACAGGATGCGTGTGGATTGGGTTTTGTGCCTGTGATTTTTTAAAAAAATATATTTTTTATTTGTGGAGAGGAGCCGAGCTGTTGGCGCAAGAAGGGAAATATACCTTTTCTGTTTTATTTCCCCTTTATTCCCTTAAAAAAAAAATGAAAATGGCCACCACCGTTTCCTGAGCTTTCAGGAGGCCAGACCTTTGCAGATGGGGAGGTGACACTTTTTTTTTTTTTTTTTTAGACGGAGTTTCGCTCTTGTCGCCCAGGCTGGACTGCAATGGCGCGATCTCGGCTCACTGCAACCTCGCCTCCCGGGTACAAGCGATTCTCCTGCCTCAGCCTCCCGAGTAGCTGAGATCACAGGCGCCGGCCACCACGTCTGGCTAACTTTAGTAGAGACGGGGTTTCACCATGTGGGTCAGGCTGGTCGCGAACTCCTGACCTCAGGTGATCCACTCGCCTCGGCCTCCCAAAGTGTTGGGATTACAGGCGTGAGCCACAGCGCCTGGCCGGAAGTGACACTTTTAATCTGTTTCTTACCTCTGTCCCTCCCTCCCTCACCCACCTCCACCTCGTCAGCTCTGCAACAGTCCAGGGAGAGAAATTGTCATAGGCACTTGTGCCGGTCATTTGTTTTCACTCGCTTTTTTCTTCTGACAGTAGTTACCAATTTTTTTCTTTTAAAACTGATACTTTTTGTCTAGTTATCAAATTTTTAATAAATATATGTCCAGAATATGTTTGATTTGTCTTCTTAAACACCAACCCATGCAGTGGCTGAACAGCAGCAGGAGGCAATCTCTTTACCAGATCTGGTAGAGATCACCTGGGGCAGACACAACTCAATAGTTACAGACAGTTGTTTTTTTTTTAATTTTTGGAGGAAGGTGGCTAATTTACAAATTAATTTCTAGAAATGTGTGTTGATGCCTGTGAGTTTATTTAAAAACACATACAGAATTTTACTTTCATATATTTATTATTGAATTGCTATTTTCTGTAGCTGAGCATATGGATCACACCAGACATAATTTACATTTAAAAAGTGGGATTCCAAAGACTTGAGGGTCAGCTGTGCCACCCAACTTTGTTTGCAGGACAAAACCTGAATGTTTTTTGAGGGGGTGGGAAAACTTTTCCATTCATAAAGATGGCATTGACATATTTATCCTAGGTTTTTACCTCTCTTGAAGCTGACTACAGAGCCATAGTGGTATTTGTCAAATTGGGAAGATAATTGCAGTGTGAATGTGTGAGTAATGACACAGTATTGCATAATAATAACTTAAGCAGCATATCTTTGTTTACAGTGATGTAACTTTCCCAAAGTTTATATGTAGCCTTAAAGGGTTTAGTGCAGAGCGGATTGCAAATGAGTAACTGCCAAGAAGAAAGAAAGAGGGTGATCCATCCCTCCCAGTTAGTTCTGCAGTCCTCATTGTTATATGAAATCCCAACCTGCAGATACCAGGGGCAAGAGGACCCCATTTTTCTTGAACAGAAGGGAGAGATTGGAAAGAGGCCAAACTGATGACCTTAATGTATTTGATAAAGTTGGCCCGCATTGTCCATGATATGAAAAAATACTCCTTTTTAGGAGAAATTAAAAAGCTAGATGTAGCAACACAGTGAAAATCCATCTCAGTTAAATGTGAATATATACCCAGTGGAGTAAGCTATTACAACATAGTTGAAATATAGCTTTTTTTTTTTTTTTGACTGAGTCTCATTCTGTCGCCCAGGCTGGAGGGCAGTGGTGCAGTCTCAGCTCACTGCAACCTCTGCCTCCTGGGTTCAAGCAATCCTCCTACCTCAGCCTCCCAAGTAATTGGGATTACAAGCATGTGCCATCATGCCCAGCTAATTTTTGTATTTTTAGTAGAGACAGGGTTTTACCATGTTGGCCAGGCTGGTCTCGAACTCCTGACCTCAAGTGATCTGCCCACCTCAGCCTCCCAAAGTGCCTGGATTACAGGCGTAAGCCACTGTGCCTGGCCAAAAGACAGCTTTTTTTAAAAATGTGCTTCTAAAATAGTGAAAATGAGCCCAAATGAACTCACCACCAACAACCTCATTTTCTCCAACATTTAAAACATACTTAATCGGTCCTGTGTTTGGGGTACTGTTTCACAACTCATAATTTGTAAAACTGTACAACTTTCATGTTACCATAACTTGATGAGTTTTTTTTTGTTTTTTTTTTGAGAGAGGTCTCGCTCTGTCACCCAGGCTGGAGTGCAATGGCACAATCTTGGCTTACTGCAACTTCCACCTCCTGGGTTCAAGTGATTCCTGGTTTCAACTTGATAAAGTAGGCCTGCATTGTCCATGATGTGAAAAAATACTCCTTTTTAGGAGAAATTATAGCCATGCCTCAGCCTCATGAGGAGCTGGAATTACAGGCGCCCATCACCACATAGCTAATATTTGTAGTTTTAGAAGAGACAGGGTTTCACCATGTTGGCCAGGCTGGTCTTGAACTCCTGACCTCAGGTGATCCACCCACCTCGGCCTCCCAAAGTGCTGAGATTATAGGTGTGAGCCACCACCCCAGCCGGATATTTTAATTCAGCCATTACAGAAGAGACAAATGGAAGTAGGTCAACATCTAGGTCCACAGAAAGGCGGCCTACCTACCAACTCAAAGGAAACCCATACTGTCTCCCAGGCACCAAAACTTCCACTGTCTTTTTTCTTAAAGACTCACATTCCAGGGCCTCAGAGTTTGATGTGATTCTGACTTATAGCTACAAAAGTGATACCAAAATGTTTAAATTAAAATATGAACATATGAAAACTAACAAATAAGCCTTTGTTGGTCATTAAGCAAGGCCCTAAACTCATGAAATACTCCCCTAAATTCTATCAGAATTAAAACTCTTTGTGATATCCTCAGTAGAACCATGATTCACCATTACAGAGACTATAGTCAGACCACAGAGTTAATTTTTATAAACTTTCTTGGTATAGATTTTTTTTAAGCAAAAAAGAAATCACAAAAATAGCTTTCTTATAGAAAATGTTTAGTAAAATTCCTAATATGCTGCTGCTGTAGACCGTTTTGCTAAACTGGGCACTTCGTTTAATGACAATAATAAATATCTGAATAGTATAAACATTAACTATGGTATTTTCTTAGTTAATTGGTTATGTTCTTATTTTTAAAGCAACATAAAACATCATAGGAAAATCTTCAGATTTTACCATACTGGGATTGCTCTATCAATGAAGTGCTTTTTAATTTTCAACTTATGATTTATGTGTTAAGCTTTCATATTATCAATTGTAAAAAAAAAAAACAAAACTGAGGGTTTTTTACTGGGTGCACATCAAAGTTAACATAATTATATTATCTATAGACCATGAAAGTCATACTATTGTACCTAACATACACACGGAGACAATTTACAATAGTAAGTAACATTATGCAATGTTACATTTTTAAAAAATGGAAGCAAAGGCTTTGAAGAAATTGAAACAACTGGGGTGATCAGGTAACAATGTAAAAGCAATACAGACACAAAACTATGAGATTGAGTCATTATTCACATTTAGATTTACATTTACATTTACAAAAGAAAAAAAGAGAGGATACATTTTATTTTATTTTATTTTATTTTATTTTTTGAGATGGAGTCTCGCTTTGTTGCCAGGCTGGAGTGCAGTGGCATCATCTCCGCTCACTGCAACCTCCGCCTCCCAGTTTCAAGCAATTCTCCCACCTCAGCCTCCTGAGGAGCTGGGATTACAGGCGCCTGCTACCACGCCCGGCTGATTTTTGTATTTTTAGTAGAGATGGGGTTTCACCAATTTGGCCAGGATGGTCTCGATCTCTTGATCTCATGATCTGCCTGCTTCGACCTCCCAAAGTGCTGGGATTACAAGCGTGAGCCACCGTGCCCGGTGAGGATACATTTTATAAGCCTTTCAATACCTCTCCAATTAAGAACATTTAGCTTGGGAAATAACAGGTGTCTGTGTCAATGCTATTATCTACTAAGAAAAACTCTCTCCTACCTATGCTTAAAAAACAAACAAAAAAAATCGGGCCGGGCACAGTGGCTCAAGTCTGTAATCCCAGCATTTTGGGAGGCCAAGGTAGGCAGATCACAAGGCCAGGAGTTCAGGACCAGCCCAACCAACATGGTGAAACCCTGTCTCTACTAAAAATACAAAAATTAGCTGGGTGTGGTGACGTGCCCCTGTAATCCCAGCTACTAGGGAGGTGCGCACCTGTAATCCCAGTTACTTGGGAAGCCAAGGCAGGAGAATCGCTTGAACCCAGGAAGCAGAGGTTGCAGTGAGCTGAGGTGGCGCCATTGCACTCCAGCTTGGGCAACAGAGCAAGACTCTGTCTCAGAAAAAAAAAAAAAAAAAAAAAAAAATTCAGGCCAGGCATAGTGGCTCACATTTGCAAGCTCAGCACTTTGGGAGGCCAAGGTGGGTGGATTGCTTGAGCCCAGGGGTTCAAGACCAGTCTGAACAACATGGTGAAACCTCATCTCTAAGAAAAATAGCAACAAGTTAGCCAGGTGTGATAGTGCTCACCTATAGTTCCAGTTACTCGGGAGGCTGAGGTGTGAGTATCACCTAAACCTGGGAAGTCAAGGCAGCAGTGAGCCATGATCGTGCCACTGCACAGCCTGAGTGATGCAGTGAGACCCAGTCTCAAAAAAAAAAAAAAAAAAAAAAATCAAACTCTTTAAATAGCACTTCTTGTAATTAGCATTTCAATTATTGGTAACATAAAATTCAATTGTCTTCTCAAATTCCGACTTTGAGAAATGAAATTGAATATTAATAATTATTTTTAACATGGGTTGAAGCAAGTATCACACATATTACATTTTCAGAATTTACTTGAATATTATGCTGTCACATCAGGACATAGGATTTACTGTAATCTGATGTTCAAATAAGAATTCCAAAAGATAGTCCTACTAACTATGAAACTGGATTTGGAAAGAGAGAAGTGAGGTAGAACGCAACCCATTATTTGGTGCAAAGTCATGTGTCGAATGTTGTTAGCGACCCGGAAAAGGCTATTATGCTCTGGCCTTATGGAAAATAAGGTAATCTAGCCTTGTGGAGAATCACTTGCTGTTTTTAAAGACCAGCTTGCCCCTTACTTTTCCTGTATGCCCAGAACCCAGTGTAATACCTGGCACACCAATAACATTCAGTAAATATTTTACAAACTCGATAGTTCAATTTATTTTTAAAAAAACGTTAGGAAGTATAAATTTTGGTAGCAGATAGGGCTAGTAGAAATACTTTGGCAGAAGACAAGTTGGGAATTTCTTTTCTATCTGCCATCTCCTGACAAATTAAAATATGTTTGATTTATTGTCAATTTTATGGCTCCTGCAAGGACTAGCAAACTAATAGGATAATGTTAAAACCAGAAACATTCACCATTCTTTGGTCTCTTTCTTTAAAAAGTACTTCTTTTTTCAGTATACTATAAACATACTAAGGACCTAACAAACTTTCATTTTTCAGCTTTCAGCCTGGCCCTGCTTACAACAAACTGGCCATTTAGAACATCCTCGCCAAACTAAAGCACTCTTTATAATTGGTTCTACTTGTTCCCATTTTTGTTTTCTTTCCTTGGTAAACATAAAAATTATGCCAAAACTGCCAAAATTTATTGAAGGTAAATGCCATTCTTTCCAGCATTATTTTACTGAACAAGGTATTGCTGATGGAATGAATCTTAATATCTACAGGAAACCAAAATATTATTCTTGCATATTAAAACCCAGAGAGTTTTTTTCCAAACAACTTATTTCTGCATTCATGTGATCTAAGATAGAAACCAACTTTTTTTTCTTGGCCCATAAAACATAATGGCCTTCAGGGATCATTCATTGTTTCCATAGGTACCCAGCTCTGCTGATGCAGCACAACTCTTAACTTGCAGAGTAAAGAAAATAATAGGTATATTAAAAAGGAAAACGGTATCCCTGTAATTTTATGATTTTATAATACCATGTTATTTATATAAATAATAATATATAAAGTCAGAATTAGACTTTTGGCATCCCAATTAAGAAAAAAATTCCACTTAATAAAATATATATTTTCTAAAGTTTTTCCATAAAATATAAGGTATTACATTAATATGGGATATTTAATTATTTAATGTTATAAAGAGGATAACAATTTCCCATCAGAACTTTTTTCTTATTATTGTATTTATTTTAACTAATTTTTTTTTTTTTTTGGATGGAGTCTCAGTCTGTCTCCCAGGCTGGAGTGCAGTGGTGCTATCTCAGCTCACTGCAACCTCCACCTCCGGGCTCCAGTGATTCTCCTGCCTCAGCCTCCTGAGTAGCTGCAATTACAGGCACACGCCACCACACCTGGCTAATTGTATTTTTAGTGGAGACGGGGATTTCACCATATTGGTCAGGCTGGTCTTGAACTCCTGCCTTCAAGTGATTCACCCACCTCAGCCTCCCAAAGTGTTGGGATTACAGACGTGAGCCACTGCGCCCAGCCCTATTTTTAAATTGAGACTGGGTCTCACTTTGTCACCCAGGCTGGAGTGTAGTGGCGCGATCACAGCTCACTGCAGCCTCAGCCTCCTGGGTTCAAGCAAGATGAGAGTCTCACTTTGTTGCCCAGGTTGGTCTCAAACTCCTGGCTTTAAGTGATCCTCCCACCTTTGCCTCCCAAAGTGCTGGGATTACAGGTGTGAACCACTGCGCCCAGTTAGAACTTTTTTTCTAAATTGCTCTAATGTTATAGCCCTAAAATATTAACTGGCAGACTAAAGACCTGAAGATGTGCATACATTACCAACCACAGTGAGTTCAGCCGAGTAGTTTCAAAGTTTTGGTCACAATAAAATGGTGACCAAACATTTTTCACTGTAAAAAGTATAGTATGGTATTGTTTACCAAGATGAAATAAGTTAGATATAAATGTCTTTTGTTCCATGTTAGGCTCTGGGACATCTTGACTAACATTTCCATATGTAAAACAAAAGAGAAGGCCGGGCATGGTGGCTCATGCCTGTAATCCCAGCACTCTGGGAGGCCGAGGCAGACAGATCACGAGGTCAGGAGATCAAGACCATCCTGGCTAACACTGTGAAACCCCGTCTCTACTAAAAATACAAAAAATTAGCTGGACGTGGTGGCGGGCGCCTGTATTCCCAGCTACTGGGAGGCTGAGGCAGGAGAATGGCATGAACCCGGGAGGCAGAGCTTGCAGTGAGTGGAGATCGCGCCACTGCACTCCAGCCTGGGCAACAGAGCAAGACTCATCTCAAAAAAAAAAAAAGAAAAGAAAACATGAGATAGTGGAGGAAAGAAATTAAAGGTAGCTTTTTTCTGAAACCCTGCAATCCAATCTTTACACTGCTGTCAGACTGATTTTTCTAAAAAAAAAAAACTCATCTTATTACCACCTTCTTTAAACCTTTCAATGACTCTACATTGCTGTCAGGATACAGTCTATAGTCTTGAAGTTGATCACTATGGTCAAATGTTCTGACTCATATTTACCCCTTCAGCCTCATCTTGATACCTCCTCTCCCACTAGTTTTCAGTCCAGTTTATTTCTTCTTTCCACTCCAGCCTTCCTCCTCCCAATTCCCATAGTTCCTGGTAACTCTTATTTCTGGTTGAGAAAAAAACCTGCTCCAGCGTTCATAAAGTATTCCTGAAATGAATGAAGAAATGAACGGATGAATGCATATACCATATTGTTCTATTATGCGTAACTATAGACCTATGGAATTTCTAATAACAACTTTAGATATCCATTAGTTGAAAGATACTTTACAGATGAGGAAACCCAGAGTGGTCCTGACAATTCGAGTGACTTTTTTTGTTTTTTTTTGAGATGGGGTCCCATTCTGTCACCCAGGCTGGAATGAAGTGGTGAGATCTCAGCTGACTGCCTTCCAGGCTCAAGCAGTCTTTCCACCTCAGCCCTCAAGTAGCTGAGACTACAAGCACACTCCACCACTCCCAGTTAATTTTTTTTTTAATAGAGAGAGGGTTTTGCCATGTTGTCCAAGCTGGTCTCAAATGCCTGGGCTCAAACAATCCACCACCTTGGCTTCCCAAAATGCTGGGATTACAGGCATGAGCCACCATGTCGGGGCTCAAATGACTTCTGAAGACCACACAGCTAACGGGACTATGGGGACTAGAATCTGAGCTTCCTGAGGCCCATGAAATCAACTCCATAAATGCAACAAGTCATTAAATAATTCATTCAATATTTTTCTCCAATAAGAAATTAAGATTATTGTTTTTTTCTCAAAAATTAAAAATAGCCATATGATCCAATGATTCCACTTCTGGGTATATACATATACAAAATAATTGAAAGCAGGGTCTCAGAGATATTTATATATCCATACTCATAGCAGCATTATTCACAACAGCCAAAAAGGTTTGGAAGCAAAATGTGTGTGTGTGTTGTTGTTGTTATTGCTTTGTTTTTTGTGTTTTTGTTTTTTGAGATGGAGTCTTGCTCTGTCACCCAGGCTGGAGTGCAGTGGCGTGATCTTGGCTCATTGCAACCTCCGCCTTCCAGGTTCCACTGATTTTCCTGCCTCAGCCTCCTGAGTAGCTGGGACTACACATGCACACCACCACGCCTGGCTAATTTTTGTATTTTTAGTACAGATGGGGTTTTGCCATGTTGGCCAGGCTGATCTCAAACTCCTGACCTCAAGTGATCCACCTGCCTCAGCCTCCCAAACTGTTGGAATTACAGGCGTGAGTCACTGCGCCCAGCCAAAATGTTTCATATGTATATATATAAAACATAGCTTACTATAACATATATATACACACACACACATATGTATGTATATATGTGCATATATATATATGTTCAGTCAATGAAACATTCTGCCTTAAAAAGGAAGAAAATTCTGGCATAAGCTACAACATGTGTGAACCCTGAAGACATAATGCTAAGTGAAATGAGCCAGTCACAGGAGGAAAAAAACTGTAAGAGTCAACTTACATGAGGTACCTAGAGTTATCAAATTCATAGAGACAGACAGTAGAGTAGTGATTGCCAGGTGCTAAGAGAAGTAGGAAACGAGGAGTTATTTAATGGATACAGAGTCAGCTTGGGAAGATGATAAAGTTCTGGGGATGGATGGTGGTGATGGTTGGACAACTTTGTGAATCTACTTAATGCCATTCAACTTACATCTAAAAATACTTAAGGCCGGGTGTGGTGGCTCACGCCTGTAATCCCAGCACTTTGGGAGGCTGAGGCTGATGGATCACGAGTTCAGGAGATCGAGACCATCCTGGCTAACACGGTGAAACCCTGTCTCTACTAAAAATGCAAAAAATTAGACGGGCGTGGTGGCAGGCGCCTGTAGTCCCAGCTACTCGGGAGGCTGAGGCAGGAGAATGGCGTGAACCCAGGAGGTGGAGCTTGCAGTGAGCCGAGATCGCGCCACTGCACTCCAGCCTGGGAGACAGAGTGAGACTCCGTCTCAAAAAAAAAAAAAAAAAATATATATATATATATATATATATATATACACACACACACACACATCTATATATATTTATATATTTAAAATACAAGAGGCTGAGTTTGAGGTTATAGTGAGCTACGATTGAACAACTGCACTCTAACCTGGACAACAGAGAACCTGTCTCAAACAAAAAAAAAAGTAAAAATAGTAAATGTTATGTTATATATATTTACACACACACACACACACACACACACACAGTCATTTTCCACCAGTACAGGGTCAGACTGCCTTATCTCCTATTCTGACCCACAAAGGCTATGACTGAACCACTGCACTCCAACCTGAACAACACAGAACCCATCTCAAATTTTAAAAAAAGTAAAAATGGTAAATGTTATGTTATATATATTTTTTCACACACAAAGATTGTCATTTTCCACCAGTACAGTGTCAGACTTTACCTTATCTCCTATTCTGACCCACAATACATTTTTTTTTTCGGTAATGATTTCAGTTGCCCTGAAGTCCTGGTTCTTAGGCTATTAACAGAGCTTTGAGGCAAGATACCCACTTACTGTTACTTGTATCAAACAGCAATAACCCAATTCTACAACTTCCTTTGTTAGAGCTCCCTTTGCTGACCCCATTTTGAGTCACCTTACGCAAGAAAGACGTCAGGACAGGCCAGAGAGCCAAAGGAAAGAGATTGGAAGAGTCTGAAGCCATAGCGTCCACACCAACTGGATTGTCCAGTTTCTGCTTCCTTCCCCTCTGTACTATTTTTGGGAGGTGTAATGTGATCTTAGGAATATTAGAGTAAGTATGAAAAACCATAGGGGCGGAGGGGTCAATGCCAACTAGTTCTGTCCCTTCTTTGCTGCTGAATTCTAGGCCTTTCCATTAGCCCATAGCACTCAAGCTACAGCTGAGTCATTTGAGTCATTTGAGAATATTCATTGAGAATAGTCATTTGAGAAGATTCCCATCCTTCCCACTCCCTCTGTCCTTATGTTGGCTGGACTCTCATCCAGGGCTGGAGTAAATGGTTCAGTGCATCACAGTCAAGACTGTTTTCTTCATGACAACCCAGGTCTGTGTGGCAGTGGTGAAGGTGGTAGTGGGAGGTTACATGGTAAATTTTCTCAGACCTCAGAACATCTCTGTTGCTTTCGAATAAACTTTCTTGAATTTTGTGGGTTTTCTTGTTTTTTTTTTTTTTTTTTTTTTTTTGCGGGGGGGGGGTTTTGTAGACAGGGTTTTGCTCTCCCACCCATGCTGGTATGCAGTGGCAGAATCACGGCTCACTTCACCCTGGACCTCCTGGGCTCATTCTCAGCCTTCCTTGTAGCCGGGACCACAGGTGCAAGCCACCAGGCCCAGCTAATTTCTTCATTTATTTTCAAGACAAGGTCTTGCTCTGTCATCCAGGCTGGGGATCGGTGCAATCACCGATCATTGCAGCCTTGACCTCCTGGGCTCAGGTGATTCTTCCCACCTCAGCTTCCCAAGTAGCTGGGACTACAAACACATGCCACCATACCTGGCTAATTTTTTGTATTTTTTGTAAAGACAAGGTTTCGCCACGTTGCCCAGGTTGGTCTCAAACTCTTGGGTTCAAGTGATCCTCTCACCTCAGCCTCTCAAAATGTTGTGATTATAGTGAGTCACCTTCCCTGGCCTTGAATTTTATAATCACATGGACATTGTGTATTTCATAAATTTTAGTTTTTCCTCTTTAAATTATTAGGAAACTCAAAGTCAAATTTTAAGTCAATGCTAGCAAAGTAAATGGAATCTTATTGCATATGTTTTGAATCTTACTCTCAATTTCACCTCATTTTTATCTTGATAGACTTTGTGTATGTATGTGTACACACCTCTACTCCAAAACCTATAAAATACAGGCAGGATAAATATGACTAGCTAAAAATTCAAATTATTTGTTATATATAGTCCTCTATTAACAACTGTTGGTGGTAGAGGTATTGAGGGAATAGAAACTTACATATTTTGAACAGTTTTACATTCATGATTTTATTGAATCCTCACCAAGCCACATGAGGTAAGCAGGGCTGACAATATTTACATTTTACAGTGGGCGGGAGATGGGTAGG